>NC_000016.10:52744318-53047348 GCF_000001405.40 Homo sapiens | reverse complement strand
AATACAGGTAAATGCCCTATGGTAAATGTATAATTCTTAAGAAACTGCCAAACTGTTTTCTCTAGGGGCTGCACCATATCATGGTTCCCACTAGCAATATATGAGAGTTCCAGTTGCTCCACAACCTCGCCAACATATGACAGGGTCAGTATGTTTTCCAAGAAGTTTTTGTGTTTTTAATGTGGATTTGTGTGTGTGTGTGTGCGTGTGCATGTTTGCTATGTTTTGTGGGTGGTAATGTCTAAGGAAGCAGTTTAAATCTGAAAATATTTAAAATGTGATCTACTGAGGTCCCATCCATCTTTGGGTTGCCCATACCTCATTTCTCTGTTCTTGCCTTTCTTTTGGTCATATTCTATTCCTAGGGCTGTGTACCCTGAGCTGAGCCAGCTAGCAGATCTGGCAAATCACAGTCCTCATCCGAGGTGAATCCATTTCTGGGAGTTGAGGAAGAGGTTGGGTATGGACAGGGCTGGATTCATGGGCCTTGTGCTTCATCTAAAGTTCTGTTGTCACTGTCTTGAAATTCTCAATCATTTCGAACAAGGAGTCCACATTTTTATTTTGCTCTTGGTCCCACAGATTATACAACTCATCCAGGATGTGTCTGGGAGAGGTGGTCACAGGCAAGACAAGGCTTCTTTTTAAAGAAGATTTTTAAATTAAGGCAGGGTCTAGCTCTGTTTACTAGGGTGGAGGGCATTGGCACAATCTTGGCTCACTGCAACCTACATCTCCTGGGCCCAAGCCATCCTCCCTCCTCAGCCTCCCAAGTAGCTGGGACTACAGGCATGCCCCACCACGCTCATCTAATTTTTGTATTTTTTTTTTTTTTGGTAGAGATGGAGTTTTACCATGTTGCCAGGCCGGTCTTGAGCTCCTGGGTTCAAGTGATCCACCCGCCTCGGCCTCCTAAAGTGCTAGGTTACAGGCATAAGCCACCATGCCCAGCTGCAAGCCAAGTTTTCTTACCACATTCATTTTGTAAAGACTCCCTCACCTAATCCCATGGACCTTGCCTCTAAACTGGTCCATGCACAATCCTAGGGTTTCTCACCTTGCCCCTGGGTGCTCCTGCTGCTTGTCTCTTGGGCTGACTTGAGTTAAGCATGATTAATTTGGAGGCTTCAAAGGAGGATTGCTGGCCCTGGATCCCAATATCCAAATAAGGATTTGCCTCAAACAGGGCATCTTAATTGGAAGGTAAATGAAACCTCCCTCTTCCACCTTGACAGCCCCAAAGTATACTTTGGCATTTATGTGGGAGAGGTAAATAGCATCATAATGTATTCTGAATTGTCACTCTGCCAGGCCCTGTTGGCAAGAAGCTTGTTCAAAGAAAGCTGATTTATAGGGGAGTTTTGTGGCATTCTTGCAGATCACTGAATTCCCACACCCAGGGAGGAGGAATGGCACTAACCAGAGGCAGGGGCAGAAAGGGGGTTGGAGTGGGAAGATCACAGGCTCTGGAGCCAGTGGGACCTGTGCTTGCATTCTGAGCTGGCTGCTTACCAGGTTTGTGACCCCAGGTAAC
Organism: Homo sapiens; assembly: GCF_000001405.40. Taxonomy (NCBI): domain Eukaryota; kingdom Metazoa; phylum Chordata; class Mammalia; order Primates; family Hominidae; genus Homo; species Homo sapiens. The sequence continues at coordinate 53,045,814 of NC_000016.10, read as the reverse complement.
CGACCTAACCACTCTGGACTCAGTGATTTGAACTCTAAAGTGGGATTAATAATACTTCCTTGTAGGACTGTGTGATTGGGAGGAGTAACCAAGAAGGTCTGTGTAAAGTGCCCGAGGCCGGTATGCACCTGCCCTCCACAAGTGAATCCGAGTCAATGTCACCTTTGACTGCTGTGTGCATACACAAAGAATCATTGTAAATGTACTTCTCTGAAAAGCCACTTCACAGTCCTGCGTGACCCTCCATCTAGCTTCCTAGGAGCTGGGTCAGGATTATCAGTCCCCTACTAGAGTTAGGAAAAGGAATGCTAGGTGATCAGAAAATAACATAGGGTCAACTATAGAGCACAAGAGTTCCAAACTCCAGTTCCATAGAACACGAGGCTTCACTAAGGAAGTATTCACATCAGAGATTGCTCACAGCTGCAAAAACCTTTACCCATGTGTCCCAGATTAAAAGCACAATAACAGCCTACAAAGTGGATAACATCTGTCATGGTGTGTGAAGATAGCCTGATGGGGTCTTCAAAACAGATAAGATTAGCATACTGATAAAGAGACAGGATGGCTTATACCTGTAATCTCAACACTTTGGAAAGCTGAACAGGCAGATCGCTTGAACCCAGGAATTCGAGATCAGCCTGGGCAACAAAGTGAGAACCCCACCACCCTCCAACTCCCGGCACCTCTACAAAAAAACAAAACAAACAAAACTTAGCTGGGCATGGTGGCATGCACCTATAGTCCCTGCTACTTGGGAGGCTGAACTGAGAGGATCACTTGAGCCTAGGTTGAGGCTGCAGTGAGCCATAATTGCACCACTGCACTCCAGCCTGGGCAACAGAGTGAGACCTTGTCTGAAAAACAAGTAAAAAAAAATAAGAAAGTAAAATATAAGAGGTTGGAAGGCAGGTGACTTGGGTTCAAATCCCAGCTCTCCTATTTGCTGGCTGTTAGAAACTACCTCAGACAAATTACTCAACCTCCCTGTGCCTCAGTGTCTCCATGTGTTAAATGAAGATTAAATAATACACCTACTTCTTAGGGTTGTAAACAAATAATGGATGTGAACTGTTCTTGGCACAGAGTAGTAGTACCCAGCATCTATTAGCTAGTTATTTTAATGACTTACCTGTTTGGGTAACCCTGGGAGTCCACGGTCCTAAGACTCCCTATTCCTCAACAGTGGGTGGAGTTGGCATTCTAGGTTAAAGGGTGGTCTCTAAGTAGGGGGTGAGTCCCAGGAACTTAATGTGGCCCTGAGATACAAGGCAGGCTACAGCCCGTTGCATAGTGACAGGGCTTGTTTTGCATGTGAAGATAGGGGCTGGTGTTTACAGGTAACTAGGAGGTGGTGGTGGGATGATTTGTAAGTTACAGATTAAACAAAAGGGAATTCTTCTGGTGGAATGAATGGGGCACAGTGCCTGGAATTGGCCAGGTTAGCCGGAAGGGCAGCTCTCCAGGCCCTGCCCACCCCACAGGGGGCTCCTTATGCACAGCGGGGCGTCTCCTTGTGGCCATAGAAACGGAACTGGCTCTTTTCAACAGTGCTGCAAGAGGATGGTTATTTAACGCTGGCCCCCAAGGAGGAAGGCACAGACCTTCCTCCTCCTGGAACATCCAAGGGCACTGGATCCTCTGTGTCCCTCTGAGATGGGGTGCCACTCCAGCAAGAGCACCACGGTGGCAGCTGAGTCCCAGAAGCTTGAAGAAGAGCGCGAGGGAAGAGAGCCAGGTCTGGAGACCGGCACCCAGGCAGCAGACTGCAAGGATGCCCCGCTGAAGGATGGAACCCCTGAGCCAAAGAGCTGAAATGCCTCTCTCCAGAGTCGGACCCTCACCTCCTTCCTGGAACTGCCTTTGGCCCCAGAACCATGAGACAATCCCCACCCTGAGAAGCTCCGATCACTGGGAGGAGAGAGAAAGCCTCCAGCTTTGGGATTCAGGCTTCAGAAGTTTTTAGCAGCCTTTGCTCATTGGAGAGGTGGGGAGGATAAGTCTATAAGGAATCCTATTTCCCCAGCTCTCCCACAGAGAGGACAAAAGAAGTCTTCACACGTTGTGGAACTTTCCTGCAACTTCTGGATGCAGACAAGCCTCAGAGCAGACTGTTCTGGCTCCAGTGAATATCGGCTGCCAAGCTGTGAGCATCCAGGGATCCCCGTCTGCCTGGCTTTCCTGAAGTCAGAAGGCGCCTTGGTCATACTGTGTGGGGTGTGTGGATCTCAGTTTGCTCTCTTTCTTTCTCCTTTTTTCAACAGCTGGCGGAGTAGCCAACACCCCTGACAGCAATGTGTTGCACTTGGCTCACTCCACACCCTATGAATAATTTTAATATTTAACTTGAAATGTTGTTAAGAAACTATGGAAAATATCAGGATCCCACTGGGATCCCGTAAATTGAAGGCAACAAGGTCTTGGTCCTCCAGTAAGGGGGGCATGGAGCCCTGGTGGGAAGGAAAGAAGAGAAATTTGTGTTCCTGATTCCTTAATCCCCAAGAAAGGTCCCTCTGCTAACATTCACATATCTCTTCCTAGCCAAAGTCTGTCCATTTCAACCCTCTAGCATCTGAGCTATCTGCATCCAGCTTTCAAAAATATTTCGCTGTTTACTAACATGTCTGTCAGCCTCTCTTTTCTCCCCCGCATGTGTTTTGTTTTTAAATCCACTCAAAAGCGTTTTCATTTGAAATCAAATAGACATGTTTGCAAATAAATGTTGACACAACACATTTGAAAGACAGAATTGGGGATCTGAGATTAAGAGTATCAGCAGAGAAGAGTGGGTGTAATTCTGTGGAACAGGAGTGAGAACAGAGGCGAGGGAGCCGTTGCTTTGTGCCAGGCGCCATGCTGAGGACTTTCCATAGACGGTTTAATGCCACCCAACTACTCCCATTTTATAGATGAGGAAATGGAGGAAATAAAGTCACTTGCCTGAGTTTGGGCAGCCAGGAAGGAGCAGAACCCACAGTTGAGCCCCAGCAGTTTGGCTTGGGAAACGCATGTAGAGTGCTTCTTAAAGCAGAGAGCCTTTCTCATGATTAAACTGAAATACTAGTCCCTTTATAGCCTGTGCATAGTGAGGACCATTTTTCTTTATTCACTGAGACCTACCTGCCTATTGAGAAGTATGTAACCGGTCAGCTTGGAGTTGCCCCACTGCAGGTTGGGTGATGCATTGAGGGACTTTTTATTTTTACTCTGGTGGTGGGGGACGGGGAGGGAGGAAGAGACGGAGAGGGAAGTGGGAGAAGGGAGGGAGGGAAGGGAGGAAAGATGAAGAAAGGGAGGAGGGAGAGGAGGGGGGAAGGGAGAGAAAGAGGAAAGAGGTAGGGAGAGGGAGAAGAGGAGGGAGGAGAGAGGGCAAGAAGAAAAAGGAGGAGGGGAAACAGAGGAAGAGAGGGAGGAGGGAAAGAAGGAGAGGGAGAGAAAGGGAAGAGGTAGGGAGATGAAAGAGCGGGGAGAGGCAGAATGGGAGAGGGAGAGAAGGAGAGGGGAGACGGAGGGAGGAAGGGAGAGAAAGGAGAGGGGTGAGGGAAAAGGGGTAGGGAGGAGGGAGGAAGAGAAAAATGGGGAGAGGGTGGGCGAGAAGGAAAGGAAGAAATCGAGGAAGTTGGAGGAATGAGGGATGAGGCAGGGAGGGAGAAAGGGAGGGCGAAGCAGTAAGGTGCTGCAAAGGACCCTTCTTTTTGGCCATAAAAACCTGAGAAACTGATTGAGATTCTTTTGAGCAATAAGGCAACTGCGGTGAGGAAAAAATAAGGAAGGAGGCACAAAAAGCAAAGCAGTTCAGCCTGAAATTGACTACAGAGCTTCCCTTTGCTTCAGCAGAGCCTGGAGGAGCAGGAGGGATGGGGGCCCTGTCAGCTGGCCCAAAGCCCTGCCCTGTCCCAGGGGTGCTAAGCTTGCTGCAGGCCAGGAAACAGGCCTGGGCTTGCAGCTGGGGATCAGGAAGTTTGGGGCCTCTTTGCACAGCTTACTGGGGATAGGCCAAGCTCTGGGAACTCCTTTCAATTTTTTTTTTTTTTAAGACAACTCTGTTTTTCTCCCTCCTCCCTACTAGTGGAAATTTACCTTGCAAAACAGGACTGTGCATGGTGAGAGCTGCTTGCAATGTCCACACTCAGGACTCTATGGAAAGAGTTCGCAGCTGGTGGTGAGGCTTTGAGGTGGGGCTGCCCTTATTTCACTAGCTCCTGAGGGGCAGAGCTCACTCAGCTTTTTACCAAATCAAAGGAAGGAAGCTTTAGGTCCTTCGAAGTTCAGAACCAGGGTGGTTTGTTTTGCTTCCTTTTGGAATGGAATAAAATGCTCATTTAATTAAATTCAAGTTCTCTGAGGGCTTTTAAAAACAGAATTCTTCATCTACCTCCAGCTGTGGCAGGCATGCTGCAATTTACTAGGAAGTTAATCTCTAACAGAAAAAAGTACTCAGTTTCCTTTTAAGGACATTCCCGTTATCCACTGGAGCCTAGCATCACTCGTCTGTCTCCCTTTGAGGTTCGAGAATTTCTAAAGTGCCTGGTAAAAGTGGTTAGGATTATGTCTACTGAAATATAACTTTAACCTCTGGAAAAACAGGCCTGCAAAGGCCAACTTCCCAAACTGCTGGAAGAGGAGAGGTTTATTAGTTAACGTATCTATCCATCCATCATCCATCCATGCCTCCTTCCTTCCTTTCATCCAGCCATCTATCCATCCATCTTTCCATCCATTATCCATCATCCATGCATCCATCCACCCACCCATCTGTTCTTCAGTCCTTCCATCTTTCTTTCCATCTGTCCATCCATCCTTTCATCCATTATCCATCCATCCATCCACCCATCTGTTCATCAGTCCTTCCATCTTTCTTTCCATCTGTCCATCCATCCTTTCATCCATTATCCCTCCATCCATCCACCTATCTGTTCATCAGTTCTTCCATCTTTCCATCCATCCATTCATCTTTCCATCCATTCATCTATCCATTTATTCATACATTCAGCTCTTACCCTGGATTTTTTAGTTACATGAGGCAATACATTTTTTGCTTTTAACCAATTGATTCATTCAACAAATATTTGTTGAGTTTCTACTCTATCACTCATCATTCATTCATTCCTGTATTCATTTATTAATTCAGTGTTTACTGGGCAACTACTCTATGCCAAACTCCTTAGTGTTCATAAAATGTTCATAAAGTGCCATCTTTGTGGGAGTACCGCCTGGAACAGGGTGGTCCAGGGAGATCTTTCCAGTCTCGATGAGACCCAAGAGCTTTCAAGAGTAAGTTGGAATTAGACAAAGAGGATGGTTATTTTGGAAGCGAATGTATGACCTGGAGTTGGATACAAGAACTGCATGGGGCACAATGTACAGTGTAATAGGAGCCTAAGGTGCCCACGGCACAGGGACAGGGAGGTAAACCTTGACAAGTAAAAAATCAAATCAGGGGCTGGGCACAGTGGCTTACACCTGTAATCCCAGCACTTTGGGAGGCCACGGTGGGTGGATCATGAGGTCAGGAGATCAAGACCATCCTGGCCAACATGGTGAAACCCCGTCTCTACTAAAAATACAAAAAAAAAAATTACCTGGGTGTGGTGGTGCGTGCCTGTAATCCCAGCTACTTTGGAGGCTGACGCACGAGAATCGCTTGAATCTGGGAGGCGGAGGTTGCAGTGAGCCTAGATTGCACCATGACCATGCACTCTATCCTGGCGACAGAGTGAGACTCCGTACCAAAAAAAAAGGGATCAAATCATGAAGTGCCTTGTATTTTATACTGAGAGCTTGAGAGTTTATCTTGATGGGCGCAGTGGGGTGTCTTTCGGCAGAAGAATGATGCTAGGACGTCAGTGGCTTTTGACTGGTTAGTATCCTGTTTTTTTAGTAACAAATCTTATCTTTTTCCTCATGGGGAACCCTTTCCTCACTCTCAGTTTACATGATTGGGTGGGGCTGATCCCATTCTTCAACGTCAGCCTGAGCACTGCATAGCCCCTGTCAAAGTGATAGGTTCAAGGGCGGGTGTAGAAACCCAAACTAGTCCACTGAGAGTCTTCTTTGAACTTTTTTTTTTTTTTGAGATGGAATCTCTGTCACCCAGGCTGGAGTGCAGTAGCACAATCTTGGCTCACTGCAACCCCTGCCTCCCAGGTTCAAGCGATTCTTCTGCCTCAGCCTCCCAAGTAGCTGGAATTACAGGCACCCACCACCACGCCCAGCTAATTTTTGTATTTTTAGTAGAGACGGGGTTTTGCCTTGTTGCCCAGGCTGCTCTTGAATCCCTGACTTCAGGTGATCTGCCACCTCGGCCTTCCAAAGTGCTGGGATTACAGGCGTGAGCCACTGCGCCCAGCCTTCTTTGAACTTTTAATTGAAGCAATTAGGAAAGGAAAGTTCACCTTCTTTTAGAATTAATAAAATTGTAGGATTTGGCCCTGGAAACTCTTAACCACTGAGAAGGGACTGCTTGAGAATGAAGCCACAGAGCAGAGTGGAGCAGAGTGGAGAGAAGGAGAGACATCGTCCTGATCAACTTGTTTGGGCAACTGGATCCAGCCATGCCAGAATAATTCTTCCCCTAGAAGATTCACAAGCCAATAAACTCACTCTTTTTGTTTGTTTGTTTACAGTGGTTTGAATTTGGTTTCTGTCATTTTCAGAGAGATCTGAGTAAATCAGATCCACTTAGATTTGTATATTAGGTAGAGCACCCTGGTAACTGTTTAGAGGATGGAGTTGGGAGGGATAAAGCTAGAAGCATGAATACCAATTAGAAGGCAACCTAGGAAAAAAAAAGCATACAAGGAGGGGCAGGTTTAAAGGGAAGATGAGGGGTTGAGTTTTAGGGGTGTTGAGTTTGAGGTGCCCATAGGACAAAATGTAAATAATGATTGCAAACACTTATATCACTCTTACCATGTCTGAGCATTGTTCCAAATGCAATACATATAGAACTCATTTAATCCTCACCATCACACTGTGCTCATTTTATAGATTAAAACACAGGGAGTTTTAATCCATTCACTGATCCCAACTTGCTCCTTGGCTGTAAATTCCCACATTTCCTTGTTGTATTCTGAATTAAGCCCAATCTCTCTCCCCTACAATAAAACCCCGTTGTTGTACAGGGGGTGCAGGGGGGGTGTGATGGTTAATTTTATGTGTCAAGACTGGGCGCAGTGGCTCACACCTGTAATCCCAGCACTTTGGGAGGCCGAGGTGGGCGGATCACTTGAGGTCTGGAGTTCGAGACCAGCCTGGCCAACATGGCAAAACCTCGTCTCTACTAAAAATACAAAAATTGTCCAGGTGTGGTGGCACGTGCCTGTAATTCCAGCTACTACTCGGGAGGCTGAGGCAGGAGAATTGCTTGAAACTGGGAGGCAGAGGTTGCAGTGAGCCTAGGTCACATCACTGCATTCCAGCCTAGGTGACAGAGTGAGGCTCTGTCTCAAAAAAATAAATAGATAAATAAAATTATGTGTCAGTTTAACTTGGCTAAGGGATGCCCAGATAGCTGGTAAAACATTATTTCTGGGTGTGCCTGGGAGCGTGTTTCTGGAAGAGATTAGCGTTTTAATCAGTAGACTGTGTCAAGAAGACCCACTGTCGTTAATCTAATCTGTTGAAGGTCTGAATACAGCAACAAGGTAGAGAATTCTCTCTCTTTTCTTGAGCTGGGACATCCATCTTCTCTTGTCCTCAGACGTTGGAGCTCCTGGTTCTGGGATTTTCAGACTCCAGGACTTAGACCAGTGGCCTCTCTGGTTCTCATGCCTTCCGCCTCAGACTGAATTACACCACTGGCTTTCCTGGGTCTCCAGCATACCAATGGCATAACATGGGACTTCTTGGCCTCCATAATAATGTGAACCAATTCCCATAATAAATCTCCCCTTATATATCTCGATATATTCTGTTGGTTCTGTTTCTCTGGAGGACCCTGACTAATATAGGGGGTTAACTAGTTCTTCCAGCTCTCAAGGACACAGCTGGGGCTTGCACTAGGCAGTTTGCCTTTAGAGGCTGAGACTTGAGGAATTCATTTGGGAATTGTGGGAACCCTTTTGGACCTCCAGGGTTGCTGTAAAGTTTATTTTAAGGTGAAAATATTTGACCTGCAAAAGGTGTAGAAATAACTCTTATCTGAACTTCCCTTATCTGACAAAAGCAGAGCCTCCCAAAATTACAGCTCCATTAACCCCACTCTGGGGGAGTTTACTGCAGATTTAGCTGCCAAGAAGGCAGATTGCCCATTTATTAGCAACAAAAAGCCCACTAGGACCTTCCACACTCCCTCATTGAAGCCCTAAAAACCTCTCTCTTTTGTTAAGTTGATAATACAAACTTTTCCTTTGGGCTATCCCATGAGTTTTCTATTATGGAAACTCCGATATGCAAGTAGGAAAAAAAATCCTTGTTAACTGGTCCTTTCTCAGTTAAATTTGTGGGCCTCAAACTGCTGAACCCAACATGGAAGAGGAAGAATTTTCCTCCCAACAGAGTCATCAGAACACAGCGGCAGCTAAAGCCCTTGTTGTAAGGGAAGAAGCTGAGGCACAAAATATAATTTTAAAGCATTTGAGGCCAGGCGCAGTGGCTCACGCCTGTAATCCCAGCACTTTGGGAGGCCGAGGTGGGTGGATCATGAGGTCAGGAGATCAAGACCATCCTGGCCAACATGGTGAAACCCCATCTCTATTAAAAATACAAAAATTATCTGGGTGTGGTGGCGTGTGCCTGTAATCCCAGCTACTCAGGAGGCTGAGGCACAAGAATCCCTTGAACACAGGAGGCAGAGGTTGCAGTGAGCTGAGATCGTGCCACTGCATTCCAGCCTGGTGACAGAGCAAGACTCCATCTCAAAAAAAAAAAATTTGATGAAGCCAACGTGAGGACAGCTGCCCGGGAAACACTTTCAACTTGGCTTGGGCAGTGTTCCATTCAGCCCAGGTTACAGTCAGGTTTCAAAAGGCAAAAGGGAACAAGGGGTGGGCGGATACAAAGTTGTCTGACAGGAATTCTCATTGGCTTAGGAAATAACATTGATTAGTGATTAGCTTTAAATGTTGAACTACAGGGTATGAGTTTTGGTGTCTAGCCTACGGCACTGTGTGGTTAATTTTATGGCTGCTTGGCATCAATCTAGAGCCCACATAGCAAGTGGTTCCAAGAGGTGGTTACTTGATTCAAGGCAGGAGTGAGAGGTGACTGCCACCACACTTCAGTGCCCTCTGGGTCTGATAATTTGGAGGGGCTGGCATTCCTCAGGTACAGTAGATAAGGTGCCTGCATTCTCTCCCCACACACATATACCCTGAGGGGAGGCACTGCTTGGAGCAGAAAAGCATCTATCAAGGACAAAACTCTGGAAAAACCAACATGTAAAGGGCAGGTGGAGTAGATAAGCTGCAAAGGAGCCAGCGATGGACTGGGGCTTGGATTGATGGGAGACGGTGACCAATGGCTTCTGCTCACGGAACATTCACCAAGTGCCAGGCATTGAGCTCAAAGATGCTTTATAAATGCTATCTAATTTGCTCCTCACAAAAGGTCTACCAGGAAGGTAAAATTCATACCTTACGGGTGAGACAGCACATTTATGAAGGTTGCATGAATTGCCCAAGTTAACATAGCTAGTTAGTGGCAGAATAGGAATTTGAGCTCTAAAGACCAGGGTTTTAACCACAGCAGCGCATTGAATAGTCTCCTCCCAAACTTCGTGTCCACCTGGGACCTTTGAATGTGACCTAATTTGGAAATAGGGTTTGAAGATGTAGCCAAGTTAATATGTGGTCATGCTGGATTAGAGTGAGCCCTAAATCCAATGACTGGTGTCTTTTTTTTTTTTTTTTAGAAAGGGTCTCACTCTGTCACACAGGCTGGAGTGCAGTGGTGTGATCACAGCTCACTGCAGCTCCAAACTCCTAGGCACAAGTCATCCTCCCACCTCAGCCTTCCAAGTGGCTAAAACTACAGGCATGTGCCACCATGCCTGGCTAATTTTTAATTATTTTTTTGGGAGGTGGGGTCTCACTATGTTGCCCAGGCTGGTCTCAAATTCCTGGGGTCAAGTGATCCTCCTGCCTCAGCCTCCTAAAATGCTGATATTATGGGTGTGAGCCACCACACCTGGCTGACTGGTGTCTTCATGAGAGAAATGGGAGGATTTGGACACAGAGACATAGAGGAAGAAGACCATGAGAAGATGGAGGCAGAGATGGGAGTTATGCTGCTACAAGCCAAAGAACAGCTATAACAAAGACTCCTTTGACCTAATTCTGGTCGCACTCCTCTAAGCCCTCAAGGCCCTGACCTTTGGTCTCCGCATCTGGCATGTGTAGTCTAGTTCAGCTGGATCAGTTTAGTGAAAATCCCCCATTCTTGATATCTCTCTCAATATCTTACCCTGGCCTGCCTTCATCAAGAATCTGCTGAGTCAGTCTAGCAAGAATACCCCTTTATCTCTGATGTTTCCTCTCAGTGATTTTTCCATTCACCAATCCCCAACTTGCTCCTTGGCTGTAAATTCCCACATTTCCTTGTTGTATTCTGAGTTGAGTCCAATCTTTCTCCCCTACAGCCAAATCCCATTGTAGTAGTCCCCCCGAATAAAGTCTGCCTTACCATCTTTAACAAGTGTCATGAAAATTCTTTCTTTAACACACAGGTCATGAGAAACTGTAAGAGGCAAGAAAGGATTTTTTCCTAGAGTCTTCAAAGGAAGCATGGCCCTGCTGTCACCTCGATTTCAGACTCTCTCTAGAGCTGAGAGAGAATAAATTCCTGTTGTCATCCAGTTTGTAGTATTTTGTTACATCATCCCTAGGAACCTAAAACAGTCACCATGCCATCACTCTTCGATAGAGGAGAATAATCTGAAGAGTGATGTCAACAAATTCCAGGAGAAGAGATGGGAAACTGCCTTTGCAAACTTTATGGCAGTGAGAGAAATCTAACATAGCTGATTCCATCTTGGTTCTAGCTTCATAAGCTAACTGTCATTGCTTATCCCGAGGCATAGGCTACATTAACTATGGGAGTAATTTAGTTTATAGTTTAACTTTAAAATGAAGATGATAAGAATCCCTCCCTAAAACTAACCATCTCCTTGCTTGGCGACCACAACTACCTCTGTAAAACGAACAAACTGGCCACAAGATTAGAATTATGGTTTGGGAGTCATATAGCCAGAGGTCACAAGATTTGTAACCTCCCCAATTGCTCCTATAGATAACGTCATTATTGCAAAACCAAAGACTCGTGTTTGAGATATTTTTCTGACCTTGCATTCTGATGGACCAGCTGAGCACCGCTCAGACTGGTAGCCCATACCAAGAAACTGACTCAAGTGGTCCTGTGACTCCTTCCCAGGAACTGACTCCATGCAAGAAGACAGCTTTGATCCCTGGTGATTTCATTCTCAACCCAACCAGTCAACATTCCCCATTCCTTAGCCCCCGTCTACCAAAGTATCCTTGAAAAACCCTAGCCTCTGAATTCTTAGAGAGGCAGATTAGAAAATTATCTCCTGTCCTCTTGCTTGGCTGCCCCTGTGGTTATTTTCTTTCTTTGCTACAACAACTGCTGTGCTCAGTGCATTGGGTTTTCTGGGAAGAGGGCAAGAAGAACTCTTTGGACAATTACAGATAGATTTTCAGGGTTAGGGGATGGTAGAGCCTGACCATTGAGATGTGTTTCTGAATCATGCTTGAGTCTTCTTAAAGGTATGCAAGCTCATCCCTTGATTTAGAGGAGACATATCCCCACTCCCTCCACACCATGGCTTTCATGAGCCACTGATTATGATAAGACTGTGTCACATACATGTACTCAACTCGCCTTGAGAACATTGTTCTTGATAAAGAGATACAGGCCACGATGTACTTTACCTGGTAAAGTGTGCATAAGGGTTGGGCTGGAAGGAGAATAGAGAATAATTAGGGCAGGCTCTTCCCACAAAATGGTAACTCTACTGGGTCATCTCTGGGCCCTATGGCCAATTGTTTCCAGCCCAGAGAGGTTGCCTGTCTCGTCTCTTCCGTGGCACCCTTTGATAGTGTATGAGAAGGGAAAAAAGGTCATTTTCCCTCTACCTATTTTAGATTCATTAGTTGTGACCCTAAAAGTTAGATTTGTTGTGGTCTTTTTGCTCTTTAGCTCAGCTAGGTCCAAGTTCTTGTCTCACATCCAGGAAGAATTAGGTGCTTGGAAACTGGAAAGTGACTGGAGTACAATTTACTAAGGAAAAGGAAAGTACTCAGTGGAGAGGGGATATAGGGAGGTGGTTCCCCTACCTGAAGGTGGGAAAAGTTCCCTAATATGGCTGAGCCTGGGACTATCATGGACTCAGAATAGGGAGTACGTGCTGACTGGTTTATGAGTATGCAAAGAAGTTCAAAGCAAAGACACCACTCAAAGGTGGGCACAACAGTGTAGAAAACCAATTAGGAAAAGGTAGGTGTATGTAAAATAGGTGAAGGGTGGGGACCAATCAGTGGAAAGCATGCTGAACAGGAAGATAGGTTCTCAGTCTGGTCTGAGGATTCAACTTGTGGCTTGGCTTTCAGGCTTTAAACTGTCTTTGGCTTGGAGGTGGAGTTTCACTGGGTACCCACCCCTATCTACCTAGGCATTTGGCTGACTCCTGTTGCTATCAGACTGACAAAAGACAGATTAACAAGAGAGAGCAAGGATAAATTTATTGATATGTACATTGCACATACACGTGGGAGTACTCAGTGATGAGTAACTCCAAGGAGTGGTTAGAACTTGAATTTATATAGCTTTTTTTTTTTTGAGACAGAGTCTCACTCTGTCACCCAGGCTGGAGTGCAGTGGCAAGAGCTTGGCTCACTGCAACCTCCGCCTTCTGGGTTCAAGTGATTCTCCTGTCTCAGCCGAGTAGCTGGGATTACAGGCATGCACCCCCACGCCTGGCTAATTTTTTTTGTATTTTTAGTAGAGATAGGGTTTCACCATGTTGGTCAGGCTGGTCTTGAACTCCTGACCTCAGGTGATCTGCCCACCTCGGCCTCCCAAAGTGCTGGGATTACAGGTGTGAGCCACCGTGCCTGGCCTATATAGCATCACAAGATAATAAATTTTCGGCCAGGTGTGGTGGTCACACCTGTAATCCCAGCACTTTGGGAGGCTGAGGTGGGTGGATCATTTGAGCCCAGGAGTTTGAGACAAGCTTAGACAACATGGTGAAACCCCATCTCTACTAAAAATACAAAAATTAACTGGGCATGGTTGTGCACACCTGTAGTCCCAGCTAGTTGGGGGGCTGAGACAGCAGGAGCACCTGAGCCTTGGGAGGTCAAGGCTGCAGTAAGCTGTGATCTGGTCACTGCACTCCAGCCTGAGTGGCAGAGTGAGACCCTGTCTAAAAATAAAAATAAATAAACAACAAAAAACCCCATTTTTCGACAGCATGATGAGGGCATTTTCCCATATTTTCTGCAGGTGCCATTGGGAGGTGGGGAAGGAGTAGGGACAGGGAGACTTTACAGACAAATTCAGAAGGAGAAAAAAACAAGTTTACTCAGTTTTGATTCTCCATTATTGCATAAACACATTTTTTCTCATTAAAAGTAATACATGTTTATTATAGAGAATTTAGACAAATAGATATGCAAAAGAAGAGAAAATAAAATCATCCCAAATCCTACCATTTAATAATACTTATGAAAAATGTTCTAGTAAAATTGTTCCAGATTGTAGTGTGCAGTTTTTTGTTGTTAATGCCCTGGACTAGTATCCATCTGTAGCAGATACTGGACTTGAAAACAGGAATGTCAAAAGCAACTGTAATCTTTCTAAATTCCACAGGCTTAGAACCACAATCTACCAACCCAAATTAATTAAAAAGGAATTTCAATCATTTCTGCCTCTCTTAAAAAACATTAAAGAGGATCCATTTCAAAACCCACAGCAAAACGTATCAAAATTACTTTCCTTCTCCTCCCCAATTCTCTCACCTCCAGAGCTGCCCTTGAGCTGCTTATCAAATCCCCTCAAACTCACCCTCAACTTCTAGCCCCTGTGGCTTTTCTGTTTCTTGCCTCTCCCTATCCCCCTTTTGTTCTTTATTATGTAGATCAATTTTGCCTTGCCATTTAAAAAGAAAGTTTCCTTTCTGCTTGGCTCATTACCTAATTCTCCCTAACAAAAAAGAGCCCCAGAAATTAAGCAAGTAAGACTCTGTTCTTTCCTTCCTCTCTCCTCTCCTGCAGAATCATTTTTATGATTCTTTATTACAAAATCCCTGAAACCAGTTTGGCAAAGAACTCTCCAGTGGGAGAAGGTTGGGTGTGCTCACACTTTGATGACCTTGTTCCTGTTACACAATTATATAATTCTTCTTTGTTCCAAGATTACCTTCTTTCTTTTGAAAAATTGCTAAGCATCAGCCAGTCCAGTAGCTGACACCTCTACTCCCAGCACTTTGGGAGGCTGAGGCGAGAGGATCACTTGAGGCCAGGAGTTTGAGACCAGCCTGGGAAACAGTGAGACTTGTGTCTCTACAAAAAATTAAAATAAATAATAAAAGTTGCTGAACATCAAATGCATTTGACAATTATTCCAAATCTGAACACATACATCGCATTTATACTCTCTCAGTCTCTTTCTCTCTCTACCTTTCTCTCTGGTCCCCCAGTGACTAAATACAAATTATTTTTGCCATCATGGAAATTAGGGAATTTTGCAAGATGATGTGAATTACACAAAATATTTAGAAGACCTAATTTAAGTCCTAGCTTACACACTGAGTGTAGTCTATTTCTAAAAGTATAATTATTGGCCAGGTGAGGTGGCTCGTGCCTGTAATCCTAGCACTTTGGGAGGCTGAGGTGGGAGGATTGTTTGAGCTGAGGACTTTGGGACCAGCCTGGGCAACATGGTGAGACCCTGTCTCTATTCTTAAAAACAAAAAATAAAAAAAGTATAATTATAATTTGGTTATCATTTTTTTTGAGACGGAGTCTTGCTCTGTCACCCAGGCTGGATTGCATTGGCATGATCTCGGATCACAGCACTCCAACCTCCTGTGTTCAAGCGATTCTCCTGCCTCAGCCTCCCAAGTAGCTGGGATTACAGGCACGCACCACCATGCAGGGGTAATTTTTGTATTTTTAGTAGAGATGGGGTTTCGCCATATTGGCCAGGCTGGTCTCGAACTCCTGACTTCAAGTGATCTGCCTGCCTCGGCCTTCCAAATTGCTGGGATTATAGCCATGAGCCAACGTGCCTGGCCTAAAAGGGTAACTTCCAGTCATCTTCTTTGTCTTCTGTTTCCCAAAATAATCAGCTTAAAATAATCCTTATGCCAAGAAAGCATATTTAGGGTAGCATATTCTGGTCTCCCACTGTCATATTTTGGGGTGGTATGTCCTGAACCCTATCAGCATTTGCCAGTTTTACGGCCAGTAGCTCCACCACTTACCAGCCTGGAGAAATTACTTCTCTGTTCTGAGCCTCAGTTTTCTCATCTGTTAAATGTTACATAATATAATATGTATATGTTATATATTATAGGTACATGTCAACCTTTAAGAATAAGATTAAGAAAATATGACTAGGTGTAGAGTTTATTTGAGTGCAAAGCTTGAGTATAGCCACCCAGGAAACAAGGACTGCAAATGAATGAGGTCAGCATTCCAAAGTGAAGTTAAGGATTCACTTAAGTAGGCAGAGACGGAGAAACGTTAGCAGGATTACAACATTTTTTATAGAAGACAAGTGCATACATTATAGCAATTTGATTATAGATGGCTACATTCCAAAGAAGGTTACTTTATTATTTTGTGAGGAGGGGCAATGATCTGAGGGGATCTTTCGTGCTGCTTGATCTTGCAAGTTATCTACCGTATAAGAATAAGAAAGAGAGTTAATCTACACTCAGAGAAGCAGAAGTTGGCAGGTGCATGCTACATGACTGGCTGCATAGCCACATTTCTCTCTCTTTTTTTAAGGTTTTTAAAAATCAATTTTATTGGCCGGGCACGGTGGCTCACGCCTGTAATCCCAGCACTTTGGGAGGCTGAGGCGGGTGGATCACGAGGTCAGGAGATCAAGACCATCCTGGCAAACACGGTGAAACCCCGTCTCTATTAAAAAACACAAAAAATTAGCCGGGCGTGGTGGCGGGTGCCTGTAGTCCCAGCTACTTGGGAGGCTGAGACAGGAGAATGGCATGAATCTGGGAGACAGAGCTTGCAGTGAGCGGAGATCGTGTCATTGCACTCCAGCCTGGGCGACAGAGTGAGACTCCGTCTCAAAAAAAAAAAAATCAATTTTATTGAACTATAATTATGTACAATAAGTTGTATCAATGTAAAATGTAATTCAGTGAGCTCTGACAAATGCAAAAAACCATTGCCACACCCAGGAAACCACTGCCACCATCAAGTCATAGAATGTGTCCATCACCCTCAAAGCTGCCCCAGGTCCCTTTGCCATCTTTCCTCCCTTCAGCCCTGGCTACCACTGATACTCTCTTTTTACCATAAACCAGATTATGGTTGTCTTTTAGTAATTTTGTGGTTCATCCATGGTTTTGTATGTACTAATTATCTGCCCATTTTAAAATAACCTGACTACTATTCCATTGTACAGATATACTACAGTTTACTAACCTTTATTTTACTTAACATCTGTTTATTTAACACCTGTTGAGGAATATTTGGTTCATTACAAGTTTTTAACTATTGTGAATGAATGAAACTACTACGAACATTTATGTCCAAACGCCCGTGTGCATATAATCTTTCTTTTCTCTTGGGTAAATAACTTGGAGTGGAACGTCTGGGTCATATGGTAGATGTAGGTTTAACTTGAAAAAAAAGGTGACTTTTTCAAATTAGTTGTAACATTTTAATTTCTGCCAGCAGTGTGTTGGAGCCTTCACACATCTTGCTCTCACTCTGACTCTCCTGGGTCTGTCTTGTAATGACCTTTGTCATTACGTTGGGCCCACCCAGAAAATTCAGGACAATATCCCTATGTCAAGATCCTTAACTTAGAAAAATAGCTTTATGGAGGTATAACTGATGTGCAATAAACTGTGCATATTTAATATATTTAATATATACAATTTAATGAGTTTGGACCTAGGCATATACCCATGAAATCACCACAATCAAGGTAATAGACATGTTCATCACCTTCAAAAGTTTTCTTGTGTTCCCTTGTTTTTTGTTGTTGTTGTTGTTGTTTTGAGGCAGAGTCTTGCTCTGTTGCCCAGGCTGGAGTGCAGTGGTGTGATCTCGGCTCACTGCAAGTTCTGCCTCCTGGGTTCATGCCATTCTCCTACCTCAGCCTCCTGAGTAGCTGGGACTACAGGCACCCGCCACCACACCTGGCTAATTTTTTGTATTTTTAGTAGAGGCGGGGTTTCCCCGTGTTAGCCAGGATGGTCTTGATCTCCTGACCTCGTGATCCTCCCACCTCGGCCTCCCAAAGTGCTGGGATTACAGGCGTGAGCCACGGTGCCCGGCCATCCCTTTGTTTCTGGTATTCTTAACTGAATCACATCTGCAGAATCTTTTTTGCCCTGTAAGGTAATGTTCACAGATTCTGGGAATTAGCATGTAGACATCTTTTTGTGGTGTGGGGCAGTCATTATTCAGCCTAACACAGACCCCTGCTACTCAGTCAGAGCAGTCTCAGAGAACCTGTGACCATATTTCATCTCCCACTTCACCACTCGTAAGGAAGAACACAGGGATCAGTGAGCCACATTTCTCTTGAGGCTCAGAATAACTTGAAATTTCAGCAACTTTAAGTTTGAATTATTTAATTACACACACACACACACATATATAACATATTATATGATAATAATATGGGGTTATTTTTAGGATTAAATGAGATGATGATAAATATATAGCATAGAGTGAATAATAAATAGTAATGGCCACTATTATAGCCATTATATCAGTGTATATATTTACCAGAATATAATCCCAGGCATGTTGATAGCTATTATGAGATAAAAGGGTTGGACAGTTGAATAAGTTTGGGATTTCAAACAGGTTTCTTTGCTGTAGGACTTTTTAGATCCTTGATTTATTGATTGATTGAGACAGGGTCTTGCTGTCACCCAGGCTGGGCTGGAGTGCAGTGGTGTGATCATAACTCACTGCAGTCTGAAATTCTTGGCCTCAAGCAATCCTCCTGCTTCAGCCTCCTGAGTAGCTAGGACTACAGGCACATGCTGTCACAACTGGCTAATTCTTTTTGATTTTTTTGTGGAGATGAGGTCTTACTCTGTTGCCCAGGCTGGTCTTAAACTCCTGAGCTCAAGTGATCCTTCGCTTTGGCTTTCCAAAGTGCTGGGATTACAGGTGTGTGCCATCCTGCCTGGCCACTTTTCCGATCGTTTAATGTCTTAATGTACCCTATGAAGTTCTAAGAAGACAATAAAGCATGAAAGATTTTCCAACTTTTTGAATCACAGTATCATTTTGTTTCTGGGTGTCTTTAGGAGCCAATGTTCCATGGAATTAACCTTGGGAAAGACAGGTTAGATGGATTCTAAACTTCTGTCCTCCTCAAGACTCTTTTTTCTGGTTTCTCTGTTTAAGAACTCTCAGGGTTTTCTTCATTAGCTTCTGCTACTACTTATTTTATTTTATTTTATTTTATTTTGAGACAGAGTCTTCCTCTGTCACCCAAACTGGAGTGCTGTGGTGCGATCTCAGCTCACTGCAATCTCCACCTCCCTGGTTCAAGTAATTCTCATACTTCAGTCTTCTGAGTAGCTGGGACTATAGTTCTGTGCCACCAGGCCTGGCTAATTTTTGTATTTTTAGTAGAGACAGAGTTTTGCCACTTTGGCCAGGCTGGGCTCAAAGCCCTGGTTTCAAGTGATCTGCCCACCTTGGCCTTCCAAAGTGCTGGGATTACAGGTGTGAGCCACTACACTCGCCTTCTTCATCAGCTTCTCAAAAGACTTGAATCTTAAGGTGTGAAAATGTGCGGGGAGAAATGCTTCTGGAGGTCAGACTATCAGTTAAATAGTTGAGAAACTAGGTGCGTGTTTTTCCTCTGCTTCTGATGTGAACAGTTTACTAGGATGTCCAGAAAAACAGAGATAACCTTCATGACAAGGTCCCTATCCAGCATAATCCAGTTTGGTTTTTGAGTAATGTCAGGAAGGGCCACTGGGAAAGAGTTACTTTGGCAAGGCAATAAGTGAAGGTAAGAAATGGAATTTTCCCGCCTAGCACAGTGGCTTATGCCTGTAATTCCAGCACTTTGGGAGGCCGAGGCAGACAGATCACTTGAGCCCAGGAGTTTGTGATCAGCCTGGACAACATAGAAAAACCCGGTATCTACAAAAAATACAAAAATTAGCTGGGCGTGGTGGTTTGTGCCTGTAGTCCCAGCTACTTGGGAGGCTGAGGTGGGAGGATGGCTTGAGCATGGGAGGTCCAGTTTGCAGTGAGCCATGATTGTGCCATTGTACTCCAGCTTGAATGACAGAGCAAGACCCTGTCTCAGGAGAAAAGAAAAGAAAAGAAAAGAAAAGAAAAGAAAAGAAAAGAAAAGAAAAGGAAAGGGCGCGGTGGCTCATGCCTGTAATCCCAGCACTTTGGAAGGCCGAGGCGGGTGGATCATGAGGTCAGGAGATCGAGACCATGCTGGCTAACACAGTGAAACCCCGTCTCTACTAAAAATACAAAAAATTAGCCGGGCGTGGTGGCGGGCGCCTGTAGTCCCAGCTACTCGGGAGGCTGAGGCAGGAGAATGGCGTGAACCCAGGAGGCAGAGCTTGCAGTGAGCAAAGATTGGCGCCACTGCACTCTAGCCTGGGAGACAGAGTAAGACCCCATCTCAAAAAAAAAAAAAAAAAAAAGAAATGGAATCCCGCTTTCTGAAAGAACTAAAAATAGAATTACCATTTGACCCAACAATCTCACTACTGGATACATACCCAAAGGAAAACAAATCTTTCTACCAAAAAGATTCCAGCACTCATACATTTATTGCAACTTTGCTATTCACACTAGCAAAGACATAGAATTAACCCAGGTGCCCATCAACGGTAGATTGGATAAAGAAAGTGTGGTACATATATAGCATGGAATATCACACAACCATAAAAAAGAACAAATTCATGTCCTTTGCAGCAACACGAATCCCACTGTGGGCCATTATCCTATGCAAACTAACGCAGGGACAGAAAACTGAATGCCACATGTTCTCACTTACAAGTGGGAGCTAAACATTGGGTACACAGATACAAAGATGGAAACAATAGATACTGGGGACTACAAAAAGGGAGGGGAAGGGGCAGGGGTTGAAAAGCTGCCTATCAGGTACTATGTTTGTTACTTGGGTGATGGACTCATTAGAAACACAAACATCAGCATCACACGTAATATTATCACTGTAATAAACCTGCACATGTATCCATGAATCTTTTTTTTTTTTTTTTTGAGACAGAGTCTTGCTCTATCATCCAGGCTGTAGTGCGGTGGCACAATCTCAGCTCACTGTAACCTCTGCCTCCAGGGTTCAAGCAATTCTGGTACCTTGGCCTCCCAAGAAGCTGGGATTATAGGCATGTGTCACCTTGCCTGGCCTAATTTTTGTGTTTTTAGTAGATATGGGGTTTCACCATGTTGGCCAGGCTGGTCTCAAACTCCTGACCTCAAGTGATCCTTCCACCTTGGCCTTGGCCTCCCAAAGTGCTGGGATTACAGTGGTGAACCACTGGCCCAGCCTACCGTGAATCTTAAAACAAAAAGAAAAGAAAAACAAAAAAAGTATAGAATCACCTAATCAAGTAGAACACTGAGCTCAATGTCTCATATGTAGCCAGCTCCAAGAAAAAGCTTATTGAATACTCAATGGATTTTTATCTGGCTAGGACAGGCAGGCAGGGCTCTAAGCAGAGAGGTGAAGGGATGAGCCTCAATGTAAACTCTATGGGAGATAAAGCCCAGAGTAGTGCCTGACACATATGAAGGGCTGAGTAAGAATTTACTGACTATATTAATTGACCGATGTAGCCATTTGAATGTCCTAAAGGCACATTAATCTTACTTTTTCCAACACCAAACTCATGCTTTTCTCATCCCCCATCCGCCGAAATCTGTTTCTCTGCCAATGTTCCCTATCATAGGAAACAAAGGGCAAGTATGGTGGCTCATGTCTGTAATCCCAGGACTTTGGGAGGCTGAAGTGAGAGGATTGCTGGAGGCCAGGAGTTTGAGGCCAGCCTGGGCAACGCAGTGAGACCCCCATCTCTACAAAAAATTAAAAACGAATTAGCTGGGCGTGGTGGCACATGCCTGTAGTCCCAGCTACTCAGGAGGCTGAGGCAGGAGGATCGCTTGAGTCCAGAATGTTGAGACTGCAGTGACCTGTGCTTGCACCACTACACTCCAGCCTGGGTGACAGAGCAAGATCATGTCTCAAAACAAAACAAAACAACCCCCAAACAAACAAAAAATGCAACAAAAAAGGAAATGATACCACTATCCTGTTACTGAAACCAGAATTCTGAATCATCCTTGACACACCCCTGTCCTTCTCCATCCTCCCACATGCAATCCACCACCAAGCCCCATTATCCTCTATCTTGACTCTATCTCCTTTTTTCCACTTCTGCTGCTATCACTGAGCCCAAGTCACTATCATCTTTCACCAGGACTGCAAGAATAATGACCTTTGACCTCATCTACTGTAAAGCTGCGGTCCCGCTTCAATCCATCTTCTACGCAAAACTAGCGGGATCTTTCCAAAACCCAAATCTGATCACCTACCTTCTTCTTCAACAAAATAAGACAATCAAGCACTCTTCGTTTTAATAAAGACCGAAATTCCTTTTTTTTTTTTTAAGGGAAGCAAGGGTTTATTGAAATGAAAGTACGCTCCACAGTTTGGGAGCTGGCTGGAGCAGTGGCTCAAAGGCCCCAATACAGAGTCTTCTCTGGTCCAAATACCCACTAGAGGCTTCCCACTGGCCACTTGGTGCTCGCCTCAGGTAAATGAAATGGTGGCCCACGATCAGTATGATTGCTTGTGGAAAGCAGCCAATTGGAGGCTGAAGTTACAAAAGTTACACTTCTATGCAAATGAAGACTTTGCCTGCAATCAGAGGCTGAAGTGAAGTTACACAGTTACACTCCCATGCTTTTTGCATCCAATCATAGGTACTTTCAATTTTCCATCTGCCACACAAAGGTGGGGGTTTGCAAAGGGAGTACCCTTTTAAAGACCAAAATTCTGATGTGGTCAACCAGGCCACGTAAAGGCTGTCCCTCAGCTGTCCCTCCAGCCTGTCCTCCCATGGTGCCCCAAACCCCTACTTTTCACATTCCAGCTAAAGCGGCTTGCTTTCACGTCTTCAAATGCATCCTACTCCTTTTTTGACACAGGGGTGTTCTTGCACTTGCTGCTCTCCCTGGCCCCTCTTTTTTTTCTAACATCCTAACTCTGGTCCTTCATATTTTAGTCCATTCTCACTTCTCCAGAGAAGCCCCCCCGGATCTCCCTAACAGGCGTCCCATGAACCTCTCCTTTGCGGCATGGTCACAATTGTCATTTCACATCTGTTTATGAGATCTACTGTCAGTCTCCCCTGCTAGGTCTCCATGAGGGCAGGAACTGTATTTTCTATTACCTAAAAGGGAGGCTTTCTGTCCGATGGTAGGCACTCACTTAGTAAATATTTGACAGATGAATGCATGGAGAGATTTTAAAATGCTTTTAAGATACATACAGAAAAGCGAATATATCATATAGGTACTGCTAGATGAATTTCCATGAAGTAATGGATACTCCTTTTTTTTTTTTTTCCTGAGATGGAATTTTGCTTTTTTACACATGCTGGAGCGCAGTGGCGCATCTCGGCTCACTGCAACCTTTGCCTGCCAGGTTGAAGTGATTCTCCTGCCTCAGACTACTGAGTAGCTGGGATTATAGGCACACATCACCACACCCAGCTATTTTTTTTATTTTTAGTAGAGACGGGGTTTTGCCATGTTGGCCAGGCTGGTCTCGAACTCCTGACCTCAGGTGATCCACCCGCCTCAGCTTCCCAAAGTGCTGGGATTTCAGGCGTGGGCCACCGCGCCCAGGCTGGATAAACTTATAAGAAGTTTTTGTTCCAGATTTTGGATTCCTAAACTTAGCATCAAAAGGGAAATAGTATGTAAAGATAACTATAGGGAGTGAGCACTAGAGGGCAACATAGGCAAAGGAATGCAGAGCCGCTCCACCAGGCAGTGGTCCTGGACAATGGTGGATGCCCTGTGGTTTCTCAGAGGTACAGAGAATTCTGGGAAGCTCCAAAGCCACCCAGATACCTTTCTTTGAACAGAGGCCAAAGAATTCTCCCTTGAGGTGTTCAGCAAGAGGGGGGATGCCTTGTTATGGCCACTCCTTAACTGGACTTTTCAGGAGCAAGGAGGATGATATGGGAAGTTAATTTTAGGAATACCTAGGGATGTGAAGGAGACGGAAAGTTGTCCAAAAAATTGCACAAGCTATGTCTCTAAAATGAGTTTGGGATTCAAAGCAGCAATAGTGACCTGACAACCTTGTCACCCCTTACGGTGAGCTTCCGCTATCCCTAATCTGGTGATGCGGTTGGACGTATGACTCCTGCTGTGTGCTTCTTTCCAATGGCTCTCCCTCTGTTTCTGACTTCCAGCTACTGCCCCTTCACTTCTGCTGCCCTTCCCCAGTTGCCACCCCTAGAGGCCTTACTAAAGGTTTATCGTGAGCTGCTGATTCGTAGTGATGAGGGAGTGATCAAGAAACCACCCACCATCTATCTGGTTGTAAGTGGCCTTTTTAAAGGTCATTGGTCTGTCCTATATCCTGCCTGCTATAATCAGCAGTGTGGACAAGGTAGCAAGGCCACACACAACACTAACCACAACTTTGTGAAAGGAACCACCTCAGAAGGATGACAGGTTCTGGATTATTCTTCAAAATACTTGAAAATAAATTAAAAGCACCACCAGCTCATTAGCAACCCAGTTAAGGAACCACAGGCTAAACTGCTTTTAATCATCATTCTTTTTGGCCACGGAGTATACATCAGCCTCCATTCATTCTGGATTAAAGGACTTTGAGGCCGACATTCCTGTTTGATTCTAGATAAGTTCACTTGCAAACTGTTTGTCCTTGGGCAAGTCACTAACCTCTGAACCTCTGTTTTCATATCTGCGCAATGGGGCAATTAGTACTTAACCCTTTGGGAATAGGGTGAAAGCTTTTTGCAAGTTGTAGAGGGCTGTTGTGTCAGTGGCTCTCGATCTTACTTACATATCGGCACCACTGTGGTGTTTTAAAAATATAGATGCCAGCTGGGTGCAGTGGCTCATGCCTGTAATCCTAGCACTTTGAGAGGCCAAGGCAGGTGGATCACTTGAGGTCAGGACTTCAAGACCAGCCTGACCAACATGGTGAAACCCCATCTCTACTGAAAATACAAAAATTAGCCAGACATGGTGGTGTGCGCCTGTAGTCCCAGCTACTCAGGAGGCTGAGGCAGGAGAATCACTTGAACCCGGGTGGTGGAGGTTGCATTGAGCCAAGATTGCCCCACTGCACTGCAGCCTGGGTGACAGAGCCAGACTCTGTCTCAAAAAAACAAAACAAAACAAAGCAGAAAAACATATAGATGCCCTAGTCCCTATTTCTGGAAAATCTGATTTGAGGGTTGGTGGCATTCAAAATGTTCTATAAGTGATTTCATTGTACATGCTGAGTTAAGGAGCTCTGTACATTATGGTACTTTTATTTTTATCTTATTTATTTATTTATTTATTTGAGATGGAGTTTTGCTTTTGTTGTCCAGGCTGGAGTGCAGTGGTGCAATCTTGACTCATTGCAACCTCCGCCTTCTGGGTTCAAGCAATTCTCCTGCCTCAGCCTCCCGAGTAGCTGGGATTACAGGTGCCTACCACTATGCCCGGCTAATTTTTTATTTATTTATTTATTTATTTATTTATTTATTTATTTATTTTAGTAGAGACGGAGTTTTACCATGTCGGTCAGGCTGGTCTCCAACTCCTGATCCCAGGTCATCCACCCACTAGGCCTCCCAAAGTGCTGGGATTACAGGCGTGAGCCACCGTGCCTGGCCAAGGTGGTATTTTTATTATCTAGGATGGACAAAGAGAAACAATTTGCAGAGCTGAGGCCATGACTCCTGCGCATCCATCTATTCTCTGGTCATTATTCTTGGCAGAAACTAGCCTGTATTAAAGCACTCAGTTGTGTCAGGGGCCCATACTCAGGAACCTACAGAAAAAGATTTACTTCCTGAGGCCAATGACCCTGGGCAGGACTGAAGTCATGAGCAGGACATAAGTCATATAAATGATAGAAGGGGTGTACACACCTGAGATCGGACATTTATTATATCAGTGGTAGGCTGAGGTCCAAGTTCAGGGCATACCTGTGCAGGAAACAATAACTCTAAGAAAAGTCAAACTAGGATGAAGGTGAGTTCTGGCCCTTCCTCTATTGGAAGGGAGGACTTCCAACATCCCCAAAGCAACATCAACTTGTCCTTTGTAATGAGGTGGCTGAGAGAAACCTGATTTCTGCCCATGAAAATACAGATTAAACAAAAATCAATTCCAATTTAAATGCATTCCACCCTTTTCATATTATAGTTGTGGAGCTAATTATTCCTTATTGTCATATGCTGTAGGGCAGAAAGGCATCATTAAAGTACTAAAAATTATTTCTATGAAATGGATTTGTGCCAGGGAGACCACTGATAAGTTATTATTAAGTGGGTTGTTTTGGAGGTGGATTAAAAAAAATGGTATCTTTGAGGCTGGGCATGATGGCTGAGGCCTGTAATCCTGGCACTTTGGGAGGCTGAAACAGATGGATCACTTGAGGCCAGAAGTTTGAGACCAGCCTGGCCAACATGGTGAAATCCCATCTCTACTAAAAATACAAAAATTAGTTGGGTGTGGTGGTATGTGCCTGTAATCCCAGCTACTTGGGAGGCTGAGGCCCGAGAATCTTTTGAACCCAGGAGATGGAGGTTGCAGTGAGCTGAGATTGTGCCACTGTACTCCAGCCTGGGAGACAGAGCAAGACTCCGTCTCAAAGTTTTTTTGAGAAAAAAAAAAACCTCTCAAATTTGCAAGAGGAGACACTTTGACAGAGCCTGTGTAAGTTCTGAAGCAGTGATTGCAGGGGTCAGTGGATTTGGAGGTTTCATTGATTCATTCTTGTTTCATAAACTCCTTATTTGTCATTTGACAAATGTTGTGTGCCTACCATATACAAGGCTTTGTGGGGTGGGGGAGAGTCTGGGGGAGCCAGTGGTCAGCAAAAGGAGACATGTCTCATTCTTCATGGGTCGTATAGTCTAGTTGGGACATTAATGAAATAATGGAATAAGTAAATGTAAAACTCCAACTGTGACAAATGTTTCAGAATAAATAACAGAGAGTTTGACTTTGACACATCCAGATACATCTGAGGAAAACTTTGTGTGATCCGAGATCTCAAGATGTCAAGAATAAGTAGATATTAGCCAGGCTGAGGGGTCAGCACATGCAAAGGCCCTGTGGTAGAAGGACCTTTAACTACTTGGAGGAGAGAGTCAGTATTCCTGGACCTCAGAGACAGCCATGGGTGTGAGATGAGGCTGGAAAGCTAGCCAGAGCTCACACCATGATGGGATTTTTAGGCCACAGTTCTGTTGTTGATCTTTATCTTTAAAGCAATAAAGACCGTCTAAGGGCTTTAATTAGCATGTGTGTGGTGCAGTGGCAGGAGGTGTGAGCACTCTGGCCACAATTGTCTCTGGGCAGGAGATGGGAACCTGAAGGGAGGCTGAAGTGAACAGAGGCTGATTCCCTCCTCAGAGCAGGCTGAGTGCTTCTCTCAAGCCTGGGCATCTGTGCAGCTCTTCCAGGGGCTGAGGCTGCAGACATAGAACAATGTCTCCTCCTTCCTCCTTTATTTCTTTGCAAAATCTTAAAGGCTGCACAGCAAGTCTCCATTTTTTGAAGAAGAATGAGAAGAGAATGTGCTTTTAATAATTTCATTTGTTTTCATAGT
Source organism: Homo sapiens (assembly GCF_000001405.40). Classification (NCBI taxonomy): domain Eukaryota; kingdom Metazoa; phylum Chordata; class Mammalia; order Primates; family Hominidae; genus Homo; species Homo sapiens. The sequence goes on along the minus strand of NC_000016.10, from coordinate 53,018,757 downwards.
TTACACTTTTTTTTTTTTCAAAGAGTTTGAATAACAGTCCAGAACTTATAAGAAAGGACAGAAAAGGACAGCGTTGGTTTCTTTATTTTTTCCCCCTACTATGCGTGTGTTCACTTATTAAAAGTGATCAACTAACAGGTATTACATGAAAAATTAGGAAATGATGTATTGGCTGTATTTTTTTGTTTGTTTGTTTGTTTTTTTTGAGGTGGAGTCTTGCTCTGTCACCCAGGTGGAAGTGCAGTGGCGGGATCTTGGCTCACTGCAACCTCTGCCTCCTGGGTTCGTGTGATTTTCCTGCCTCAGCCTCCTGAGTAGCTGGGACTACAGGCACATGCCACCAGGCCCGGCTAAGTTTTTGTATTTTTAGTACAGACGGGGTTTCACTGTGTTAGCCAGGATGGTCTTGATCTCCTGACCTTGTGATCTGCCCACCTCGGCCTCCCAAAGTGTTGGGATTACAGGCATGAGCCACTGTGCCCGGACTTGGCTGTATTTTAATATACTTTAGTGTCTTTTGTTTAGATTATTTAAAAAACTTGACTGAGATGTAATTCACATACTATAATGTTCATTCTTTTAAAGTGTTCAGTGGTTTTTAGTGCATTTAGAGTTGTGCATGCATCAATTGCTTTTTAAAATGGAGTCATGTGGCTGGGCACAGAGGCTCAGACCTGTAATCCTAGCACTTTGGGAAGCTGAGGCAGGAGGACCTCTTGAGGCCGAGAGTTCAAGACTAGCCTTGACAACATAGTGAGACCCTGTTTCTACAAAAAACTAAAAAAATTAGCCGGGCATGGTGGTGTGTGCCTGTGGTAGCAGCTATTCAGGGGGCTATGGCAGGAGGATCTCTTGAGCCTGGGAGTTCAAGACTGCAGTGAGTCAAGATTACACCACTGCACTCCAGCCTGGGTGACAGAGTGAGACTGTCTCAAAAAAAAAAAATAGTGTCAGTTTTCCATTCACTTTTTTTGTTTTGCTTTTAAAATATATTTTCTATTTTAGGAACTTTCAAATTTATATAAAAGTTGAGACTAGTAAATGAACCTCCTAGTATTCAATACCCAGCTTTAGCAATTATATAAACAATCCAATCATGTTATATCCATGCCTCCCCTCCCCACTGGATTCTGTGTTCTTTATTTTTATGTATTTATTTTCAGTCATGCATCACTTAACCTACTGAATTCTTTTTTTTTTTAAGATGGAGTTTCGCTCTTGTTGCCCAGGCTGGAGTGCAGTGGCACGATCTTGGCTCACTGCAACCTCTGCCTCATGGGTTCAAGAGATTCTCCTGTCTCAGCCTCCTGAGTAGCTGGGATTACAGGCACGCAGCACCATGCCTGGCTAATTTTTTGGTATGTTTAGTGGAGACGGGGTTTCGCCATGTTGGCCAGGCTGGTCTCGAACTCCTGACCTCAAGTGATCCGCTTGCCTCGGCCTCCCAAAGTGCTGGGGTTACAAGTGTGAGCCGCCACTGCGCCTGGCCCTTACTGGATTCTTTACACATACACACACGCATGCGTGCACACATACACACACGCTTTTTTTTTTTTTTTTGTGGCGACAGAGTCTCACTATGTTGTCCAAGGTGGTTTCAAAACTCCTGGCCTCAAGCAATCCTCTCACCTTGGCTCACAAAGTGTTAGGATTACAGGTGTGAGCCACCATGCCCAGCCTTCACTGGATCCTTCTGAAGCCAATCTTAGATATCATGTTACTTCAATCACGAAAGCTTCAATATGACTCTTCTGTTTAAGAAAACAAGAAGAGTATTACTATCAACCAAAAATATTAGCAATAATTACTTAACATCATCAAATGTCTGATTAAATTTCTCTGATTGAGTCATCTCTCCTTTTTCTTTTAAAAAAGCAAATTCACCTCTTTGAATCAGAATTCAAGCAAAGTACATATATTGCATTTGATTGATAGGTCTTTTAAGTCTCTTTAACTTAAAAGTTCCTCCCTTTCCCTTGCAATTTATTTTCTGAAAAATTGCCTTATTTGCCTTGTGGAATTTCCCAAAAGTGTTTATTTTTAATAGTAGCACAGAGTAGGAGGTGGAGTGGAGTTTGTAGCGTGGACTTTGAAGAGTCATGTATATTTGGGTCCGAATCCTGGCTCTGTCCCTTACTTTCTGTGTATCCCTGGGAAAACAAATTGTCTCCCTCAAGTCAAAGTGTCCTCCACTATAAAATGGGCATAGAAGTGGGATTATGTTGAAGACTAACTTAGATAATGTGTGGAAAGTGCATGGCACACAATAGGTGCTCAATTTTTTGAGCACCTATTGTTTTAATTTTACATTTATTTTTAATTTTTGTCATGATTTTTCTTTTTTTTGAGACAGGGTCTTGCTCTGTTGCCCACTTTGGAGTGCAGTGATGTGATTTCAGCTCACTGCAGCTTTGACTTCCAAGGCTTAAGTGATCCTCCTGCCTCAGCCTCCTGAGTAGCTAGGACTACAGGCATGCACCACCATGCCTAGCTAATTTTTGATGTTTTTTAGTAGAGACAGGGTTTCACCATGTTGCCAAGTCTGGTCTTGAGCTCCTGGCCTCAAGTGATCTTCCTGCATTGGCCTCCCGAAATGCTGGGATTACAGGTGTGCATCACCATGCCCAGCCCCTCATTTTAGTTTTCAAGCTGAGAGGGAAATCATCAATCCTCAGCACTGGCTGGTCTTGAAAATTATTTTTTGTAAGTTTAGAGGAGCGAAAATGAGCTGGTCTAGTGATCTGAAAAGTACTATATCTGGGACTGTAACTAAAAACTGGGCCCTCTGACCTCGTACACTGTTGGTGGAAATGTAAATTATTACAACCACTATGGAAAACAGTTTGGAGTTTCCTCAAAAAAAACAAATAGAGCCAACATACAATCCAGCAATCCCACTGCTGGGCATATTCCCAAAAGAAAGAAAATCAATATATTGAAGAGGTATCTGTACTCCCATGTTCGTTCCAGCACTGTTCACAAGAGCTAAGAGTTGGAAACAACCTAAATGCCCATGAACAGATGAATGGATAAAGAAAATGTGGTACATATACACAATGGAGTACTATGCAGCCATGAAAGGAATGAGAGCCTGTCATTTGTAACAACATGGATGAAATTGGAGGTCCTTATGTTAAGTGAAATAAGCCAAGCACAGAAAGACAAACTTTGCATGTTCTCACTTATTTGTGGAAGCTAAAAATTAAAACAATTAAACTCATGGAGATAGAGAGTAGAAGTATGGTTACCAGAGGCTGAGAAGGTTTCCAGAGGGGTGGTAGTGGGGAAGTGGGGATGGTTAATGGATGCAAAAAACAGTTAGAGTAAGATCTAGCATTTGATAGCACAACAGGGTGACTATTATAGTCAATAATAAATTATAAAATATTATAGTCAGTGATAATTTAATTGTACATTTAAAAATAACTAAAAGCGTATAATTGGATTGTTTGTAACGCAAGGGATAAATGCTTGAGGGGACACCCAATTTACCATGATGTGATTATTATGCATTAAATGCCTGTATCACAATATCTTATGTACCTTGTAAATATATACACCTATTATGTACCCACAAAAATTAGAAATAACAAAATTTAAAAAAACCTCAGGATGCTCTGCAGGGCTGAGGGGGTTTTCTTCATCACTAGCCACCCCCACAGCACTTTTTCTAACCTTTTGCCATGTTTCTGGCTCTGCTTTCAAGCCCCTTGTCATTTTGTAGTCCACAATATCTTGATACATGGGGAGGAAGGTGATGAACAAGTCCACTGAAATGTTGCCCATCCAAGTCTTGCCTCTTCAAAGTACATTAAAAAATAATTTATAAGAAGGGAATATTTAATCCAGGCAAAAACACCTGGGACTACTAGGAAATATTCATGACTGTGAGACTTAGAGGGAGGGAAATATTTTTGAGTGTAGGGGGCACTCAGATCATATCACAAAGGTGCGCTTTACATCAGAGCTGCAAATTGCCTTTCCATAAATTCATCCATCCATCCATTCATTTGTTCATTCATTCATCCATCCATCTCCATCCATCCATCCATCCATCCATCCATCCATCCATGATTTCATTTATCAGCCAACATTCTTCTCCTATGTGGTTAAACAGACAAAGCCTCTGGTATCTGTTTTAAATTAGGTCTAATGCCCGCATCGTCTCTTAACTCCACTCAACACCTGTTTGCAGCCTGACTGTGAATCCAGATGCCTCTAGGTGGCCGAGAAATGAGATGACCCAGATCCCTCAGCAGCCCTGGACTCTGCAATTTTCCATCACATGTTCCAAATATAGCTTCCTTTCATGGCTGCTTAATTATTATGGCTTAGAAGACCATAATATTAAATTAAAGTGAAATGTAACTGCTCTGCCAGTTTTCACACTGTCAGAATTCAGCTGATAACAACAGGATTCTTTGAGCATCTCCAAGTAAGAATTTGCTGTTGGTGACGGGGGAAGAAAGAAACAAAACTCTCCTTTCCACATTTGCCCTGCAGCCAGGCTGACACAACAAAAATGGAAAACAATTGGCACAGGCATAAAATTCTATGACGAAAGGAAACTTGTGAAATAGAGAAATAGATTTCTTGGGGGAAAAACATAACTTTCTTTGGCGAAACACTGTATTTAGGAAAATAATTCTGTAGTTTGAGGATATTAAGTTCATTAAAAGTAGCAGGCTTTTTTGGTCTGGGGGAGATGGAGGTTCTTAATACCCTACACCTCCCTCCAAACATTTCCCTTCAAATCCATATTAAAGTTAATCATCAATTGGAAGCCAGAAATGATATTGGAAAATCATTCTTTTACAAACGGAAACTATTATAATTTAAAAGGGTGCAAATGAAACCATACATTTTCAGAAGGAGATCAATGAAAACCACTTTATTAGAAAATATAAATCACTTTTTAATTTCAGATGCAACAAGAAAAGAACTCATTTTTTCTGTTTCATTGAAATTGATTGGTACACCTGCAGAGAAAAGCAGCTTTATCATCTCGTTATCAGCCAATTAATATGCAGGTCTAAATGTGAATACTATTCCAGTTAACTAGAAATGGATGATTTTATTGAAGTCTTAATAGACTAGGAAAAGCTGCCTTCCACCCTGCTAAATGAGGTCAGTTGAGAAAAAAAAATCAGAAGTGCATAACTTGGGATGGATGGAATCTAAAACAATTTCTCTAACTCTTCAGACCACAGAGAAAGGAAAGCGAAGTGATGTGTGCGCAAGCAGAGGACCTGTTAGGTGGAAGAAAAATTAGAATATTGAGTTTTCTTTTAATTGAAAAGAAAGCTGTTTGGGTTTGATTTTGAAGTCTGACACTCTCACTATTCAAAACTTGACGGTTCTTAGTCGTTAGTCTCATCTCCATTTTAATCAAAGGTCAAGCAGGTCTGCAAAGTAGATGAAGTATATGTACCACGCTCCCAGTTTTTCCTTTCTGTGCTCGTTTTCTTCCCTGCGATGTTCTCCCTGGCCTGTGGCATCCTCAAGTTTTTTCTTTACAGTAAAAAATTTAAAAAATTAAGGGATACAAGTGCAGTTTTCTTACATGCTTATGTCATGTAGTGGTGAAATCTGGGCGTTAAGTGTACCTACCTATCACCTGAATAGTAAACATTGTAACCACAGGTAATTTTTCAACCCTCACCCCACTCCCACCCTCCAACATTTTGTAGTATCCAATGTCTATCATTCCAGTCTTTATGTCCATTTATACCCACTGTTTCCCTCCTAATTATATATATTCTACTTTATTTATTTATTTAGGAGACAGGGTCTCACTCTGTCACCTAAGCTGCAGTGCAGTGGCACAATCATAGCCCACTGCAGCCTCCAACTCCTGGGCTCAAGCGATCCTCCTGCTTCATCCTTCTGAGTAGCTGGGACTGCAGGAATACACCACCATGCCCTAAAAAAAAAAATACTTAGACAGTCATCCGTTAATGAAAATATCCCTGGGATGGCTCAAGAGTCTAATTACAAGCTTACAGCAATACAGTGGAGCAAAAACCAGAGAATAACTGCAGGGAAATGATCACTGAGGAGATGGGCATAGCTGAGATATCTGGAGCTGGGTGGAAGCAAAGATGCACGGTGGTGGCTATCAGTATCAGCCACACAGGATTGTGCATCAAAAATTGGTGCCACCTCCACTGTGAGCACACTTATGAGCTAGTGCCAATAGAGATCCCTTTGACCATGACTTCTTCTGTGGGAAAAAAAAAGATCATGAGGACCCTGAAGCATTCAGCACTGAAGACCCCAAAATCTCTTGTTGCTGTTGTGGACACCCATGGCTCTGGCTGCCGAGGAGTCCTGCAATCTTCACCAACACTGACCTTAGCTGACAGAGGTCCACAGACTATGTTGCTGTGCCTTTACCAGACACAGTACTGCTGCACCCCACTCAGCTAGAGCCCTTATACTCACCCATAAGTGAAGGTCTTCTACTGAAACCAGTCAACAAAGTCTGGAGGAGGTGATAGCCCCATTAAATGTTTAGATATCAATGCAAAGCAACAAGAAACACACAAAAAATGAAGGCAACATGTCACCACCAAATGAACACAATACTTTTTCAGTAACTAACCCCCCAAAAAGAGAGATACACAAATTGCTTGACAGGGAATTAAAAATAATTGTTTTAAGGAAGCTCAGTATGCTACAAGAGAACACAGACAGGTCAACAAAATCAGAAAAACAGTAAATTAACAAAATGACAGTTTAAGGAAGAGGTAGAAATCATAAAAAAGAAACAACATCAACAGGAAACTTGATCAAGCAGAGGAAAGAATCTGTGCACTCAAAGGCAGATCGTTTGAAAATATCGTCAGGGGAGGAAAAAGAAAAAAGAATGAAAATGAATCAAAAAGTCTATGAGATTTATGGGACACCATCAAGGGAGCTAACATTCACATTATAAAATCAAGAGGAAGAGATTGAGAAAGAGGCAGAAAGTTTATTTAAATAAGTAATGGGACCAGGTCCTGGTGTCATGCCTGTAATCCTGGGACTTTGGGAGGCCAAGTTGGGAGGATTGCTTGAGCCCAGGAATTTGAGACCAGCCTGGGCAACATAGCAAGATCTCATCTCTAAAAAAATAAAAATAATAAATTGGTCAGGCATGTTGGTGCATGTCTGTAGTCCCAGCTACTCAGGAGGCTGAGGTTGGGAGGACCAATTGAGCCTGGGAGGTTCAGGCTGCAGTGAGCCATGATCACACCGCTGCACTCCAGCCTGGGCAACAGAGCAAGACCCTGACCCTGTCTCAAAACAACAACAATAACAATGAATAAATAATGGCTGAAAACTCCCCATATCTGGGGAGAGATATAGACATTCAGATACATGAAGCTGAAAGATTTCCAAACAGGTTCAGTCCAAAGAAGACTTCACCAAGATTCATTATATAGTCAAACTGTTAAAAATCAAAGAGACCCATTTTAAGGTGACATTATGGCAGATGTAGCCAGTCAGGTGCTTCCGGGCTCTGATCTCACCATCCAGTCTCAGTTGCTTATATATGTGAAAGCACTCATCCAAGTGGGAGATGAGCCTGGTTTTCCAACAATGAGACAACATGTTTTTGGGTGGTATGTCAGCTTCCTGGTGTCTTTAGTTGTGCTTAGCACATTATGACCATCAATGGGAGGCCTTAGCACATGGTAAGCATGAACTCCAAGGCTGTGTTCAGGAGTCCTTGAAAATATGATTCACAGTAAAGTTTTACAGCATTATCAGGAATGTGACAAGATTGAGGAGTTAGGACCTGGTAATGTACAGAAAGAAGTCTCATCTTCCTTTGACCAAGTTATCAATAAGGCAATTTGAGAGATAATCACTCATTTTGCTGCTGTCCTCATCACAAATCCCTTCCATATTATCACCGAGGTACAATTCATTGGCAGGGAACCCAAGTACTGCAGACTTTGTGACTCCATAGCAACCATCTATCAGGGAGAGGGCATCCTAGGATTTCTCATGGGTCTTGTGCCTCAGCTCCAAGGCGACATCATTTCCTTGTGGCTCTGTAACTCACTGGCTTACCTCATCAATATCTATATACTTAACAGTGGGGTTTCCACCATGAATGAAATAAAGAATGATTCCCAAGTTGTTACAGAAACTTTTGCCAGTATGTTGAGCTAATCTCTTGTGTTTGTCCCTAATTTTATGTCTGTCAACAGCCGAAGGCTTGCTGGTGGATCCTTTCCTTATTGCCCAATGTACACTTCTTGCATAGATTGTTGGTGCATGCTACATTACAGGAAAATATGAGCTGAGGAAATAGCTTGCTTTTCTGGAAGGTCCCCTTTGGGAAGACTTATTATTGTGACCTGAGAATGTAATTTGAATATGTGGGACAGGGACAGTGATATTTCTATAGTCCCAGATGCACAGAATTATGGGAGAGAGTGTTGATTTCTGTACAACGTGGCATGCATTTAAAATAATCACTTAATATCAGGGAAGAATCAAAGACAGAGAAGTTTGAAAGCAGTAAGAGGAAAGAGGTGCATATAAGGAGACTCCTTATATGACAGCCATAGAAAGCTGTCAGTGGGTTTCTCAGCAGAAACTTTGTAGCCCAGGAGGTAATGGAATGATATATTTAAAGTGCTGAAAGGAAAAACTGCCAACCAAAATACTTTAGCTGGCAGAGCTGTCTTTCAGAAATGAAGGAGAGCTAAAGAGTTTCCCAGACAAACAAAAGCTGAGGGAATTCATCACTACTATACCTGCCTACAAGAAATGCTGAAGGGAGTTCTTCAAGCTGAGATGAATGGATGCTAATTAGTAACATGAAAACATAAAAGTATGAAACTCACCATTAAAAATAAGTGTACAGTCAAATTCAGAATACTTAATACATTCAAATTCAGAATACTTAACTCCAGTATAAAGGTTAAAAAGACAAAGCTATTAAAAATAACTACAGCTCCAAGACTTTTTAATGGATACATGATATAATAAGATGTAAATTGTGACATTATAAACATTAAATGTGTGTGGGGGGTAAAGGTGTAGAGTTTTTGTATGCAATCAAAGTTAAGTTGTTATCAGCTTACAATAGACTGTTATAACTATAGTTGTTTAATGTAAGCTTCACAGTAACCACAAAGCAAAAACCTATAGTAGATACATGAAAGATAAAGAGAAAGGAATCAAAACATCTCACTATGGAAAATCATCAAATCACAAAGGAAGATAGCAAGAGAGGAAGAAAGGAGCAAAGAATCAACAAGACAGCCAGAAAACAATGAACAAATGGTAATAGTAAGTCCTCACCTCTCAATAATTACCTTGAATGTAAATGAATTAAATTCTCCAATAAAAAGACATAGAGTATCTGAGGGGATTAAAGCAACAAGACCGAATATGCTGCCTACAAGAGACTCATTTGAGCTTCAAGGACACATATAGACTGAAAGTGAAGGAATGGAAAAAGATACTCCATGCAATTGGAAACCAAAAGGGAGTAGGGATAGCTATACTCATGTCAGACAAAATGACTAAGCCAAAAACTGTAAAAGGAGACAACAAAAGTCTTTATATAATGACTTATATATAACTGTAAAGCAGTCAATGCATTAAGAGGATGTAACAATTGTAAATATACATGCACCCAACACTGGAGCTCCTACATATAGAAAGCAAATATTAATTAATCTGAAGGGAGAAGTAGCAACACAATAATAGTAGGGGAGTTCAATACCCCACTTTTATGTATATATAATTTTTCCACAAGTTATTGAGGTACAGGTGGTGTTGGGTTACATGAGTACATTCTTTAGTGGTGATTTGTGAGATTTTCGTGCACATATCACCCAAGCAGTATACACTGCACCATATTTGTAGCCTTTTATCCCTTGTCCCCCTCTCACTCTTCCCCCAAGTCCTCAAAGTCCATTTCCATTGTATCATTCTTATGCCTTTGTGTCCTCAGAGCTTAGCTCTCACATATCAATGAGAACATACGATGTTTGGTTTTCCATTCCTAAGTTACCTCACTTTGAATAATAGTCTCCAATCTCATCCAGGTTGCTGTGAATGCATTAATTCATTCTTTTTTATGGTTGAGTAGTATTCCATCGTATAAATATACCACAGTTTCTTTATTCACTCGTTGATTGATGGGCATTTGGGTTGGTTCCACAATTTTGCAATGGTGAATTGTGCTGCTATAAACATGTGTGTGCAATATCTTTTCCATATAATGACTTCTTTTCCTCTGGGTAGATACCCAATGGTGGGATTCCTGGATCAAATGGTAGTTATACTTCTAGTCCTTTAAGGAATCTCCACACTGTTTTTCATAGTGGCTCTTCCAGTTTACATTCCCACCAGCAGTGTAGAAGTGTTCCCTGATCACAACATCCACGCCAATGTCTACTGTTTTTTGATTTTTTGATTACAGTCATTCTTGCAGGAGTAAGGTGGTATTACATTGTAGTTTTGATTTGCATTTCCCCGATCATTAGTGATGTTGAGCATTTTTTCATGTTTGTTGGCAATTTGAATATCTTCTTTTGAGAATTGTCTATTCATGTCTTTAGCCCACTTTTTGATGGGATTGCTTGTTTTTTTCTCACTGATTTCTTTGAGTTCATTGTAGATTTTGGATATTAGTCTGTCAGATGTATAGATTGTGAGGATTTTCTCCCACTCTGTGGGTTGTCTGTTTACTCTGCTGACTGTTCCTTTTGCTGTGCAAAAGCTCACAGTATAATAATGTATTGTATACTCAAAATTTGCAAAGAGGGTAGATCTTAAGTATTCCATACACACACATACACACACACACGATAACTATGTGAGGTGATAAATATGGTAATTAGTTTGATTGTGCTAATCAATATAAAAAGTATACATATATCAAAACTCTACACTAAACACTTTAAATACAGACAATTTTTATTTGTCAATTATACCTCAATGGAGCTGGAAAAAAAAGGAAAAACATAAAGCAGGGGATTGGCAAACTTTTTTGGTAAAGCTGAAAATATTTTCAGCTTTGTAGGCCACAGGATCTCTGGCATGAGTACTCAACTCTGCTTTTTAACATGAAAACAGCCATAGACATAAACAATAAATAAATGGTGTGGCTATGTTTTGATAAAACTTTATTTGCAAAGCAGAAATTGGGATGAATTTGGCCCGTGGGCTGTAGTTTGCTAATCCCTAAAGTAACGAGGCTATAATGGTGGAATGTCAGGTGCCAAGGAAGAGTTTCAAGGAGAGATTATTTTTTAGGAGATTAGGGGAGTTCATTGGGTTAGGAGACCTGTCTGGCATCCTTCAATCACTTTTGATTTTCTTGAAATTCACTTGTTCATTTATACATTTATTCATCTATTACTCAAGTCATTGACTGAAGAACGCTCTTTCCTGCTATCAGAATCTCTGTGAACAAGAATGACTCTGTCCATGGCTTGGGGCCCCCCAGTGGCAACAGTTGCTGTTCCTGGTGATGCTCACTAACACTTCTGTGCTGGCTTCAAGCAGGCACCTTGTGATAGAGGCACTTTCTGTGGAGTGAGGAAGGGCTGGTTTCAAGTGCAAGAAATGGGTTTTGCTGCTGCACTCTGCACTCAAAACATTGCAAATATGTTTAAAATAATGAGACCCATTTTCTATACTCAAACCAGTATTTACAGATCAATATAAATTTTACCTTCCAAAGTAGTTACTTGGAAGTCTTAATACTCCCAAGATATTGTTATTATTCCAAAAAGTTTAAAATTCCAGAGCATACGAAGTGCTCTTTCGAAGATTTTTCATTTAGAAGTGCAATATATTATATTACTGAATGTTTAGAAAACAGAAAAATGAAAATAACATCATGTATAATCCTAATATCCCAACAAAATGTAGCAAGTGCCTAGCACAGAACTTGGCATATAATAGGTGCTCAGAAAGTATCTGTCAAATGAATGCATAAATGTATATTTCTTTTGAAAATCCAGTGAGTGGCAAATCTTTATCCTTTAAGGGTAGATTTCATTTTTGGAAATAGCCAATAGTTCTTTTAAGCCAATATGTTGATACAGGGAATTATCAATATTTTTCACACTGTTCCTGAGCATAAATGAAGTTAAACTATGAAATATTGGGAATAACCGGGATGGTAATTAGAGGGTTTGAATTCTAGTCTGAGCTGTGATGTTAACATGCTCTGTAATCTTGGGAAAGCCCATTCATCCACCCACCCATCCATCCATCCATCCATCCATCCATCCATCCATCCATCCATCCATCCATTATGACAAACAACAGAGACATGGGCCCTGTCTTTTGGCATTTATAGCCTAGGAAGAGAGCAGATTTTGATCCTTCTGTGGGGACAGGATTGAGCAGGGTTAGGAACATGTACTCTAAGAACTGAAAGACCCTTAATTTCCTTATCTGTAAAACAGGAGACTTGGGCTGGATGGTTTTCAAGATCCTTTCCAGTTCTGGCATGCTATCACTATGGTTTTATTGTTGCTGTTGATCAGAAAGCAATTTTTGAAATGAATCAGTTTCACCTGTGTATACATGTGCTGTAGATTTGGCTTGCAGCTTTTTAGGGGAAGTCAGCATGCTAGGAGCCCCTGTCTTTGATGTCTCTCCTTTGATGCTCAAGGGGCAAACTTCAGGGTAGTTTCTGGAGGGTAGTGATTATATTGGATCTATCCCTGTTGTTGGCTGCCTACAAAAAGTTCTTACATCACTAAGGGGCTGCTGAGCAGTCTAACAACATGGATGTCATGGGGGGTGCTTCAATGTTAGCTACAGTGAGATGGCCTCTTTTCAACAGGCCGGGGCTAAATCCCATGACACCAACCACTGGTCTGAGGGCTTAGATGTGGTCATCACAGCTTTGGCTTTCTTGTTCAAATGATGCATGCAGATTTGTAAACTTTAGGCATTATCTCTAGCTGGAAGATGTGCTCTGACGATCTCTTCTACATACCTAATTATTTCAATTTTTGACAAATTTCTTGGAAGAATTATTTTGGCTTTGTGTACTTACAGCCTTCACAGGGAGACTCACCAGTCACTGTAGCTGTGTGAGTTTGGTTAAAGTTATTTATCTTTTTTTTTTTTTTTTTGAGATGGAATTTTGCTCTTGTTGTCCAGGCTGGAGTGCAATGGCATGATCTTGGCTCATTGCAACCTCTGCCTCCCGAGTTCAAGCAATTATCCTGACTCAGCCTCCCGAGTAGCTGGGATTACAGGCATGCACCACCACGCTGTGATAATTTTGTATTTTTAGTAGAGATGGGGTTTCTCCATGTTGGTCAGGCTGGTCTTGAACTCCCGACCTCAGGTGATCTGCCCGCTTAGGCCTCCCAAAGTGCTGGGATTATAGGCATGAGCCACCATGCCCAGCCAGTTCTTTATCTTTTTGGGACTCAATTTCCCAATGTTTCTAAAGAAAGAGAGAAATTAGATCATCATGAGGTCTTTTTGCACCATTAAAATCCTACAGTTATCTAGAAATGACACCAACCATCCATACTCCACTTTTCCATTTCAAAAGAATCTTAGAAAATAGACTGGAAGTGTAGAATGTTTTAATCTCAAGACTGGATAGGTATTAAGTATACTTTTTTATTGTTATTGTATTTTATTTAGAGATAGGGTCTCCCTCTGTCGCTCAAGTTGGAGTGCAGTTGTACAATGATAGCTCATTGAAACCTCAAAAGAGGGCTCAAGAAATCCTCCCACCTCAGCCTCCTGAGTAGCAAGAACTATGGGTGCATGCCACTAAATCTGGCCAATTAAAATTTGTGTGTGTGTGTGTGTGTGTGTGTGTGTGTGCGTGTGTGTGTGTGGAGTTGTGGTCTCACTGTGTTGCTCAGGCTGTTTTTGAACTCCTGGCTTCAAGTGATCCTCCTGCCTAGGCCTCTCAAAGCCCCCTTCTAGAGGGCAAAACAGCTGGAGCCCACACAGTTCCATGAAACTGCATCACCATTCCAGCTCTTTTTCCTTCTCCTTCTCCTTTTTCTTTTTTTCTTTGGGGATTATAGGCCTGAGCTACTGTACCCAGCCTCAATTTTTAAATTAGTTTTAAAAAAGTTGTTTATAAAAGTAATACTAATCAATGCAGAAAATATGGAAAACAAAGAACAGTAATACTAAACACACACATGCTTATACAGTCCCATGTTGCTTAATGATGGGGATACATTCTGAGAAATGTGATTAGGTGAGTTCATCATTGTGTGAACATCACAGAGTGCACTTACACAAACCTAGATGGTAGAGCCCACTATATACCTAGGCTATGTGGTATAGTCTATTGCTCCTAGGCTACAAACTGTACAGCATGTTATTGTACTGAATACTGTCGGCAATTGTAACACAATAGTATTTGTGTATCTAAGCATGGAAAAGGTACAGTAGACCAGGTGCGGTGGCTCACACCTGTAATCCTAGCACTTTGGGAGGCTGAGGTGGGCGAATCACCTGAGGTCAGGAGTCTGAGAACAACCTGGCCAGCATGGCGAAATCCCGTCTGTACTAAAAATACAAAAAAGTTAGCCAAGCATGGTGGCGAGCGCCTGTAATCCCAGCTACTCGGGAGGCTGAGGCACGAGAATTGCTTGAACCCAGGTGGCAGAGTTTGGCAGTGAGCCGAGATCATGCCACTGCACTTCAGCCTGGGTGACAGAGCAAGACTCCATCTCAATAATTAAAAAAAATAAATAAAAGAAAAGGTACAGTAAAAAAAAAAAATCTTAGGGGATCACCATTGCATATGCAGTCTGTTGTTGACTGAAATGTCCTTGTGTGGGGCATGATTGTGTGTCTGTGTGTATAACTCAGATCTTTGTGTTATACACCCAGAGACAGCCACTACACATATAGATGAATCTACCTTTATTGATAAATACTATTTTGTCTATAGATAGGAATAACATCATGAGAAATGAAATCATGTCCTACATATTTTGTAGCCTCCTTTCACTTGGCAGTATATTGTAAATATTTTCAACATTTACCCTTCTACAATGATTTTTTTAAAAAAGATTGAAAGGTATTCAGTTGAATGTCTATGGACAGTGACAGCACTTTGAGACACAACTTTCCCCTTCTAGAGGGCAAAACAGCTAGAGCCCACACAGTTCCATGAAACTACATCTCACCATTCCACCTCTTTTTCCTTCTCCTTCTCCTTTTTCTTTTTTTCTTCTTCCTCCTCACTCTTCTTTTTCTTCCTTTCCCACTTTCTTCTCTTCCCTCCTCTTTCTATTCTTTCTCCTTTTTTTCATCTCTTTCTCTTCTTTTGATATTACAATGGAGCTGGTTGTTTGCAGAGATGTCAGGCCAGTAACTAGATTATGTGAGTGAGTATGCATGTGTCTCTGTGTATTCTTTTTAAAATTTTAATTTTTAGAGATGGGGTTTTGCTCTATTACCCGGGTTGGAGTGTAGAAGAGGCACAATCATAGCTCACTGTAGCCTTGAACTCCTGGGCTCCAGTGATCCCCCGTCTCAATCTCCCAAGCAGCAGGGACTATAGGCACAAACCACTGTGCGTTGCCGCCTGTGTGTTTTGATGGCTGCACTGCTGTCCTTGAGTCTGCTGAGTCACTAAAGGCACATCTTGGAGACAACCTCTCAAAGCCAATCAGTCTTCATGGAGTCAGGACTTCATTAGAGATATTCAAGGTGGTAGAAGTGGGTCTAATATAAGACAGGCCTTTTTTTTCTTCTTTGGGTTAGAGAAACACAGAATTGAATTAAATCATCTTTAGTAGTGAGCTCCCTGTTACTGGTTGCATTCCAGTGGAGGCCATTTGACCACTTCTTGCAGGCATTGTGTTCCTAGACAAAAAACCCCCAAATTTTGTCCTGAACCAGATTTTCCCTGAAGCTTCCCCAAAACACTTTAGTCTAGCTATACCTTTAGGTTAGATTCAGTGACCTCTAAACTTCTTCCAAGTATAGGATTTTCTGATTCCGTGATTTGTGACAGACTTTTTCCCAAGATCCTAGTATTTAACTTCCTGAAATGGATGCTGGTTAAAAGGCTTACTTGGAAAAGGAGATATTTAACTAATTGCAAATAATGAGATTTCAGTTTATTTGGAAATTTTAGTAGTTCAGGTTTTCCATACCCCTCACTTCCATAGGTACATGATGGGATGTTTTAATGATGAAAGTATTAAATACATGTGGAAGCATGCAGGAAAGATAACACACATACGTTCTAGACAGACAGATGTTAGTTTCTACCCGTGTGCTTGAATAAGCTACTAGGTCCTGCATGGACTGTCACACTAAAGACCCTTTAAATGCCTTGACTGAGCAATTTGGCTGTACCCCATTTTCCCATTTCAAAACATTTCAGATTCCCTTTGCTCCGTGAAATGCATGAAAGCTGCTTCTGACCAGAGACTAACGTGCTATCCCTTTTATCTCCAAAACGGGCTCCCAATTGGTTCCAGGGAAAGTGATTTCCCCAAACTTGGCTGCCAGCTGTAATTGGTTTATATGTGACCCATTCATTTCTACATGCTCATTAGTGCTGGATGCTGGGGTCTCTTTGGTCTCTGGCAAGCAGCTGGACGAAGCAGCCTATGCTGGCTGGTGTGGTGGTAGAGACCTTGGAATTAAGAGGTCTACCCTGTGTACTCCATGCCCTGTTGGATGAATCAGGACCAGTATGGAGACTTCCCTTGAAACCAGGCAGACACTGGGAAACACTGGAGGAAAAAATACTTTGTCCTTTCCCCCTTTCCCTCATTTCCTTCTTCTGTTCTTGGTTCAGAGGTTACAGCAATACATTATACAAATTGCTTGGGTTTGAACATGGCTTTGCCACCTAATAACTGCAAAATCTCAGACAAGCTTCTGAGAATCTCACTGCCTCAGTTTCCTCACCGGCAACATAGGAATAATAATAGCACCTACCTCATAGTATTGTTGTGAGGACTAAACTGGTTAATGTAATTAAAGCCCTTAGGACAGTATATGGTAAAGTCAGGAGGGCTGTGTAGATGTTTGCTAACACTCGATTCAAAGGACCCAATGGTTACTATGAACTGAGCACAGGCTCCAGGCTGGGGGCTAGGAATGTGCAATCCTCACCTTGGAGAGGCTCATATTTGCTGAACCCCAGAGAGAGGTGATTGACTATTCCTCTTCCTCATTTTCCTCCCCTCCCATATTTCTTCCCCTCCCCTTCTCTTCCCTTCTGTATCAGGTTTCTCTTGCTGCTGTAACAAACGCTCACCAACTTCCTGGCTTATAACTAAACAAATTTATTGTCTTACAGTACTGTAGGTGGGAACTCTCACTGGACTAAAACAGCCAAGGTGTCTGCAGGAACTTGTTCCATTCTGGAGGTTCTAGGGGAGAATTTTTCTCCTTGCCATTCCCAGCTTCTAGAGGCTACCTCCATTCCTTGGCTCAGGATCCCCTTCCCATCACTTTGACTTCTCTGATGCTCCTGCCACCCTCTTTCTCACATAAGGACCACTGTGTTTACATAGGGCTCACCCAGATAATCCAGGATAATCTCTCCATCGCAAAACCCTTGATTGAATTGCTGCGAAGTCTCTTTTGCTATAGAAGGTAGAAGAGTCACAGGTTTTAGGATCAGGACATGGCTACTGGCGGTGGGGGGAGGGTGCTTTGTTCTGCCTACCACATATTTTTCCTCCTTCCTTCCTTTAAAAAATGCTTGTCCTGTTCATGAGCTTCCTTGAGCCAGTGTGGAGCATCAGGGGAGCATGGTTCCAGGCCTGACACTCCCTCCGACTTGCCCTGCATGGAACCTTGGGTAAGAAATAACCCCCACGTCTGTAACACAAGAGGTTGGACTCATCATGCCGTACTTAACTTCATGTGTGCAAAAACACCATTTCCTTGATTTTCTTTTAATTGATCTGAGAACTTGATCTGATTCTGATGCTGCTGAGCCCCTGAGCCCCTGCCTTGCTTGCTGGGGGGAAATTTGCTCTGCTTGTTGGAGCATTCCTTATTCCCCGTGGTTCCAAGCTTGTGGCTTCCCAGAATGCACACACATCGGGTGGGCTGCTCAGGTTTTCACACCACTGGTCTCTGTCCCAGCCCATATGGTCCCCTTTAGGTGCCATGTGTGTAGCTAGGGGACTTTGTTGGCTTTGATGACGCTCCTGCCTAGTGCCCCAGCACCCTGGGTGCACCTCATCGCCCTTCCTCCTTGAGGCTTAACGACCTCAGGAATCAGAGGCTGAGGCCCTGGACCCACTGACTTCCCTCCTGTCCCCAGTCTGGAGGAAACTTTTTTTTTTTTAGGATATGCAAAACACATTTTTTATTAAATAAGTAAATGAACAGAAAACAAATGGTGAATGGATGAATAAATGAATGAGTGAATGAATGAATGAAAGAGTAGGTAAGTATAATCTGGCTTCCCTTTAACTTCTTTTTTGTTTGTTTGTTTTCTTTTTTTTTATTATTATACTTTAAGTTCTAGGGTACATGTGCACAACATGCAGGTTTGTTATATATGTATACATGTGCCATATTGGTGTGCTGCACCCATTAACTCGTCATTTACATTAGGCGTATCTCCTAATGCTATCCCTCCCCCCAACCCCCACCCCATGACAGACCCCGGTGTGTGATGTTCCCCTTCCTGTGTCCAAGTGTTTTCACTGTTCAATTCCCACCTATGAGTGAGAACATGCGGTGTTTGGTTTTTTGTCCTTGCGATAGTTTGCTGAGAATGATGGTTTCCAGCTTCATCCATGTCCCTGCAAAGGACACGAACTCATCCTTTTTTATGGCTGCATAGTATTCCATGGTGTATATGTGCCACATTTTCTTAATCCAGTCTATCATTGTTGGACATTTGGGTTGGTTCCAAGTCTTTGCTATTGTGAATAGTGATGCAATAAACATACGTGTGCATGTGTCTTTATAGCAGCATGATTTATAATCCTTTGGGTATATACCCAGTAATGGGATGGTTGGGTCTAATGGTATTTCTAGTTCTAGATCCTTGAGGAATCGCCACACTGTCTTCCACAATGGTTGAACCATTTTACAGTCCCACCAACAGTATAAAAGTGTTCCTATTTCTCCACATCCTCTCCAGCACCTGTTGTTTCCTGACTTTTTAATGATTGCCATTCTAACTGGTGCGAGATGGTATCTCATTGTGGTTTTGATTTGCATTTCTCTGATGGCCAGTGATGATGAGCATTTTTTCTTGTGTCTGTTGGCTGCATAAATGTCTTCTTTCGAGAAGTGTCTGTTCATATACTTTGCCCACTTTTTGATGGGGTCGGTTTTTTTTTTCTTGTAAATTTGTTTGAGTTCATTGTAGATTCTGGATATTAGCCCTTTGTCAGATGAGTAGATTGCAAAAATTTTCTCCCATTCTGTAGATTGCCTGTTCACTCTGATGGTAGTTTCTTTAGCTGTGCAGAAGCTCTTTAGTTTAATTAGATCCCATTTGTCAATTTTGGCTTTTGTTGCCATTGCTTTTGGTGTTTTACACATGAAGCCTTTGCCCATGCCTATGTCTTGAATGGTATTGCCTAGGTTTTCTTCTAGGGTTTTTATGGTTTTAGGTCTAACATTTAAGTCTTTAATCCATCTTGAATTAATTTTTGTATAAGGTGTAAGGAAGGGATCCGGTTTCAGCTTTCTACACATGGCTAGCCAGTTTTCCCAGCACCATTTATTAAATAAGGAATTATTTCCCCATTTCTTGTTTCTGTCAGGTTTGTCAAAGATCAGATGGTTGTAGATGTGTGGTATTATTTCTGAAGGCTCTGTTCTGTTCCATTGATCTATATCTCTGTTTTGGTACCAGTACCATGCTGTTTTGGTTACTGTAGGCTTGTAGTATAGTTTGAAGTCAGGTAGCGTGATGCCTCCAGCTTTGTTCTTTTGGCTTAGGATTGACTTGACAATGCGGGCTCTTTTTTGGTTCCATATGAACTTTAAAGTAGTTTTTTCCAATTCTGTGAAGAAAGTCATTGGTAGCTTGATGGGAATGGCATTGAATCTATAATTTACCTTGGGCAGTATGGCCATTTTCACGATATTTATTCTTCCTATCCCCATGAGCATGGAATGTTCTTCCATTTGTTTGTGTCCTCTTTTCGCTGAGCAGTGGTTTGTAGTTCTCCTTGAAGAGGTCCTTCATATCCCTTGTAAGTTGGAGTCCTAGGTATTTTATTCTCTTTGAAGCAATTGTGAATGGGAGTTCACTTATGATTTGGCTCTCTGTTTGTCTGTTACTGGTGTACAAGAATGCTTGTGATTTTTGCACATTGATTTTGTATCCTGAGACTTTGCTGAAGTTGCTTATCAGCTTAAGGCCTGGTACTTTCTTCTTGCTACACTTGGTGCAACCTCATCAAGGGGCTTTTTACAAAGTCCAGGGGGAAAAGCATTTTTCAGGCAACTTCAGCTTTGTGCTTTCCAACATCAACTCCTCCTGAAGCAAGTTTCTGCCTATCTGCTTGAAATAGTCAAACAGAAAAAAAAATTAAACAATATAAATTCAGTTGAGTGGATCAATAAATTATCTTGCCTCAAATGGTTTTCTTTTTTCTTTTTGAGACAGGATCTCACTTTGTCACCCAGGCTGGAGTGCAGTGGTGCAATCACAGCGCACTGCAGCCTTGAACTTCTGGGCTCAGGTGATCCTTCTGGCTCAGCCTCTCTGGCAGCTGAGACTACAGGCACAAGCCATTGTGCCAAGCTAATTTTCATTTTTTGTTTGCAGAGAAGAGATCTCACTATGTTGCCCAGTCTTTGAAAGTTTTCAACAGTATTCCACAGATCTCCTTGGTTCCTTGGAGCAGAGATCTAATGGGTGGAGTCCCAGATCTGCCTCTCTCACTTCAATCAGAGCAGCCACTGTGATGTCAGTTTTATGTACTGAAGATTCTCCTAAGATTTCATTTAAAGGAAGGATTCTGTGGTTAAAAAATATTTGAAACCACTGGAGTAGATGATCTCTGGGGCCTCAGTGAGTTCTAAGGTGTGTAATTTTTATATGTTTCAGCAAATTCAGTAGTCTCATGAAGAAATCACTTATTCTCTATCATCTGGTTTTCTATTTAACCAGAGTCCTCTATTAGTAAAAATGTCTGTGCAATTTATCCACAGCACAATATTATTTGTTCATAATAACACAATATAAGGTTTTGGGAAGCATAAAGTTTTGTCTGTATCTCTTATTTATTTTTTTTAGGATGCGTTTTTTGACCTAGAATTATTTCATCAAAGGAGATGAACATTTAAGGATGATAGGATACATACACATGCGTACACACGTACAAACATAATATATATAAAATGATAGAATGCATGGCCATGGGAGACAATTTGGAAAATACAGAGTAGCATAAGAAGAAAATAGAGTTCACCAATAATTCCAGATTGGTCACTGTTAATGTTTTGGTATATTTTCTATCGATATTCAAAAAAATTATGTAAACAATGTATATGCAAATTATTAGTACAAAATGGGAATCATGCCATGTTTGTAGTTTTATGTGTTGATTTTTTCATATAAAAATCTCATGACCATTTTTCTTGTGTCATAAATTTTTTAAAAAACAGGATGTTTTTGGCTTGGCACGGTGGCTCACGCCTGTAATCACAGCACTTTGGGAGGCCGAGGCAGGCAGATCACAAGGTCAGGAGATCGAGACCATCCTGGCTAACACGGTGAAACCCCGTCTCTACTAAAAATACAAAAAAAAATTAGCAGGGCGTGGTGGCAGGCGCCTGTAGTCCCAGCTACTCAGGAGGCTGAGGCAGGAGAATGGCGTGAAACTGGGAGGTGGAACTTGCAGTAAGCCGAGATTGTGCCACTGCACTCCAGCCTGGATGACAGAGCGAGACTCCGTCTCAAAACAAAAACAGAACAAACAAAACAAAACACCAGGAATTTTTTTTTTTTTGAGACAGAGTCTTGCTCTGTTGCCCAGATTGGAGTGCAGTGGCATGATCTCGGCTCACTGCAACCTTCACCTCCTGGGTTCAAGTGATTCTCCTGCTTCAGCCTCCCGAGTAGCTGGGATTACAGGCGTGTGCCACCATGCCAGGCTAATTTTTTTTGTATTTTTTTTTTTTTAGTGGAAACGGGGTTTCACCATGTTGGCCAGGCTAGTCTCAAACTCCTGACCTTAGGTGATCCACCTGCCTCCGCCTCCCAAGTGCTGGGATTACAGGTGTGAGCCACTGTGTCCAGCCAAAAAAATCACATGATTTTAATGAGTGCACATGACTCTATTATGTGCCATGTATTTTTTTTTTTTTTTTTACCAAATTCCCTATTACTGGATATTTGAAATATTTCTAATTTGTTATGATTATCAATGAATGTGATGAACATGTCCATAGACCAATCTTTACTTACATTTCTAAACGTTTTCTGAGATAGATTCAAAGGTGTGAATTTACTGAATCAAAGGATATAAACTTTTTTTGCCAAAGGCTGTTGATAAGTATTTCTAAAGTACCTTCCAAAAAATTTATATTGCTTTATATTAAGCTCTGTTGGAGTCTTGGTCTCACCAAATCTATACTAACAGCATCATTAAAAATTTGCTAATTGTTAAGTGAAATGTTAGTGAGAGTTTTAGTGTCACATGTAATTTGTCAGATTCTCATACTTTATTGTATTATTATTCTTTTTTGAGACTGGGTCTCACTCTGTCACCCATGTTGGAGTGCAGCGGCACAATCATGGCTCACTGCAGCCTTGACCATCTGGGCTCAAATGATCCTCCTGCCTCAGCCTCCCAAGTGGCTGGGACAACAGGTACATGTCACCATACTTGGCTAATTAATTTTTATTTATTTATTTATTTATTTATTTGTAGAGATGGGTCTCACTTTTGTTGCCCAGGTTGGTTTTGAACTGCTGGGCTCAAGTGATTCTCCTGCCTCAGCCTCTCTAAGTGTTGGAATTACAGGTGTGAGCCACCATGTCCAGCCATACTTTGAAAAGTGGCAATCTATGTAATTTTTAAATTAAAGGCACATGCCAGTATCTCCAATGGAGATTTTTTTTTTTTTTACTGAAAACCAAAAAATGCACAAATAAGAACAGGTCTAAAATAAGCCAGAATATATATATATATATATATATATATATATATATATATATATATATATATTTTTTTTTTTAGGACAGAGTTTCGCTCTTGTTGCCCAGGCTGGTGTGCAGTGGCTCAATCTCGGCTAACTGCAACCTCTGCCTTCCGGTTTCAAGCGATTCTCCTGCCTCAGCCTCTCGATTAGCTAGGATTACAGGCACCTGCCACTATGCCTGGCTAATTTTTGTATTTTTAGTAGAGATGGGGTTTCACCATGTTGGCGAGTCTGGTCTCAAACTCCAGACCTCGTGATCCGCCTGCTTCGGCCTCCCAAAGTGCTGGGATTACAGGCGTGAGCCACTGCACCCAGTAGCCAGAGTATTTACATACAAAAATGGAAAAGGAGAAAAAACCACAGTATTCTAATTCTGAGTGATCCAGTGCTAAGGTCTGAATGTGTCACCCCAAATTCATGCCTTGAAACAATTGCCACTGTGATAGTATTAAGTGGTGAGGCCTTTCGGAGGTGATGATGTCATTGAGGGTGATTCCCTCATGCATGGAATTAGGACCCTTAAAAAGGGCTTGAGGGAGGGCGTTCATTTGTTCTCTCTTTTTTTTTTGAGACAGTCTCGCTCTGTCGCTCAGACTGTAGTGCAGTGGCGTGATCTTGGCTTACTGCAACCTCCACCTCCTGGGCTCAGGTGATTCTCCTGCCTCAGTCTCCTGAGTAGCTGGGACTACAGGCACATGCCACCACGCCTGGCTAATTTTTGTATTTTTAGTAGAGTTGGGGTTTCACCTTGTTGGCCAGGATGGTCTCGATCTCCTGGCCTCAAGTGATCCGCCTGCCTCGGGCTCCCACAGTGATGGGATTACAGGCATGAGCCACTGCGCTGGGCCTCACAATACCTTAGCATGATTAGTGGGAGAGAAGGCATGTGTCAGTTAGTGTACTTGGTGGTCAGGTGACACACGAGCAGCATGTACACTCTGCAGTGAATGGCTACCACTCTATCACATGGAACCAGACTCCAGACAGAGGTGGCTGCTGCAATATTTCTTTTGGCTTTTCTAGATCACCAGTAAAAGATTTGCTAATTAGCACATGGTATCAAAAATGGATTTTTATTGGCAAATCTAGTGACTGTTAAGTAGTTTGCTGAATGTTCAATCTGAGCTTCAGATATGCAGTTTGGGCTAAAATATGTAGCTCAGAGTCATTCCTCTCTTTTGCATGAACTTGGCGAGGTTTGTAGCTTGCGCCTTTAGGGATGGCACCTGAACCGGAACTGGATCCCTCATCAGTCTTGTGTCCAGCCACTGGTCTAAGAGGTTTCTGATCATAATGATTCTAACCAACAATTTGTAAAATCTTGCTCTAATCTGCTTTGAATAAACTTTCATACAGGGAAAGATTAGAGCACCTGAAAGGTCAGAAAGCTGGGACTTCATCAAGACCCAGAATGCATTGGATGAAGTGCTTAGTGCCTGCTTTGCTAAAGAATGTTTGTTTAATTAATGTTGGTAGCTGTGACTGTTGGCAACCCAGGCCAAGGGCTTTCTTTCAGAACTCAGAGGCGTTAGTGGAGGGGTTAGCCTGTGTGAGGTAAGGTCTGTCTCGCCCTTGCTCCTCTCCCAAGTATGAGGATGAATGAGGATGGACCAGGCCATCTAAGATCTACATCTGATTTAATTCAGGGAATCTCATTTGAGTTCCAACAGCAGCTCCGGCTCTTAAAACATTAAAAAAAGGGCTGGGGGACAGTGGGTCACGCCTGTAATCCAAGCACTTTGGGAGGCTGAGGTGGGTGGATCACCTGAGGTCAGGAGTTTGAGATCAGCCTGGCCAATATGGTGAAATCCTGTCTCTACTACAAATACAAAAATTAGCTGGGTGTGGTGGTGTGCACCTGTAGTCCCAACTACTCAGGAGGCTGAGGCAGGAGAATCACTTGAACCTGGGAGGCAGAGGTTGCAGTGAGCTGAGATTGCACCACTGCACTCCAGCCTGGGCGACAGAGCCAGACGGTCTAAAAAAAAGAAAAACATACAAACAAAAAATAGTAAAAAAAGAATAAGAAAAAGAAAAATAAAGAAAGAGAGAGAAAGAAGAGGTCAACTACTGCTTTTTAAGCTTCTATGTGCGATTTTAATTTTGAAGGATCCCTTCAATGTTAGACATCCATAATGGATGTAATATGGAAAGACAAACAAAACCTGTTCTGGAACACAGAGGTGCTTGGTCCCTGGTGTGGCTATGTCAAGTTACTGAAAGGCCATGCTGGCTGTGACACTGAGCCCCGCATTTGCATTTCTAACTGTGAGCCGGGGGCTGATCTGATGTATGAATAGGGAAGGTAGCTTCTCACCCAGAAGGTGTCCCCATGACCTTTTTCTGTCACCACTTCCTGAGAGCATGTTAGGAAACATTTTCTAACTTGGTTGGTATAAAAGGCCATTTAGTGTAATAAGCTTGAAAAATTCTGCAATATTTCTCCTGTGACACATGTAAATTCCGTGTCTGACACATAATGGGTGCCAAAAAATGTTTGTTCAATGAATGAAAAAGCTTGTTTTAGGGCTTACATTAATGAATCAAATATATCTTTCTGTCTGAATTTTAAAATCTCTATTTTCTTAAAGTCTAGGAAACATATCTGATAGTGTCCTGCATTTTGTTACTAATGCTATTAGTAATTAACAGTAATTGTAATGGAGAACATGTATTGTTTACTGTAAATTGCTCTTCTATATATTATATAATTTAATAATCACAACTCAGTTCTATTATCATTCTCAATTTTAGATGAGATAATCAAGGCTTTGAGAAATTTTCTTGTCCCAAGTCGCGTGGCTAGAAATTGGTTGTTTTATTTGAATACAGGCAGTTTGCCTCTAGACCCCACATTCTTTTTTTTTTAACTTGTTTTATTTTAAAATTAGGGGTACATTGCATGTTTGTTAGTTACATGGGTATATTGCGCACTGGTGGGGACTGGGCTTCTTGTGTACCCATTGCCCAGATAGTGAACATTGTGTCTGATGGGTAATCTTTCTTTCTTTCTTTCCTTCTTTCTTTCTTTCTCTCTCTCTCTCTTTCTTTTTCTCTCTTTCTTTCTTTCTTTTCTTTCTTTCTTTCTTTCTTTCTTTCTTTCTTTCTTTCTTTCTTTCTTTCTTTCTTTCTTTCTTTCTTTTTCTTTCTTTCTCTCTCTCTCTCTCTCCTTCCTTCCTTCTTTCTTTCTTTTCTTTCTTTTTTTGTTTTTTTTTGAGATGGAGTCTCGCTCTGTTGCCCAGGCTGGAGTTTAGTGGCATGATCTTGGCTCACTGCAACCTCCACCTCCTGGGTTCAAGCAATTCTCCTGCCTCAGCCTCCCGAGTAGCTGGGATTACAGGCGCCTGCCACCATGGCCAGCCAATTTTTATATTTTTAGTAGAGATGGTTTCACCATATCGCCTGATGGATAATCTTTCAATGCTCGCACCTCCCACCCTCCTCCCTTTTGCAGTCCCTGGTGTCTACTGTTGCCATCTGTTTGTCCATATGTACTCAGTGTTTAGGTCCCACTTAAAGTGAGAACACGTTGTATTTGATTTTTTTTAATTTTAAAAATTTCAATAGCTTTTGAGAGTACGAGTAGTTCTGGTTACACGGATGAATTGTATAGTGGTGAAGTCTAAGATTTTAGTGCCCCTGTCACCCGAGTAGTGCACATTGTACTCAATATCTAGTTTTTCATCCCTCAATCCCCTCTCACCCTCCCCATTCTGAGTCTCCAGTGTTCATTATACCACTCTGTATGCCTTTGTGTACCCATAGCTTAGCTCCCACTTATAAGTGAGAACATGTAGTATTTGGTTTTTCTATTCCTGGGTGACTTCACTTAGAATAATGGCCTCCAGCTCCACCCAAGTTGCTGCAAAAGCATTATGTCATTCTTTTTTATGGCTGAATAGTATTCCATGGTGTTATATGTAAAACATTTTCTTTATCCGCTCATTGGTTGTTGTACACCCCATGTTCAAGCTCTACAGTTTCTCTCCTTTTGAAGTTATAAAATCTCTGTTATATAATGTCTTCTTCTCTCTCTCTTTTTTTTTTTTTTGAGACTGGGTCTCACTCTGCTGCTCAGGCTGGAGTGCAGTGGTGTGATCATAGCTCACTGCAGCTTCTACCCCTTGGGCTCAAGTGATCCTCCCACCTCAGCCTCCCAGGTAGCTGGGACTACAGGCTTGTACGACCACGTCCAGCTAATTTTTTAAAAACAATTTTCGTAGAGACAGGGGTCTCCCTGTGTTGCCCAGGATGATCTCAAATTTCTGGGCTCAAGTGATCCTATCCTGCCTGGGCCTCCCAAAGTGTTGGGGTTACAGGTGTGAGCCACTGTGCCTGGCCTATAATGTCTTTTTAAGAGAATTTCTTTTTTTGCGGGGAGAATATCTCTTCTTTTACAACACTGCCACTTAGACTCCCTTGCTATTTATGGTGTTTATCACTAACATTCATACTGAAAAAGGTTAGTCTGTGTCTTAATCTTAGCATCTGTGAAGATTAAATCTGTGGATGTCTGATTGTGATTACAAGAATAATAACAACTATCACTTATTGAGTGTCTACTATATGCCAGACACCCTACACATTATTGCTAATCCTTTCAAAAGCTTTTTTATTTTTTAAACTTTTATTTTAGGTTCAGGGGCACATGTGCAGGTTTGTTCTATAGTCAACTTGTGTCACAGGGCTTTGTTGCACAGATTATTTTGTCACCCAGGTACTAAGCCTAATACCCAATAGTTATTTTTTCTGATCCTTTCTCTCCTCCCACTCTCCACCCTCAAGTAGGCTCCACTATCTGTTGTTCCCTTCTTTGTGTCCATGTGTTCTCATCATTTAGCTCCCACTTACAAGTGAGAACATGCAGTATTTGGTTTTCTGTTCATGCATTAGTTTGCTAAGGATAATGGCCTCCAGCTCCATTCATGTTCCTGCAAAGGACATAATCTCATTTTTTATGGCCGCATAGTATTCCAATGA
The DNA here is from genome assembly GCF_000001405.40 of Homo sapiens. Taxonomy (NCBI): domain Eukaryota; kingdom Metazoa; phylum Chordata; class Mammalia; order Primates; family Hominidae; genus Homo; species Homo sapiens. The sequence goes on along the minus strand of NC_000016.10, from coordinate 52,990,659 downwards.
ATACTTATAGCTGTACCACATTTTCCTTATGTGATCTTCCATTGATGGGCATTTAGGTTGATTCCATGCGTATGCTATTGTGAATACTGCTCCAATGAACATTTGTGTGCATGTGTCTTTATGGCAGAATGCCTTATATTCCTTTGGGTATATACCCAAAGGGTATGCTGGGTTGAATGGTGGTTCTGTTTTCAGCTTTTTGAAGGACCACCACACTACTTTCCACAATGGTTGAATGAATTTACACTGCCATCAACAGTGTAGAAGCATTCCCTTTTCTCTGCAACCTCACCAGTATCTATTTTTTGGCTTTTTAGTAATAGCCATTCTGACTGGTGTGAGATGGTATCTCACTGTGGTTTTCATTTGCATTTCTCTAATAATCAGTGATATTGAGCTTTTCTTAATACGCTTGTTGGCTGCATGTATGTCTCTTTTTGAGAAGTGTCTGTTTATGTCCTTTGCCCATTTTTAATGGGGTTGTTTGTTTTCCTCCTGTAAATTTGTTTAAGTTTCTTATAGATGCTGGATATCAGACCTTTGTCAGATGCATAGTTTGCAAAATTTTTCTCTCATTCTCTAAATTGTCTGTTTACTCTGTTGATAGTTTCTTTTGCTGTGCAGAAGCTCTTAAGTTTAATTAGATCCCATTGGTCAAATTTTGCTTTTTTGCGATTGCTTTTGGTGTCTTTATCATTAAATCTTTACCATTAAATCTTTGCCATTTCCTATGTCCAGAATGGTTTTGTCTTCCAGGGCTTTATAGTTTTAGCTTTTACTAAAACTATAAAACTATTTAAATCTTTAATAGTTTTAAATAGTCTTAAAACTATAAGACTATTTAAGTCTTTAATCCATCTTGAGTTAATTTTTGTATCTGATGTCAGGAAGGGGTGCAGTGTCTGTCTTCTGCATATGGCTAGCCAGTTATCCCAGCACCATTTATTGAATAGGGAGTCCTTTCCCCATTGCATTCTTTGGTGAGCTTTGTCAAAGATCAGACGGTTGTATGTGTGTGGCCTTATTTCTGGGTTCTCTATTCTATTCCATTGGTCTCACATTATTGCTAATCCTTGCAAACAACTCAGAAATAATTACTTACTTCATCATCCCCATTTACAGATGAGGAAACAGAGGCTCAGAGAGGTTGCATAAATTGCTTTGGATCCCATAGTTTACTACTAGCAAAACTGAGATTTGAACACAGGTTTGTGAGACACCCAGATTTCTCCTGTTCTAAATAATGCTTAGGCCCATTCTTGGTGACAGCACTGATGTGGCTTCCATGTAGGTTTCCTCTGGGAGAGTCTTTTTTTTTTAATAGGCTTTCTATGGGACACCCAGTTGAATCCAACAGTGTCCTGTTTGATTGGAAACAGATCAGACATTTGCCATGGACCTGCCTGTGCTATTTCTTTGAACCTTGGTTGGCTATATTTGTACTGACACTGTGAACCCCATTGTTAGGGTAAGGGTGACCTATCTTGGTCTCCAGGTTGAGCTGAGCAGACCCCAGCTATGTTCATCCTGACTTGGATTAGTGCTCTTACCAGTAATAAAGAATTAATTTTAGCACTTGAGCTAATTGGGATAAAAAATGTGACACCCAAGCCAGAAATAAGCTTAATGAAGCCCATTAAATAATTTAATGATTACGTAATTATGTTCATTTAGAATGCAGGAATTGATTACTCTGAAATTAATTTTACCATCTCTGTACCTTTTTGAGCACATTTATTTTGAACAAAATGAAGGATTAGTTTCATTTCTGATGGGCACTCTGCCATTAATAATCATGTCTCATTATAATGAGAAAATGTTGTGTTTTGAATAAGTTCATGTGACCATGTATTTCCAGATAACAGACAAGCTTGTTCAGTGGAGAGATTTAAGCTATTGAAAGGGTCTTACTAATTTGAATCATAAATGAGTAAGTGGAGGATTGATATGCTCAGTGAACAGAAATCTAGATGGTAAAATATGGTGCAGTCGAGCTAATTAGGGGCTGGATCAGGGTGTTCTGGAAGCTCCAAACCAGTTGCAAATCAGATATGTGGGATAGGAAGGGCTAAAACCTAAAGGCTTCATAGTGGACACATAGGGACACAAAGAGACACAGTAGACACATGTTGAATGCTTTTCGAGCATCTTTTCCTTCCCTCTTTCTAACAGCCCCTAATTTCTACTTGGCAATTTTGAGGTCAAAGGCTCCTTGCTAGGTTCCCCTGGTATAGTACATGACCCACTAAGCCAACCACTATATTTCATCCTGATTTTCATTTCATAGTGATTGGTACAGAGGTGAGCATGTTACCTAACACTGTCCAATCAGAATGAATCTCAGCGTGCTTTCAGGGGATTCTGGGAAAAGACTTTTTAAAAAATGTTGGTTGTGTATGAAGAGGCAGGTTTGCAGCCTGCAAACAGACAAGGAAAGCTAGTCTTAGGATGAAATTGAACTGTAGAAAGCAGAACTGAGAGACAGAAGGAAACTGGATCTTGGTGGCAATTTACTTTTAATTAATTAATTAATTTGTTTCTGAGACAGCGTCTCGCTCTGTCACCCAGGCTGGAGTGCAGTGGCGTGATCACAGCTCACTGTTGCCACAACCTCTTGGGCTCAGGTGATCCTCCTGCCTCAGCCTTCCAAGTAGCTGGGACCACAGGTACATGCCACCACACTCAGCTCATTTTTCATTTTTTTTTTTGTAGAGGCAGGGTCTTGCCATGTTGCCCAGGCTGGTCTTGAACTGCTGAGCACAAGCAGTCCTTCTGCTTTGTCCCCACAAAGTCCTAGGATTACAAATGTGAGCCACCATGCCTGGCTGCAATCTACTTTTAGATCTTTTCATTATAGGAGCTGATAAATTGCTTCTATTGTTGAAATCATTGTTGCTTACAAGTGAAAGTATCCTGGGAGAAGCAGGATTTAATAGGTTACAGGATTTTTCTTTAGAGTTATATACTTTATGCCTATAGAATAATAGAATTTCAGGCCTGTGAGAGAATTTAAGGGTCACCAGTTCCAATAGGGGTGCTACATAATGATCTGAGAAGTCCATTTTTGGTTTTATACGGTGTCTTGCATTTGTAGAGCATTTTGTATCTTTCAGGGTGTTTTCAGAATGCTTTGGATACTCACAACAAAGCCTCTGTTTCAGGAAGCTGCCACCATGCCCTGAGATCAGCAGGGTTTAATAATGGGGCAAGATGCTCTTTGTAGTCAGAAAGGTATGATGATATAAAATCCTTGCTTTTCTACTAAGTAATCTAGGCTGCTCCTATATCTGTGAAATGGGTATAATAGCTACTTTGTAGGTTCTCTCTCTATTTTATTTTTTTTTTTAGACGGAGTCTCTCTCTGTCGCCCAGGCTGGAGTGCAGTGGCACAATCTTGGCTTACTGCAAGCTCCACCTCCCGGGTTCATGCCATTCTCCTGCCTCAGCCTTCCAAGTACCTGGGACTACAGGTGCCTGCCAACACGCCCGGCTAATTTTTTGGTATTTTTTAGTAGAGACGGGGTTTCACCGTGTTAGCCAGGTTGGTCTCGATCTCCTGACCTCATGATCCACCCGCCTTGGCCTCCCAAAGTGCTGGGATTATAGGCATGAGCCACCACGCCTGGCCAAATTCTCTCTCTTTTTTTTTTTTTTTGAGACGGGGTCTCTCTCTATTGCCCAGGTTGGAGTGCAGTTGGCTTCATTTTCAAACAGGAAGTCTCCAAGTGGTGGTGAAGATGACACCAGCAGTCCTAGGGTTATCCGCTTTACATATATAATCTCCCATTATCAATGCAAGTTTAGCAGGAAGCTATTATTATCCTCATTCTACAGAGGAAGAAACTGAGGCTCAGAGAAGTTTAGTGAAGGTCACCCAGCTGGTAAGGATGGAGACTACTATAGGCTGAATGGTGTTTCCCAATTCATGTGTTGAAGTTCTAACCCCCAGGACCTCAGAGTGTGACCTTATGTGGAGACAGGGTCTTTACAGACGTAATCAAGTTAAAATGAAGTCATTAAATGTGAGTTCTAATCTAATGTTACTGGTGTCTTCATAAAGAGGGGAAATTTGGAAACAGACATGCATGGGGGAAGATGATGTGGAGAGACACAGGAAGAAGATGGTCATTGGTGAGCTAAGGAGAAAGGCCTAGAACAGAATCTTCCCTCATAGCCCTCAGAAGGAACCAACGCACCAACATCTTGATTTTGAACTTCTTTTTAAGTTTTAAATTTTATTTAAATTTTTTTTAGAGATAGGGCCTCTCTCTGTCACCCAGGCTGGGGTGTAGTGGTGTGATCATAGCTCATGGTAATCTCAAACTTTTGAGTTCAAGTGATCCTTTCACCTCAACCTCTCAAGTAGCTGGGACTGCAGGTGCACACCATCATGCCTGGCTAATTAAAAAAAAATCTTTTTTTGTAGATATGAGGTCTTGCTATGTTGCCTAGGCTGATCTTGAACTCTTGGCCTTGGGTGGGCCTCCTGCCTGGTCCTCCCAAACTGTTGGGATTATAAGTGTGAGCCACTGTACCCAGTGATTCTGAGCTTCTAACCTCCAGTACTGGGAGACAATATATTTTTGTTGTCTAAGCCACTGAATTTGTGGTACTTTGTTCCAGCAGCCCTAGCAAACTAATACAGAGCCCAAATTTGAATTCAGATCTGACTCCAAAGCTGGTATTCTTTCTTCTACACCATGTGACTCTGCAGTGCTGTAATGTGTGTGATGACTGTGAGTTTTATAAGATGGATTCATTTTCTGAACTGAACAATAAAATATTTTTCTGGATGGGATTCTGCAAGTGCTTTCTGCTTTCACAAACCTCTAGAGGAAGGTGAGCATTTTCTACTGGCAGCTGTGTTTCAACAACTCCAAGCAATCCAGTGTGAAAGAAGTGAACACGTAAGCTTCATACTGGGTAATTGCTGATTGTAATTGAGAGAATGTTGAAATTTGTTAAAGTTCCATGTGTATACCTGTGATGATAGCAACTAGGTGGCTCTGAGAAAGAGGGGAGTTTGCTTCTGGTTTCATGGGTAATGTAAAGAAGCAATCTGTACCGAGCATGGTGGCTCACGCCTGTAATCCCAGCACTTTGGGAGGCCAAGGTGGGCGGATCACATGACACCAGGAGTTCAAGACCAGCCTGGCCAACACAGTGAAACCCTGTCTCTACTAAAAATACAAAAATTAGCCAGGCGTGGTTGTGGGCGCTTGTGGTCCCAGCTACTCCAGGTGGGGGGTAGGGGGCTGAGGCAGGAGAATTGCTTGAGCCAGGGAGGCGGAGGTTTCAGTGAGCTGAGATTGGGACACTGCACTCCAGCCTGGGCGACAGAGTGAGATTCCATCTAAAAAAAAAAAAAAAAAAAAAAAAAAAAGAAGCAATCTGAACAGCACTAAATTTTCTCCTCTGTGTTCTTATCAAACACTGTAAGATTGTTACAGGATATTTATTCACTCACTGCCTTAACAAATATAGATGAAGTGTCTGTCATGTATGAGTTCCAGTACGTGATGGAATAAGGCAGTACTCTCTAATAGAAATATAGTACAAGCCACATAGTGAGCCTCACAGGCAATTTAGCATTTTCTAGTAGGCACATTAAAAAAAGTAAAAAGAAACAGGTGAAATTAATTGTAATAATATCGTAGTTAACACAACCTACCAAAAATATTTTCAGTTAAACATGTAATCAATGTAAAAATGGCTTCTGTGATATTTTACGTTTTTTCATCCAAGTATTCAATACTGGGGATGTGTTTTTCCCTGACAGCACATCTTTATTTGGACTGGCCGCATTTCAGATGCTGAATAGTGACATCTGGCTGGGTGGCCCCTGTATTGGACAGTACAGGTCTACAGGATAATGCTATTAAGATGATGGCAGTAAGAGTAAGTATCATAATGACTTCCATTTATTTTTGTACCATGTGCCATGAATGCTCTTTTTACACACATTTTTTTTTTTTTGAGATAGGGTCTTTCTGTGTTGCCCAGGCTGAAGTGCAGTAGCATGATCATAGCTCACTGCAGCCTCATTCCTGGGCTCCAGGGACTCTCCCACTTCAGCCTCCCAAAGTGCTGGGATTACAGGTGTGAGTCACCATGCTAGGCCGTTTTTTTTTTTTTAAGCTTAAGTTTTGAATGCATTTATACAATTTAAAATAAAAACATAAATAACTATATAGCAAAATGTCTCAACCTTAGTCATCATCTTCCAAGTTCCCATTTCTTAAAATCAAAAAAACAGAAACAAGAACCTCTTTTATTAGTTTATTACATGTTCTTACATTTTATTTAAACAAATATATATTCTTATTTTTCCTTCCTTTTTGTGACCCTAAATTAGCAAATTGTATACATGTTGTACATCCTATGTATTTCACTAAACAGTTTATATTAGGGGTCTTTTCTTTTCTTTTTTTTTTTTGAGACGGAGTCTCGCTCTTATTGCCCAGGCTGGAGTGCAATGGTGTGATCTCGGCTCCCCGCAACCTCGCTTCCCGGGTTCAAGTGATTCTCCTGCCTCAGCCTCCCGAGTAGCTAGGATTACAGGCATGCACCACCATGCCCGGCTAATTTCTGTACTTTTAGTAGAGACCAGATTTCTCCGTGTTGGTCAGGCTGGTCTCAAACTCCCGACCTCAGGTGATCTGCCTGCCTCGGCCTCCCAAAGTGCTGGGATTGCAGGCGTGAGCCACTCTGCCCAGTGGGATCTTTTCATACTAGTGCACAATTTCCTGATTCTTTTTCACAGCTGCACTGTATGAAGATAGCGTAATTTAATTAGTCTATAGATGAACATTAAAGGTATTTCCAGTGTTTGTAATTAAAAGCGAGATACTACAATGAATATCTTGTGCATTTGTCATTTCACATGTATGCAAGATTGTTATAGAATAAATTTCTGGAACTGGGATTGTTGGGCCATAGGCAAAGGTGTGTATAATTTGGGAAGGTACTGCAAAACTGTCCTTTGTAGGGGTCATACCAATTCATGCTTCTACCATCAATTGTGCAGGAAATGCATTCAAAACTCAAGCTTTATTTATTTATCTATTTATTTATTTTTTTCAGATGGAGTCTCACTCTGTTGCCCAGGCTGGATTGCAGTGGTGCGATCTCGGTTCATTGCAACCTCTGCCTCCTGGGTTCAAGTGATTGTCCAGCCCTGGCCTCCAGAGTAGCTGGGATTATAGGAGTGTGCCACCATGCCCAGCTAATTTTTGTATTTTTTAGTAGAGATGGGGTTTCGCCATGTTGGCCATGCTGGTCTTGAACTCCTGACCTCAGGTGATCCACCCACCTCGGCCTCCCAGAGTGCCGGGATTACAGGCATGAGCCACTGCACCTGGCCAAAACTTAAGCTTTTAAAAAAAGACAATGGCCTGACATAGTGATGCACGCTGGTAATCCCAGCACTTTGGGAGGCTGAGGTGGGAGGATCACTTGAGCTCGGAATGAGGCTGCAGTGAGCTTTGATCACACTAGTGCACTTCAGCCTGGGCAACAGAGCAATATATAGGATGTACACATTGTGCAAAAGGAGTTCTTGTTTTACTTAATTCTTAAACTGTATGAAGTACATATTATTATTTTATTATTTTTTTTAGAGACAGGATCTCTCTCTGTCACCCAGGCTGGAGTACAGTGACGTGATCATAGCTCACTGTAGCCTCAAACTCCTGGGCTCAAGTGATCCTCCTGCCTCAGCCTCCCAAGTAACTAGGAAATACTGGTGTGTGCCACCACACCCAACTAATTACAATTTTTTTTTGATGTGATGGGAGTCTTGCTATGTTGTCCAGGCTGGTCTTGAACTCCTGGCCTTAAGTGATCCTCTTGCCTTGGCCTCCCAAAGTACTGAGATTACAGGCATGAGCCACCACCCTTGGCCGAAGTATATATTATTAAACCTACTTTTCAGGTAAAGAAACTGAGGATGCAGGCAGGTTATGTGACATACACAGTAATGTGAATGTATATACGAAAAGCACAAGATTCAACCCCAGATCTGCTACACACACACACACACACACACACACACACACACACACACACCATAAACTTACAATGAATTGGAAGTACCATTCATATAACTTTTTTTTCTGAATCATTTGAGAGTAAGCTGACTATTTGACCCCATGCCCACATAGATTATTCCTGAACAGATCAGAATTTCTGTGGAATGACAGTGAAATAGCAAAACAAAAATAAGCACACTATAGTGCTTCACCAGGTTAAACTTATTCACTATAATGGATGGTACTTTATGGCCTCCCGATGTTTAGAGTGCTCATATGTCTTTTATGAAATTATGGGTATGTTAGATCAGGCTAATTTTTACCGTTCATTATGAAAGGTAACATTTACAAAAGTAGAGTAGTGTAATGAACTCCCATGAACCTAGCACACAATATCCACAATTATCAACAGATGACACATCTTGTTTCATGTAACCTCCTTCCCATCCCCTCTTCCCCTGTTAGATTAGTTTAAAACAAAGTGTACACATTAGTTTTTAATTTTATTTTTTTTAGGGACAAGGCCTTGCTCTATCACCTGGGCTGGAGTGCAGTAGTGTAATCATGGCTCACTACAGCCTTAACTCTTGGCCCCAAGTGATCCTCCCTCCTCAGCTTCCTGAGTAGCTGGGACTACAGATATGTGTCACCGTGCTCAAATTTATTTTTGCTTTTTGTAGAGATAGGGTCTTGCTATGTTGCTCAAGCTAGTCTAGAACTCTTGGACTCAAGTGATCCTTCCACCTCGGCTTCCCAAAGTGCTGGTATTACAGGCATGAGACACTGTACTTAGCTCCGACATTGTATAATTTTATCCGTAAATATTTCAGTATATTTCTATGTAAGAACTATTTAAAAAAAAAACCATCAACACTATAGACATGGTTGGTTTAAGTGTTCATTTATGTGGCTTTTTACTTTTACATTTAGCAATCAAATATTGGTCCCTTCAAAACAAATTTTTTTGGAGGCTGGGCATAGTGGCTCACACCTGTAATCTCAGCACTTTGGGAGGCTGAGGCATGCGGATTACCTGAGGTCAGGAATTCGAGACCAGCGTGGCCAACATGGTGAAACCCTGTCTCTACTAAAAATACAAAAATTAGTGTGGTGGTGCGTGCCTGTAATCCCACCTACTCTGGAGGCTGAAGCAGGGGAATCACTTGAACCTGGGAGGCAGAGGTTGCAGTGAGCTGAGATCATGCCACCGCACTCTAGCCTGGGCAACAGAGTGAAACTCCGTCTCAAACAAAAACAAAAACAAAAATTGTTTTATTTTTTGGAAATGTTACTGGTCTATGAAATCCCCAGATCTAGGAATCACCACTGAACTGTCCCAGGGCTTCTGGCATCATGCTTCATAAGCCTTCAAAATGGTTCTGACTCAGGGAAGACCCAGGCTTTCTGAGACCTGAAGCTGAAACAATTTGGGGGCCTTCTTTAAGATAAATAAGGTGCAGTGGCTCATGCCTGTAATCCCGGCACTCTGGGAGGCCGAGGTGGGTGGATCACCTGAGGTCAGGAGTTCAAGACCAGCATGGCCAAAATGGCGAAACCCCATCTCTACTAAAAAATACAAAAATTAGCTGGGCATGGTGGCACACTCCTATAATCCCAGCTACTCTGGAGGCCAGGGCTGGACAATCACTTGAACCCAGGAGGCAGAGGTTGCAATGAACCGAGATCGCACCACTGCAATCCAGCCTGGGCGACACAGTGAGACTCCATCTCAAAAAAATAAATAAATAGATAAATAAATAAAGCTTGAGTTTTGAATTTATCTTTGAATTTTGTACAAAATTAAAAGTACAAAATAATACTTGAAAGTGAATGTATTTTTACATGAGGAAAGAACTTGCCACACATTACAAAGCTGAAAAGCTGACAAATACCAGAAACCTCACAAAATCCAGAAAAAGAATGCAACGTTTTTTATTAATGAACTGCCTGAGAACCCCCTCTGTTACATTCCCCCTACATTCTTTGTCTGCATACATTCTTTGTCTGATTGCCTCTCCATAGGACAATGATATTATAACATCATGTTCAATAGAGAGAATAGCAAGATAATTCAGTTTTTCCTCTAGGATGATTGTTTGAAATTTGTTTTTTATTATTGATGGTAGGTGGCTTTGCATACAGATAGACTTGCTGTTTGTAGCACTGTCTCTGGTTTGTGCCTTTGCCTGATAAACTCTATTTCTTGAGATTCCATCAACAGAGGTGCATTTATCATTGTAGTCTCAGCAGTCTTGGGCATATTCCCAATGGGAGAGAACTTCCATTTTGATTAAGTTTCAATGAGAAGTGAAACTTCTACTTACGAGTTTGCACATCAGATGTTGGGAAAATTTTCTAAAGATGACTTCCGGTTCTGTGGATTTAATACCACGTTGCTTCTCCACTCTCTACTCCTCACAGAATTCCAGCCCAGGGCTCTGTAGAATGAATTTTTATCCCCACTGGACATCTGGCCCTGCATCTTTGGGTCACTCTTCTGGGTGCTGAGCTACAGAAGTTATCCTGGGAGCTACTCCTATAGAAAGACAGCTAGTCATGGAAGTGACCATGATCCACATAAATATATCATATACCCCTGAACCCAGACCAGATATATCACCAATAGAATTTCCTCTTAGCCTGGTTTCCCAAATACGTGCAGCTTCTCTAAAGACACAGCATGGAGGGAAATATGATGGGGAAGGCAGAGTGGAAAGAAATAGCATTTTTTAACTGATTGTGGCTAAAATATCTTTTTTTTTTTTTGAGACAAGGTCTTGCTCTGTGGCTCAGGCTGGAGTGCAGTGGCATGAACATGGCTCACTGCAGTCTCAACCTCCTAGGCTCAAGGGATGCTCCCATCTCAGCCTCCTGAGTAGCTGGGACTACAGGTGTGCACCACTACACCCAGCTAATTTTTACATTTTTGGTAGAGATGGGGGTCTCACTATGTTGCCCAGGCTAGTCTTGAACTCCAGACCTTGAGCAATTCTCCTGCCTCAGCCTCCCAAAGTGTTGGGATTACTGGTGTGAGCCACTTTGTGAGGCTGAAAATAAATATCTTACTTTTGCAGATTATAGCAGATTATGACTTTCAGAGCACATTGTCACAGCTTCATTAACCTCATGGTAAATTTGGCTCTGCCCGTGACTGCTTTTCTGATCTCATCCCCCACAGTTTCCCATCCTTCATGCTGTTCCATGAACAGACCTGCTTCTGTTCCTGTAGTATGCCAGGAATTGTCTGCCTCAGGGCCTTAGCACTTACTGTTCCTCCTGCCTGGAACACTTTCCCCAGATATCCACACATGGCTCACTTTTGAGTTCCTTCAGCTGTCTGCTCAAATGGCAGCTTCTCACCATCATGTTTAAAATTGCCAAAAGCAATTGCAACAAAAGCAAAAATTGACAAATGGGATCTAACTAAACTCAGGAGCTTCTGCACAGAAAAATAAACTATCATCAGAGTGAACAGGCAACCTAGAGAGTGGGAGAAAATTTTTTTAATCTATCCATCTGGCAAAGGTCTAATATCCAGAATCTACAAGGAACTCAAACAAATTTACTAGAAAAAAGCAACAACAAACCACCCCATTAAAAAGTGAGCAAAGGCAATGAACAGACACTTCTCAAAAGAAGACATCCACGAAGCCAACAAACATATGAAAAAAATCTCAACATCACCGATCATTAGAGAAATGCAAATCAAAACCACAATGAGATACCATCTCATGCCAGTCAGAATGACAGTTATTAAACAGATGCTGGTGAGGTTGTGGAGAAACAGGAATGCTTTTATGCTGTTGGTGGGCATACAAATTAGTTCAACCATTATGGAAGACAGTGTGGTGATTCCTCAAAGATCTAGAACCAGAAATACCATTTGATCTAGCAATCTCATTACTGGGTATATATCCAAGGGAATATAAATCATTCTATTACAAAGACACATGCATACGTATGTTCACTGCAGCACTATTCACAATAGCAAAGACATAGAATCAACTCAAATGCCCACCAACAATAGACTGGATAAAGAAAACGCGGTACATATACACCATGGAATACTATGTAGCCATAAAAATGAATGAGATCATGTTCTTTGCAGGGTCATGGATGAAGCTGTAAGCCATTATCCTCAGCAAACTAACACAGGACCAGAAAACAAACACTGCATGTTCTCACTTATAAGTAGGAGCTGAATAATGAGAACACATGGACTTATGGAGGGGAACAACACACACTGGGGCCTGTTGTGGGTGGGGCGGGGGGAGAGAGAGCAGTAGGAAAAATAGTTACGAAGGCACACGTTTACCTATGTAGCAAATCTGCACATCCTGCACATGGACCCCGGAACTAAAAATAAAAATTAAACAAAATAGCACCCTAAAACCTAGCACCCCACTCTTTGTACCCTACTTTTTCTCAGTAACACTTACCACCTTGACATAATAGATATTGACTCATTTGTTAAGTGTATATCTCCCTCCTGTTAAAATGTAAGCTCATGAGAACAGGGACTTTGTTTGCACATTGGTGTGTCCCCAGCACCTAGACCAGGGCTTCCCTAGAGTAATTGCTGAAGAAATATTAGCTGAATGAATGAAGAGCAATTGGAAACCACTGAAGAATTTTAAGTGGAGAGACATGAGGCTTTCCTGGTTCTGTCAAAAGAAATTACTCTCTCACTTATCTTTCTCCCAGAACATCTTTCCACAATTTTTCTTGAATTATAATTACCTGTCAGTCTAATTTTCTCCAAAAGATTGTTGAGGATAGAGAGTATGTTTAATTCATCAACACACCCCCTACCACATGTATTGCATGAATTAACACTGGTGGAATTAAACGGAAGTTACTATTTCTCTGTACATAAATTCTTGAAATGGCTGTGTTTGGTTTTCTCAGCAAACTAGATTATAAACTGTTTCTGAGTAGGGAAAGTTTCCTTGGCCATTTATGTCCTCTCAGCAGCTCTTAGCAATCAGTACATTGCTCTTCTTAAATAGGGTTCAATCTCTTTGTGTTTCTGTCTATACAATTTCTGTGACTTAATGACATCCAGTTCTCCATTCTAATGAATTTCCAAGCAATTTTTTTTTTCCAAGCAAGTCTCTCTCTTGTCGCCCAGGCTGGAGTGCAATGGCATGATCTTGGCTCACTGCAACCTCTGCCTCCCAGGTTCCAGTGATTCTCCTGCCTCAGCCTCCAGAGTAGCTGGGATTACAGGCACCTGCCACCATGCCTGGCTAACTTTTTTTGTATTTTTATAGAGACGGGGTTTCACCATGTTGGCCAGGCTGGTCTTGAACTCCTAACCTCAGGTGATCCTCCCGCCTCGGCCTCCCAAAGTGCTGGGATTAATAGATGTGAGCTACCACGCCTGGCTCCAAGCAAAATTTATGCATCCATTAGGACACCTAAAGTTTCTATGAATCAAAATCCAACTAAAAGCAGCTTAAACAGGTAGGAGTTCATTATATCAGATGGCCAAAGGGCTGGAGGCAGACTGTCTTTAGGATTGTTTAATTCTATACTCCATTGACATATTCTAGGATACATCTTTCAGCTCTGCCATTCTAGCTTGTCTCCTCATGGTCATGAGATGGCTACAGTGGTTCCCAGCATCATGTTCTCATACAGTGACATCCAGAGGCAGGAGAAGAAACTGCTTCTTCTCAGGTATCTCTTCTAGAAGGGAAACCCTTTCCCTGAAGTCCTGCAGTGTATTTTCCTTTGCTTATCATTGGCTAGAATTGCAACACATGCTCTTGCCTAAACTAGTTTGGTTAGGGAAATGGAAGTGTTCAGATCTGCCTATATTAATTGAGATTCATCCCCTGGCATGGAGGAGGAGGCATTAACCTCAGCACAGAGTCACACAGAGGCTTTGCCCTCTTACAGCCAGGAGGGAGCATATAGGGATGGACTTGGGTTAGCACTGATAGTGTCTGTTATATCTTCTGCTTGTTTGTTCTCCAACCTGCCCTGATTAAAAGGCCTGAAAAATTTGAGGTCCCCAGATCCTTCTTCCCAACCAAAACTTAGGGCCATGCTATTTTTTTTTTGAATTGATCTCTTAAGCAAACAAACAAAAAAGCCCCTACACTAAATACCAAGCAGTGACTTATCTAGTTTTAAAAAGAAACAAAACCAGGTCAGTGAATTTGAATTAAAACTGCACACAGAGCACATTGCTTAGTCTCTCTGTGCCTCAGTTTACTTATCTATGAAATGAGGATAATAGTAATACTTAAGTTATAGGGTTGGTGTAAAGATTAAATACATTATTATACAGTCAATTTTCATTATTTATGGGTTCTGCATTCAAGAATTCTCCTACTCGCTAAAATTTATCAGTAGCCCTTAAATGAATACCTCTGGCAATTTTGTGGTCACTCATGGACATTTGCAGAGAAGTGAAAAAGCTGAGTTGCTCAATGTACATGCATGTTCCCAGGTAAAGTTGAACAAGACAACATTCTATCTTCTTGTTTTAGCTCTCATACTGTAAACACAGGTTCTTTTCATGTCTATTTAGTGCCCCCCTTTTTTCTTCTGCATTTTAGTGCTTTTGTTAAAGATCTTGCTGTTGATTCCCGGGCAAGATGGCTGAATAGGAACAGCTCGGGTCTGTGGCTCCCTAAGAGATCAACGCAGAAGGCGGGTGATTTCTGCATTTCCAACGGAGGTACCTGGCTCATCTCATTGGGACTGGTTAGACAGGGGGTGCAGCCCACAGAGGGCGAGTCGAAGCAGGGTGGGGTGTCACTTCACCCGGGAAGCGCAAGGGGTCAGGGAACTCCCTCCCCTAACCAATGGAAGCCGTGAGGGACTATGCCTTGAGGAACCGTGCATTCCAGCCCAGATGCTATGCTTTTCCCACAGTCTTCACAACCCAGAGACTAGGAGGAGATTCTCTTGGGTGTCTACACAACCAGGGCCCTGGGTTTCAAACACAAAGCTGGGTGGCCATTTGGGCAGACACCGAGCTAGCTGCAGGAGTTTCTTTTCATATTCCAGTGGCGCCTGGAATGCCAGTGAGAGAGAACCGTTCACTCCCCTGGAAATGGGGCAGAAGCCAGGGAGCTGAGTGCTCTTGCTCAGCAGATCCCACCTCCACATGGCCCAGCAAGCTAAGATCCCCTGGCTTGAAATTCTTGCTGCCAGCACATCAGTTTGAAGTCGACCTAGGAGGCTTGAGCTTGGTGTGGGAAGGGGTGCCCGCCATTACTGAGGCTTGAGTAGGTGGTTTTCCCCTCACAGTGTAAACAAAGCCCCTGGGAAGTTCGGACTGGTTGGAACCCACCACAGTGACTCAAAGCTGCTGTAGCCAGACTGCCTCCCTAGATTCCTCTTCTCTAGGCAGGGCATCTCTGAAAAAAAAGGCAGCAGCCCCAGTCAGAGGCTTATAGATAAAACTCCCATCTCCCTGGGACAGAACACCTGTGGGAAGGGGCGACTGTGGGCGCAGCTTCAGCAGACTTAAATGTTCCTCCTTGCTGGCTCTGAAGAGAGCAGCAGACCTCCCAGCACAGAGCTCCAGCTCTGTTAAGGGACACACTGCCTCCTCAAGTGGGTCCCTGACCTCTGTGCCTCCTGACAGGAGACACCTCCCAGCAGAGGTCGACAGACACCTCATACAGGAGAGCTCAGGCTGGCATCTGGCAGGTGCCCCTCTGGGACGAAGCTTACAGAGGAAGGAGAAGGCAGTAATCTTTGCTGTTCTGCAGCCTCCGCTGGTAATACGCAGGCAAACAGGGTCCGGAGTGGACCTCCAGCAAACTCCAGCAGATCTGCAGAAGAGGGGCCTGTTAGAAAGAAAACTAATGAACAGGAAGCAATAGCATCAACATCATAAAAAAAACCAACCACTCAAAAACCCCATCCAAAGGTCACCAACATCAAAGACCAAAGGTAGACAAATCCACGAAGATGAAGAAAAACCAACACAAAGAGGCTGAAAATTCCAAAAACCAGAATGCTGCTTCTCCTCCAAAAGATCACAACTCCTCACCAGGAAGGGAACAAAACTGGATGGAGAATGAGTTTGATGAATTGACAGAAGTAGGCTTCTGAAGGTGGGTAATAACAAGCTCTTCCTGAGCTAAAGGAGCATATTCTAACCCAATACAAGGAAGCTAAGAACCTTGAATAAAGGTTAGATGAATTGCTAACTAGAATAACTAGTTTAGAGAAGAACATAAATGACCTGATGGAGCTGAAAAACACAGCAAAAGAACTTCGTGAAGCACACACAAGTATCAAGAGCTGAATCAATCAAGCAGAAGAAAGGATATCAGAGATTGAAGATCAACTTAATGAAATAAAGTGTGAAGACAAGACTAGAGAAAAAAGAATGAAAAGAAATGAACAAAGCCTTAAAAAATATGGGTCTGTGTGAAGAGACCAAATCTATGTCTGATTGGTGTACCTGAAAACGACGGGGAGAAAGGAAACAAGTTGGGAAACACACTTCAGGATGTTATCAAGAGAACTTTCCCAACCTAGCAAGACAAGCCAACATTCAAATTCAGGAAATACAGAGAACACCACAAAGAGAGCAACCCCAAGACACATAATCATCCGATTCACCAAGGTTGAAATGAAGGAAAAAATATTAAGGGCAGCCAGAGAGAAAGGTCAGGTTACCCGCAAAGGGAAGCCCATCAGACTAACAGCAGATCTCTCTGAAGAAACCCTACAAGCCAGAAGAGGGTGGGTGCCAACATTCAACATTCTTAAAGAAAATAATTTTCAACCCAGAATTTCATATCCGGCCACATTAAGCTTCATAAGTGAAGGAGAAACAAAATTCTTTAAAGACAAGCGAATGCTGAGGGATTTTGTCACCACCAGGCCTGCTCTACAAGAGCTCCTGAAGGAAGCACTAAATATGGAAAGGAAAAACCAGTACCAGCCACTGCAAAAACATACAAAAATGTAAAGACCATCGACACTATGAAAAAACTGCATCAACTGATGGGTAAAATAACCAGCTAGCATTATAATGACAGGATCAAATTCATACATAACAATATTAACCTTAAATGGAAACAGGCAAAATGCCCCAATTAAAAGACATAGACTGGCAAATTGGATAGAGCCAAGACCCATCAGTGTGCCATATTTAGGAGACCCATTTCACATGCAAAGACACACATAGGCTCAAAATAAAGGAATGGAGGAAGATTTACCAAGCAAATGGAAAGCAAAAAAAAAAAAAAAAAAAAAAAAAAAGCAGAGGTTGCAATCCTAGTCTCTGATAAAACACTTTAAACCAACAAAGATCAAAAAAGTCAAAGAAGGGCATTACATAATAGTAAAGGGATCAATGCAACAAGAAGAGCTAACTATCCTGAATATATATGCACCCAATACAGGAGCACCCAGATTCAAATTCATCAAGGAAGTTTTTAGAGACCTATGAAGAGACTTAGACTCCCACCCGATAATAGTGGGAGACTTTAACATCCCACTGTCAATATTAGACAGATTAACAAGACAGAAAATTAACAAGGATATTCAGGACTTGAACTCAGCTCTGGACGAAGCAGACCTAATAGACATCTACAGAATTCTCCACCCCAAATCAACAGAATATACATTCTTCTCAGCACCACATAGCACTTATTCTAAAATTGACCACATAATTGGAAGTAAAATACTCCTCAGCAAATGCAAAAGAATGGAAATAATAAGTCTCTTAGACCACGGTGCAATCAAATTAGAACTCAGGATTAAGAAACACACTGAAAACTGCACAACTATAGGGAAGCTGAACAATCTGCTCCTGAATGGCTACTGGGTAAATGACGAAATTAAGGCAGAAATAAGTAAGTTCTTTGAAACCAATGAGAACAAAACACAATGTACCAGAATCTCTGGGACACATATAATGCAGTATTTAGAGGGAAATTTATAGCACTAAATTCCCACAGGAGAAAGCAGGAAAGAACTAAAATCGACACCCTAACATCACAATTAAAAGAACTAGAGGAGCAAGAGCAAATCAATTCAAAAGCTAGCAGAAGACAAGAAATAACTAAGATCAGATCAGAACTGAAGGAGATACAGACACAAAAAACCCTTCAAAAGATCAATGAATCCAGGAGTTGGTTTTTTGAAAAGATTAGCAATATAGATAGATTGCTAGCCAGACTAATAAAGAAGAAAAGAGAGAAGAATCAAACAGACACAATAAAAAATGATAAAGGGATGTCACCACTGGTCCCACAGAAATACAAACTACCATCAGAGAATACTATGAACACCTCTACGCAAATAAACTAGAAAATCCAGAAGAAACAGACAAATTCCTGGACACATACACCCTCCCAAGACTAAACCAGGAAGAAGTTGAATCTCTGAATAGACCAATAACACGTTCTGAAATAGGTACACGCATACCTATGTGACAAATCTGCACGTTCCACACATGTATCCCAGAACTTAAGTATAATAATAATAAAAAAGAATACTTTTAAATCAATTTTGCTTCCACTTTTACCTTTTAAAATAATCTAGATAGCCATTTTTAAGTGCCAGGTAGGGTGGAAGTTGACTAAATACGGACAGAGCTACAAAGTGAAATTAAAGAACTATGCTTTATGAATACCTGTCTTAAAGGGTAATACATCTTGAGTGTCCTTATTTTTATTTTATTATTCAGCTCCTATCATCAATCGTGGTAGCTTCCTCCCCAGCACTGGTTAGCTAGAACTTTGAGAAGCTGAGATTCCCTGAACTCAATGGGGTCTTGACCTCAATCTGTTGTCCAAACAGGTGCAAATTTGCTGCAAAGCATCATTGTCTGCTCCATGTTTTACTGTTCTGAGTTATTTCATTAAATGCATTTATAAACTTGAAAAAAAAGATTTTGCTGTTGAAAATAGCCCTGAAGCATAATGCTCAAGTGCTGTCTATTGTTTCTATGCACCAGGAGGCTGTTGTGTTTCTTATGTAGAAAATACATTTATTAGATAAGCTTCATTCTGTTATGAGTTGTAGTGCTGCTGGTCATGAGTTCATTGTGGATGAATTAACAATATCCACTAAATAAGGTGTCTTTAAATGGAAACACCCATGAAACAAGGTTGTGTATTGATGAGCTATCAAAAACGTTTTGATTGGAGACTCACAGGAACTTAACTCTGTATTTCCCCTAGGAGCAATGATTCAGTATTCATTAATTCAGTGTTTGTGGTGACTTTATAGAACATAACTACCTTGAATAAGGAGAATCAACTCTATTTAAAGTGTTTAGGATAGCTTCTGTCATGTAGTTAAGAACTACTTGATTATTGGTTATAGTGTCACCCAAAATAATAATATTCTCTAAACTAGAATAATATTAAAATCATAGAATATTCTGCAAAGTAAATATGAACTGAGCCTATATTTCATGCTATTTCATTTATGTCCCTGTCAAAGTAAACAAGTAAACACAAAAACAACCATACACACGGCTGGTTTCATAGCCAGACAGCCAAGAGCCAAAGGATTCAACCCAACTCAATGCCCTCAAGGGTCATAGCTAGATCAAAATAAGAGCCATTGATGACAAACCCATGGCCAACATCACACTAAACAGGCAGAGGCTGGAAGCATCCCTCTTGAGAGCTGGAACTAGACAAGGATGCCTACTTTCACCACTCCTATTCAACATAGCTCTGGAAGTCCTAGCCAGAACAATCAGGCAAGAGAAAGAAATAAAAAGCATCTAAATAGGGTGAGAGGAAGTCAAACTATTTCTGTTTGTAGGCAATATGATATTATACCTAGAAAACCCCAGAGTCTTTGCCCAAAATCTCCTAGCTGATAAACAACTTCAGCAATGTTTCAGGATACAAAATCAATGTACAAAAATCAGTAGCATTCATATACACCAACAATATCCAAGCTGAGAGCCAAATCAGGAACGCAATACTGTTCACAATATCCACCTGACTCCCTGCCCCTAAAAAAACCAGTGCAGGAATACTGCTAACCAGGGAGGTGATAGATCTCTACACTGCTGAAAGATACCACCGATGGCCAGGACCAGTGGCTCACCCCTGTAATCTCATCACTTTGGGAGGCTGAGGCGGGTGGATCACCTGAGATTAGGAGTTTGAGACCAGCCTGGCCAAAATGGTGAAACCCCATCTCTACTAAAAAATACAAAAAAATTAGCCAGGTGTAGTGGTGCATGCCTCTAGTCTTAGCTACTTGAGTGGGTGAGGCTGGAGAATCACTTGAACCCAGGAGGTGGAGGTTGCAGTGAGCCAAGATCATGCCATCGCACTCCAGCCTGGGCAACAAGAGTGAAACTCTGTTTCAAAAACAAAACAAAACAAATCAAAACAAAAAACAAAGATACCAGAGATGATACAAACAAATGGAAAAATGCTTCATGCTCATGGATAGGAAGAATCAATAATGCTAAAATGGCCATACTGCCCAAAGCAACTTACAGATTCAATGCTATTCCTATCAAACTACCAATGACTTTTTTACAGAATTAGGAAAAAGTATTCTAAAATTCACATGGAACCAAAAAACAGCCTGACTAGCCTAAGCATCCTAAGCAAAAAGAATAAAGCTGGAGGCATTACACTACTCAACTTCAAACTATACTATAAGGCTACAGTAACCCAAACAGCATGGTACTGGTACAAAAACAGACACATAGACCAATGGAACAGGTTACAGAACCCAGAAATAGAGCCGCACACCTACAACTATCTGATCTTTGACAAAGTTGACAAAAACAAGCAATGAGGGAAGGACCCCTTATTCAATGAATGGTGCTGGGGTAACTGGCTAGCCATACACAGAAGATTGAAACTGGAGACTGCTGCCTTTCACCATACTCAAAAATCAACTGAAGATGGATTGAAGATTTAAATGTGAAACCTAAAACTATAAAAATCCTGGAAGAAAACCTAGGAAATACCATTCTGGATATAGGCCATGGCAAAGATTGGATGATGAAGACTCCAAAAGCAACTGCAACAAAAATGAAAATTGACAAATAGAACCTAATGAAACTAAAGAGCTTCTGCACAGCAAAATAAACTATCAACAGAGTAAAGAATCAACCTACAGAATGCAAGAAAACATTCACAAACTATGCGTTCATCAAAGGTCTAATATCCAGGAACTATATGGAACTTAAACAAATTAACAAGCAAAAGACAAACAATCCCATTAAAAGGTGGGCAAAGGACATGAACAGACACTTCTCAAAAGAAGACATACATGTGGCCAACAAGCATATGAAAAAATGTTCAACATCACTAATCATTAGAGCAATGCAAATCAAAACCACAATGAGATACCATCTCACACAGCTCAAAAAGGCTATTCTTAAAAAGTCAAAAAGTGACAGATACTGGTGAGGTTGTGGAGAAAAGGGAATGCTTATACAGTGCTGGTGGGAAAGTAAATTAGTTCAGCCATGTGGAAAGCAGTTTGGTGATTTCTCAAAGAACTTAAAACCAGAAGTACCATTTGATCTAGCAATCCAATTACTGGGTATATACCCAAAGGAATATAAATTGTTCTACCACAAAGACACATGCACATATATGTTCATTGTAGCACTATTCACAATGGCAAAGACATGGAATCTACCTAAATGTCCATCAGTGGTGGACTGGATAAAAAAATGTGCATGTGGCTGGGTGCGGTAGCTCACGCCTGTAATCCCAGCACTTTGGGAGGCCAAGGTGGTTGGATCACCTGAGGTCAGGAGTTTGAGACCAGCCTGACCAACATAGAGAAACCCTGTCTCTACTAAAAATACAAAATTAGCCGGGCGTGTTGGTGCATGCCTGTAATCCCAGCTACTTGGGAGGCTGAGGCAGGAGAATCACTTGAACCCAGGAGGGAGAGATTGTGGTGAGCCGAGATCACACCATTGTACTCTAGCCTGGGCAACAAGAGTGAAACTCTGTCTCCAAAAAAAAAAAAGAAAAGAAAAGAAAAGAAAAGAAAATGCGCGTGTACATTGCACCATGACATACTATACAACCATAACAATAAAATGTCCTTAGTAGCAACATGCATGGAACCAGAGATCATTATCCTTAGCAAATTAACACAGCAATAGAAAACCAAATACCACATGTTCTCACTTATAAATGGGAGCTAAACATTGTGTACCCATGGACACAAAGAAGACACCATAGACACTAGGGCCTACTTGAGGGTAGAGTGTGGGAAGAGGGTGAGGATCGGAAAACTACCTATTGGGTGCTCTACTTAACCTGGGTGACAAAATAATCTGTATACCAAATCCCCACGACACGCAATTCATTCATGTAACAAACCTGCACATGTACCCCTGAACCTAAAATAAAAGTTGGAAAGAAAGAAAAGCAAATGATCCCACCACTGCACTCTAGCCTGGGTGACACAGCGAGACTCTGTCTCAAAAAAAAAAAAAAAAAAAAAAAGAGAAAAGAAAAAGGAAAGTAAATGACTTAAAAAAAGGGTCACTACTGCAAAGCCACAAGGCAAGAGAGAAACAAGAGACAGTAAACTTGAGATGCTGCAGGATCTTGATTCCAGGCATGACCACTTGTGAAGGAGCACAAGTGTTGTCTCTGCTAACAGGACCCCTTAGCTCAGGTCTGGTTTTTGTCCTCTGGTTCAGTATTTCCCAGCCTTAGCCCAGAGCAGAGGAGCACTCAGGCCCCAGCATCTACTGAAGGAGGGTGAGCTGTGCTGGCTCCAGCCTCAGCTGACAGCAACATTTCTAGACACTCATTAGCATCCTCTCAATCTCTTTCTTTTGCCCTGTGATGCTGGATAGGGGGAATTAGACTGAAGCTTTGTTTGAAGTGCACCTTTACAGGAGATGAAAAGGTTAGAAGGAATTCCAAGCTGGGCTTTGGGGAAAAAGAGTGAATGATTCCACTACCTAGTCTCTTAGCTTTTCATATCACTGTGACACAACAGTTTCAAATCTATGTATAGAACAGCCTATTCAAAGCCATTTAGAATATAGGATAACAATGCCAAAATAATTTCAATGTAAGTCTTTGATCTCCTCATTATAATGCCATTACCATACCATTATTAGCTAAGATTACAATGACAAATCAATTTTAATTGAAGTCTTTGGAGATGCCATTTATAATGCTATTATGTGAATTTGCAATGGAAAAGTTACTTGAGCAAGCTTGTTGAAACAGAGCTATAATGCCACTATAATGGAAAATTTTGATGGTGAAATTATTCCAAGTTCCTAGGGACTGGTGATTATCATATAAAACTACCAACCATGAAAATATGCCCCCTCAATAATAAATCATGCGATAGATAGTATCTACTGATCAAAGAATATCTTTCTCATAGAATGAGTTCACAAAAATCATAGAATCCTAAAGCTGACAAATGGTCATTTTATAAATGGAACACCAGACATAAACCAGCCATTCAGTGAGTAGCAGAGCCTGGACTCAACCTCAGTTCTTTGAGTCTTAGTCTTCATGTCTTTGACTATTAGATCAGACTTCACCACCTATGTTTTCTCTAATTTCTTTAAAGAGCAGGACTCTGGCCAGGTATGGTGGCTTCCACTTGTAACCCCAGTGCTTCGGGAGGTCCAGGTGGAAGGGTCACTTGAGGCCAGGAGTTTGAGACCAGCCTGGGCAACATAGTGAGACCTGGTCTCTACAAAAATTTTAAAAAATTATCAGGGCATGGTGGTGTACACCTGTAGTCCTAGCTATTCAGGAGGCAGAGGCGGGAAGATTGCTTGAGCCCAGGAAGTTGAGGCTATAGTGAGCTATGATAGCACCACTGCATGCTAGCCTGGGACACAGAGTGAGAGCCTGTCCCTTAAAGAAGAGAGAGAGAGAGAGAAAGAGAGAGAGACAGAGAGAGGGAGAGAGAGAGACAGAACAGGACTTCAGGAAAAAAGTAAGGTTAGCATTAGACTAGAACCACAGGAAAATTTCTAGATCATGGAGATATCGTAAGATACTCATTTTGTCCTAGAAGATATCCTAGAAGAATTTTCAGTATCAGTGATTTCATGACTCCTAATGTTGGGAAGTTGGCCACATGGAAGTTGGAGCTTTATTCTGGCTTTATGGTTTCCGATGAGAGAATGTTTCTTTCCTGAAAGAGAAATTTAAACTCGTCTGTCTTTGAGTAGATAGAGAGGAAAAATGATCGTATTGCACCAAGGAGTTAGTTGCTTAATTCAGGCAACTAACGTATTGGTAAAAATAAAAAATCAGTTAGAACTGGTTGTTTGGCTGAAGAGAGTGTTTAATTCAATCACCCTGGGAAGCCATTGCCTCAAATTAGCTCACTAGAGTGTCTTTCATCCCCAGAGCAAGTCTTGTGTTGACTCACCTTCTTTATCTTAATTTGTTCAAAACACAGCCAGCCTCCTCTTACTTGAAAAAGCTTCTCTGTTCCCCTGTCACACCATCCCACTTCTTTCATTTTTCCCCTTCTATTCTGGCCCACCCTTTAGTGGAGTGTGTAGGGAAATGTGTTCTTTCCAGATGTCGATTTTCCTCCTTGGACGATTCTATTGTGGGCCAGACTTCCTGGTTCATTTGCTCTCAACTTGTTCATTTCTTAACAATGGCGGGCAGCTAATGTTTTTAGAAAGTTGCTATGTGCCAGGTACAGTGCTAATGATTTGATTTAGCAAATCTTGCCGTAATTATTATAACCTATCAACCTGGAGCTGAGTGAAGCTGTTTATCCAAGGTCTTGTGTGCAACTGGGATATGGACCTTGATTTGTTGGGTCCCAGAGCCTAAACTCTTAATCACTCTGTCCCAGGCAGCTTAACTTACAACAGTGGCTGAGCACACAGATTCTGTAGCCAAGCAAATGTGTTCACATCTTGGCTTTGCCACTTACTAGCTGTATTACACTGGGCGAATTACTTAACTTCCAGGTACCTCAGTTTCCTCATCTGTAGAACTGAATAATAACTTAGTTTAGTGTGTTATTTAAAATTATCAGCTAAGGCCAGGCACAGTGGCTCACGCCTGCAATTCCAGCACTTTGGAAGGCCGAGGCAGGTGGATCACCTGAGGTCAGGAGTTCGAGACCAGCCTGGCCAACATGGTGAAACCCTGTCTCTACTAAAAATATAAAAAATTCGCCAGGCATGGTGGTGGGCGCCTGTAATCCCAGCTACTCGAAGGGCTGAGGCAGGAGAATCACTGGAATCCAGGAGGCAGAGGTTGCAGTGAGCCGAGATCACACCATTTCGCTCCAGCCTGGGCAACAAGAGAGAAACTTCGTCTCAAAAAATAAATAATAAATAAATAAATAAATAAATAAATAAATAAATAAATAAATAAAATAATTGGCTGAGCATGGTGGATCACTCCTGTAATCCCAGGCTGATGTGGGAGGATTGCTCGAGGCCAAGAGTTCAAGACCTGCCTGGGCAACATAGCAAGACCTCATCTCTAAAAAAAAAAAAAATAGCTGGGTGTGGTGACAGACTCTTGTAGTCCTAGCTACTTGGGAGGCTAAGATGGGAAGATTTCTAGAGCCCAGGAGTCTGAAGCTGCAGTAAGCCGTGATTGTGCCACACTGCACTCCAGCCTGGGTGACAGTGAGACCTTGTCTCAAAAAATAAAATAAAATAATGTGCCGAATACTTGGAATAGTGTGCAATGCACAGATGTAGTCTGTAAATGACACTTTTTGCTGCTTCCTTTTTCAAGTATGTGACCAGTTTCACAAGGTCCTGTGAATTCTGGGATAAGAATGAGAGGGGAGATACAGTAAATTGGTGATTCACCTGAATGCAGTATCTCATGCTAAGTGTGGATGTACACATTTGACTTGAGTGCACAGTTTAAGAGGGAAAGCTGGACCTTATGGGAGGCTACTAGCAGCTTCTGGCATGCAAATGCCAATTTTAAAGGGGCAGGATTAGCGAGGATGAAATCTGTGACCATCCTGAAGTGAAATGAAAGTCAATTTCATAAGGTCAAGGCTAAAATGTTAGTGTGCATTACACAGCTATGGGAAAAGTAGTGTAACTAATTATCTTTGGAGGGGTGGCAGTCAGTTAAGCTTTAGACAATCTCAATACAATTCCTTAGACCCATGTTCAGGAGGCCACTGGCTGAACAATGGCTCAGGAATGTCAGAAATCTGAGTTCTCATTCTGGCTCGGCTACTGATCTGTTTTGTGACCATAGTCCCTTAATCCGCCCATGCCTCTGTTTCCCTGCCTGCCAAATGCCAGCCATCTCCCTGGGTGATTTTGAGGGATAACCAATAAGAAGGATTAGGGACAAGAACCACCATCCAAATTGTTAATAAAAGTGGTATTTTGTACTCAATTATTTGCATCTAAACCCTTTATAGTCTGTGTTTGGCATCGTCCAACCTCCATCTTTCTTATTCTTGTACTTTGCTTCCCCTCCCTCATGGAGAAGCAAAAACGTGATATATATGGTACAGTATCTTGCAGTGATACTACAATCTGCATGAAGGCGAATAGGTCATGCTGCAACATTTCAAGCAGTTGCTGTCCAAGGGAATAATTCACCTAAGGGATGCCCCCATTCCAGCAAACAAAGAAGCCATAGAGAAAAAAAAATGCTATAGCAGCTCTGGGTCTCGATGCAACTGGGTGTTGCTGTCTGTGTTATGCTGCCCAGTGCCTGAGCAAAGGTAATGGGAGGATTCTGAATGTGGAGAAAAATAATAAAATTGCCAGTGTGCTGGAAATTAAAGTTAATTCCGTGAGCATAGATAATGAACACAACATTGATTGAAATAAATGATGTACTTTGCTTTAGAAATGTTATTTGAATAACTGATATTGTACTTTGTCGGGCCATGGTTTCAAATGCATTCGATTATACATTTTAATGTTTCTCCCCAAACAGTCTTTCAAATCAGTATAAATTGCTGTCTGTAGCAGGCATGTCTTGATCTTTAGCTGCCATGACAACAGGATACAGGGAAATGCATTTTCATAACAATTGCTAGCAGTGTTTAGTATCACTGTTACTTTGTGTCAGGGAACAGCTGGCTTTGGGAGGAAAACAGCATTGTTTGCTTTACTTGAAAGCTTTTGTTATAATAGTTGAAAAAATAGGTAGAAAAAGTGTTCTTTAGGGGAAAAGGAGGTAGTTGGAGGATAAAGCCCAGAGCCAGGGGAATGGGGTGGGTGTGGGGAAAAAGGCAAGAGAGACGGAGAGAGAGACAGAGAGAGAGAGAGAGAAAGACAGAGAGAGAGAGACCCCTGCCAGGAAAGGAGGGCTACACCAGTGCATGCTAGTGTTAAGCTACCTAGAAAGTAATGGGGTAATCAGATTAGCAAGTTGAGTCAAGTAATATGATTTTAAATGATATAATCAGTTTTCACAAACTATGTGTGTATGTATATATATTATATATATAACTATATATATTATATATAAAGTTATATATAAATATATATATAATATATATAGTAATATTATAGTTATATATATAAATATATATAATATATAGTAATATTATAGTTATATATATAAATATATATATAATATATAGTAATATTATAGTTATATATATATATAGTAATATATATAAAGTTGTATATATAATATATATGCATTTTTTTCTCCTGCCCATTTGTTTTAACCCAAATATTCTAAAATAGCCAAGAGAGAGCAAATCTGAGGAATCTTGGAAAACAATACATTGTTGGGGACAAGATACTTAAAAAAATTTCAGGCAATCATGTGCTTCAGGAAAAAGGGCAGTGAAGGTACTTCTTTCTCCTAGTTCTCTGATATTTACGATGTCTCACATCTAGTGGCATCGTAGCAGAAGGGAGGCCACATACCCTGTTCCCCACAACCCTGACTCTCTCTATCTCCTTTTCTTTATTTTAAAATTAAGATTAACCCAGGCATGGAGGCTTATGCCGGTAGTAGCTAAACCAGGCATGGAGGCTCATGCCGGTAATCCTCTACTTTGGGAGGCTGAGGTGAGAGAATCAGTTGAGTCCAGGAGTTCAAGACCAGCCTGGGCAATGTAGTGAGACCCTCACCCCTACAAAAAATTTAAAAATTAGCTGGGTGTGGTGGTGCATACTTGAAGTCCCAACTACTCAGGAGGATGAGGTGGGAGGATCACTGGAGCTGGGTGGGGGTCGAGGCTGCAGTGAGCCACGATCACGCTGCTGCACTCCAGCCTGGGTGACAGAATGAAACCCTGTCTCAAAAAAAAAAGTGGGGGTTGTTAATAAACTTATTGGTTTTGGGGAAGGGTAAATGAGAAGAGGCATGCCAAGGATGCAAGGACTTGATAAAGTGCCTGCCACATAATGAATATTCAAAATGTGGCAGTCATCACTATTATTACTACAGGATCATTTGACCAATAGAGCAAGTCTGAATTATTCTATCATCTTCCACATCAAGCTCTTAATGTTCCTTAGCACCCGTGTTCCAAGTCATTAGAGTAATTAGATAATTCTCAGGTTACTGATGCCCTGTAGTTCTTGGATCAGTCATGATCGTGGCAGGAAGCAGAATTCCCTTCAAAAGATTTGACTGAAGAGATTCAACGAAGGAACTATTTACAGAGGTGTAGGCAGAGCTGAGGGACCAATAAGGGATGCTGAAGTCTCCAGAAACCAGCAACAGCTGGAATCCTGAAGAGGTGAGGGGAAGGAAGAAAGGGACTGGAGCTGGGCTGGCTTGCAGCCATGGAGAGGAAGCAGCCACTGTTGGAGGCACAGCTCTATGGCAGGGAGAAATGGGGAGGAAATATCTTAACTTTTCTCTCCTCTCACCATCCCATCTCTTGCTGGTGCCTCCCATTGGCTGTCTCTAACTGGAAGAGCACAAGGGGTTGGGGTGCTCAGACCACAGGGGTCAGATCTTTGGAGGCATAGAGCAGGGAGACAGGGGTACAGGGTGGATCTGCAGAGGCAGATGGAAAGGAGAACAGCCCGCGGGTCAGCGTTGATCTGTCCTTCATGTGATTTTGGCTTCTAGCTAGGCTTTTAAAAAATTGCTATAGAACTGTTTTTAGTTTTTGGCATGTTATTCACTTACCGCTGATAAAATTATAAGTTAATTAAAGGCAAGAATAAAGCCTTATTCCTCTTCTGGTCCCCACAGAGCTCAGCATAAGGCAAAACACAAATTTTTTTTGGAAAAAAAAAGAAATTTTTATGCCCAGTTGATGGGAATAATAATAATTATTATTATTAATATAGCAGACACAAGGCATTTACTACATATCAGGTATTAATCTAAATGTTACATATATAAAATATATACTATATATTATATATAATAAATATAACATAGTATATAATGTTGTGTTATATACAATGATATATGTTATTATAATTATATAATTTGTATGTAATATAATTATGTATAATTACATAATTATATATTGTAATTATGTATTATAATATATATTTTTTATATATTTTATATTTATATTATATATAATTAATAATTATATTAATAATATATTATATAATACATATATATTTAACTGATTTAATTATCACCACGACTCTATGAAAGGTACTATTATTAACCCCATTTTTCAGACAAGGAAACTGAGGTTCAGAGGGTGGTGATGTAGGAACTGAATAACTAATTTGCTTCTTAATGTCTGTTTCTCAGAGATAGACACGGGAGATAAGGATAGGATAGAAACTCAAGGTGAGGTAGAGGTGAGCTGGGTAGATTGCAGAACCCCCTTTTTGCTAGGAGCAACGATTCCTAAAGTCTACAGTGTGAACATTTTAAGTGGTGAATGAATGGTGCACATTTTAGGTGGTAGACAGACAGGGAGTTTTATAATATTGAAATGGAGAGAGAGTCATTCCTTTTTCAGTTGCCTTTCACTCTTGGTTATACTGAGGAGAAAGTCTCAGGGGGTGCTAGTTTAACATCAACCACCTGCAAAATCTTCCTTTTTTTTGAGATGGAATCTGGCTCTGTTGCCCAGGCTGGAGTGCCGTGGTGCGATCTTGGTTCACTGCAACCTCCACCTCTTGGGTTCAAGTGATTCTCCTGCCTCAGCCTCCCGAGTAGCTGAGATTACGGGCATGCACTACCACACCTGGCTAATTTTTGTATTTTTAATAGAGATGGGGTTTTGCCATGCTGGCCAGGCTGGTTTTTAATTCCTGACCTCAAGTGATCCAACTGACTCGGCCTCCCAAAGTGCCAGGATTACAGGTGTGAGCCACTGTGCCCAACAGAAAATCTCCTTTAAAAACAAAGTATATTTTGTAGCAATGGGATCTGGTATGTCACCCAGGTTGGTCTCAAATTCCTGGTCTCAAGTGATCCTCCTTTTTGGCCTCTCAAAGTGCTTGGATTACAGGTGCAAGCCACTGCATCCAGCCAAAATTTTCCATTTGACGAGAGCAGGCCTCAGACTCAGATACTTCGCAGGCCAGAGTATCTATCTTGAATTTTGGATATTTAGTTTTTATTGTATTTTATGATAGGTGATATTCGTGTTCCCCTTTCAATAGTGAAATAAAATTTTCTTTAAAACCATGTTTATTTAGGTTAAAAAGAAAGTACCTTTAATAAAGTATTATGTAAATAATAATAGTGTTATGCAGAATATAGGTGGTATTCTATTTAGGCAATAATTTGAAAGTGTTGCCTGAATGTTAGAGTTGGGGAAACATTTACTTTAGGGAAAGAGACTTTGTGGGCAAAGAGATTTTAGGGAAAGAGACTTTGTGGGCATCATAAACTCTGGGTCCCTCCAAGGTAATGAATGTTGCTTTGGGATAATATGCAAGTTTCTTTTTCAGTTTTGTGTTACTTCTAATTTTTACTTACTTCTTAGATAGTTCAAGGGAAATAGGAGTAAGTAAATAAGGTCCTGTCCTGAACACTGAGGGCCACATCAGATCGGTTCATAGAAACCTGAAAAACTTTTGTCAAAGACTGCTGTAGGCTTCAACAGGCCCAGAGATATCAGATCTGAATCCCTGGAACCTGTAAGTGTTATCTTATATGGCAAAGGCTTTGAATATATGATAAAACTAAGGATTTTAACATGGGGAGATTATCCTGAATTATCAGAGTGGGCCCTAAATGTAGTCACAAATGTCCTAATGAGAAAGGCAGAGGCTGGCACAGTGGTTCACACAGATAATTCCAGAATTTGGGAGGCTGAGGCGGGTAGATCGCTTGAGCTCAGGTGTTTGAGACCAGCCTGGCCAACACAGTGAAATGCTGTGGGAGGATTTCTTGAGCCCAGGAGGTGGAGTGGCACTGAGATTGCATGACTGCATTCCAGCCTTGGGGACAGAGCCAGACCCTATCTCATAAAAGGAGGAGGAAGCAGAAGCAGAAGCAGCAGCAGCAGCAGCAGGATGAGGAAGAGCAGGAGGAGGAGGAGGATAAGGAAAGAGGAAGAAGAAATAGAAAGAAGGAGGAATAAGAAGGGAGAAGAAGAAGGAGGAGTAGGAAGAGGAGGAAGAGGAGGAAGAAGAGGAAGAGGAGGAAGAAGAGGAAGAGGAGGAAGAAGAAAAAGGAGGAGGAGGGGGATGGAGCCTAAAGACACACAGAGGCTTAAAGGGAGAGGAGAGAAAGAGGGACCCAGTGGCACAAGCGGAAAGGAATCAGAAGAAAGTGGTGTCCCCAAAACCAATTTCATCAACTTCTTTTATTGGCCATACTCAAGAGAATCAGCAATGTAGAAGCAAGCTTGAACTCCTGGGCTCAAGCGATCCATCCACATCAACTTCCCAAAGTGCTGGGATTACAGGTGTGAGCCACTAGGCCCAACCCTGGGCTCTTTCTCATCCTCTTCTCACTCTTGGCACTTTCCTTGGATGATCTCAGCCACTTTCATGACCTCAACCATGGCCTCAATGCCTGAATAGGTTTTTATTATGGCCCCCTCTGCCCTGCTTTTTCTGTCTGATTCTCCACTTGGATGCTGCACAGATACCTCAGACACATGGTAAGTGTAAATGTGAACTTAGCATCTCAGGGATTCCTCCAATTTCCAGGTGAAAGATGTGTTCTTCTTTCCAGATTTCTATTTTGGAGAATAAAACTAGGATCTATCCAGTAACCTGAGATCGATTCCTTTTTCACTGATTTTTTTTTTCTTTTTTTTGTAGAGAGAGGGCCTTGCTATGTTGCCCAGGCTGGTCCTGGGCTGGAACTCCTGGTCTCAAGTATTCCTCCCTCTGGGGCCTCCCAAATCACTGGGGTTATAAGCATGAGCCACTGTGCCCAGCTGGCTGATTCTTTTTTTTTTTTTTTTAATATATATTTCTTTTCTCTTTCTTTCTTTCTTTCTTTCTTTCTTTCTTTCTTTCTTTCTTTCTTTCTTTCCTTCCTTCCTTCCTTCATTCCTTCTCTCTGTCTCTCCTTCCTTTCTTTCTTTCTTTCTTTCTTTCTTTCTTTCTTTCTTTCTTTCTTTCTTTCTTTCTTTCTTTCTTTCTTTCTTTCTTTCTTTTTCTCTTTCTTTCTTTCTCTCTTTTTTTTTTTTGATGGAGTCTCATTCTGTTGCCCAGGCTGGAGTGCAATGGCACAATCTTGGCTCATTGCAACCTCCACCTCCTGGGTTCAAGTGATTCTCCTGCCTCAGCCTTCTGAGTAGCTGGGACTACAGGCGTGCACCACCATACCCGGCTAATTTTTGTATTTTTAGTAGAGACGGGGTTTCACCATGTTGGCCAAGCTGGTCTCAAACTCCTGACTTCGTGATCCACCCACCTCGGCCTCCCAAATTACTGGGATTACTGGCATGAGCCACCGTGCCTGGCCTAAAATAAGTATTTCTTTAAAAATTTGTAATCGTGATAAAATAAATATAACATAAAATTGATCATCTTAACCATTTTAAAGTGTATTGTTTAGTGGTATTAGTACATTTATATCGTTGTGCAACCATCACTGCCATTCATCTCCAGAACTCTTCTCTAACAGATGCTCTGTGCCCATTAGACAATAACTTCCAATTCCCCCGCCCCCAGCAACCACCATTCTACTTTCTGTCTCTATGAATTTGACAATGTTAGGTACCTCATATAAGTGGAGTCATATAATATTTGTTCTTTTGTGACTGGTTTATGTAGCTTAACATGTCTTCATATGCACATTTTGTAGCATATGTCAGAATGTCCTCTTTTTAAAGGCCAGTTAATATTCCATTGTCTGTATATACCACATTTGGTTTATCTGTTCATCTGTTGATGGACACTGGGGTTGATTCCACCTTGTGGCTATTGCGAAATGCTGCTATGAACATGGGTAAACAAATATCTGTTCGAATCCCTGTCTTCACACTTTCTGGGTATGTACCCGGAAGTGAAATTGCTGGGTCATATAGTCATTCTATACTTAATTTTTTGAGGAAGCTCTATACTGTTTTCTGTAGCAGTTTTTTTTTTTTTTTTTAAGTAGAGATGGGATCTCACTATGCTGTTGCCTGGGCAGGTCTCAAACTCCTGGGCTCGTGCGATCCTCCCACTTTGGCCTCCCAAAGTGCGTTTACAGACATGAGCCCACACCCAGCCTTCTATAGTAGTTTCACCATTTTACTTTTCTTTTTTATTTTTACCTTTTTTATTGAGATATAATGCACAAATAATAAATTGTGTAAATCTTAATTATATAGCTTAATGAAATTTTACTCATAAATAAACCCCTGCAATGACCACCAAGATAAAAATATAGATTTCACTTTTTTTGTAAGAGATAGGGTCTCATTACGTGAGAGACCATGTTCGTGGCTGGACATGAACTCCTGGGCTCAAGTGATCCTCCCGCCTCAGCCTCATCTTCACTTTTGAAGGTATTTCCCACTGTATATAAAATTCTAGGTTGGTGGTAATTTATCTCCTTTAATCTCCACCATGTCATATTCCCACTAGCAGTGCAGAAGTGTTCCAATTTTTCCACATCCTCACTAACACTTGTTATTTTCTGTTTTTTGATAGTGGCTATCCAAATGGGTGTGAGGTGGAAGATTAATTATTGAACCTCCTTTATTTAAGCCCCCCGGCCCCACATTCAAGCTATTGCAAATCCTGCCCATTCTTCCTGTATGTCCATCTAATTATCTTTCTCTTTCCCTAAATCATCACTGCCACTTGCTGATCTAGGTCTTTATCATTTCTTGCAAGATAATAAGTGGTACCCCTACCTCTGGTTCTAACCACATTCAACGTATCCTCTACAGCATAGAATAAACTTTCAAAACCATCTAATTAGTTTCCCTAAAACATTTCAATGACTCTCTTTGGCCTGCAGGATAGAAGCCTCTTAGCATAATCTGCAAGCTTGCTTGGGATCTGGCCGCTGCCTTCTGTCTTCATCTTCTGCTACTCTTTCACCTGTATTATGGTTCAGCATGTTGAATGACTTGCAGCCAGTCTCTCTCTTACTTTGCATATGCAGCACTCCCTATTGTATTAGAGGTTATGAGAAATGCATCTCATGGGGGCAAGAACTGCATTTATTATAACCACTCATTATCATATCCCTGGTGGTTCATAAGTGCCTGGAACATATTGGGGAGCTCAGACATATTTATTGCATGCCATTGTATGAATCTGTTCTTGTACTGCTTTAAAGAAATACCTGAGACTGGGTAATTATAAAGAAAAGAGGTTTATGGGAGGCTGAGGCAGGAGAATCACTTGAACCTGGGAGGTGGAGCTTGCAGTGAGCCGAGACCATGCCACTGCACTCCAGCCTGGGCAATAAGAATGAAACTCTCTCAACAAAACAAACAAAACAAAACAAAATAAAACAAAAGGTTTAATTGGCTCACGGTTCTGCAGGCTGTACAGGAAGCATGATGCTGGCATCTACTTGGCTTCTGGGGAGGCCTCAGGAAACTTACAATTATGGTAGAAGGCCAGGTGGAAGCAGGCACGTCACATGGCCAGAGCAGGAGAAAGAGAGAGGTTGGGGGAGGTGCCATGCACTTTTAAACAACCAGATCTTACGAGAACTCCCTCACTGACTAACAAGAGAAGAGCACCAAGGGGATGGGGCTAAACCACTCAAAAGAAACCGCCCCCATGATCCAATCACCTCCCACAGGGCCCCACCTCCAACACTGGCGATTACAATTCGACATGAGATTTGGTGGGGACACAGATTCAAACCATGTTAGTCATTATTTGCAAGTACTTCACTAAACGTTTTGTCTGCATTATCTTTGTTATATCTCACAACAACCCTCTGAGGTAGATATTGTTATTGTTTCACTTTTATAGATGAGGAAACTGAGGTGTGGAATTTGAACATCTTGCTCAAAGCCATACAGCTTGTAAATGGCAGAGCTGGGGATCAGATCCAGAGTTGTCGGATTTGAGAGTCTTTACTTCGTTTTTTGAGACAGGGTTTCACTCTGTTGCCCAGGCTGGAGCACAGCCACTCAATCGTAACTCACTGTAACCTTGGACTCCTGGGCTCAAGTTATCCTCCTGCCTCAGCATCCCCAGTGGCTGGGACAACAGGCATGCACCACCATGCCTAATTTATTTTTTTTGGTAGAGAAAGGGTCTCACTATGTTGCCCAGGCTGGTCTGAAACTCCTGATCTCAAGCGATCCTCTCACCTTGGCCTTCCAAACAGCTGGAATTACAGGCGTGAACCACTGTGCCGAGCCTAGGTGAAGTTATCTTGGTCAAATTCAATTACCAAAGACTTGGGGAATAAGGGGTGTGTGTGTGTCTTAGGGACTTCAGCCAAAGTGCACAGTCTGTTGGTCCCTGTGTTCTCTCTTGGAGCCTCTGAACACTCTTTTTCCCGGAAACAGTAAAAATAAAATAGGATGTTTGAAGTGAATATTTTTCTCTTCACATTTTGCATATCTCCCCATGACATTCAGAAATGGACAGAGAGACCAACAGATATAAAGATTCGGAAGAAACGGTTTTGCTATGAGGGGTTTGCAAAAATCAAAACCATAAAAGGAAGAGAATGTTCAATGGATTGATCTGACAGTCCTGATATTTTGCTTTGTATTTCCTTCACAAAAGAGATGATCTGAGATCACATGACATCCAGTTTTAAGTGACAAACAGAATTAGGAATCAGACACACATCTTCTAACCTGAAGTGCTTTTAACAGAGCATGGCTGCATGTTGGAATCATCCACACCATTAAGAGGAGAATTCTGGAAAGGCAATATGTTACATTTTGCTTAAAGTCTGTCCAACAACTTCAGTCTTTCAAGGACCACCGTCAAGGTTTTTGCAATATCTCAGTATTTAATAAATTAAAAAAAATATTTTTGCAATATTCACATATGAGCAATACTATTATTTTCTTAAAATGTTAAAAAAAACCCAACATTTATACTTTGGCAATAAAAAACATCATGGTTTTGAAATTATTATATATTTTTCTATGCCTTGAAATATAATGTTTAGTCTTTCATTTTATTTCTTGATAAATACACTTTATTGAAATACAATATGAATATTTAAAAAGGGTACAACTTGTATCTGGAGAGCTTGATGCATTTTTACAAAGTGAATACACCTATGCAACCAGTATGAGATTAAGTAGTGAAGCAGGACCAACACCCCAGAAAGCTCCCTTGGACTCCCTCCAGTCCACATGCCCTTTTGAAAGAGAAGGCTATTCTGAATTCCAACATTTCAATCAGTTTTGCCTGAGTTCTGAACCTTATGGAATCTTATGGTATATATTCATTTCGGTCTGGCTGCTTCTATTCAGTATTATATTTGACTATAATGTTACATGCAGTAGTTGTCTTTTGCTTTGTAGCATGTTTGTGATGCACACAAAGATACATCAGTCAAATATTTTTGAAGGAAGAACTTTTTTCAGGAGGTGCTGGGAATACTGTCTATAGACAGCCTTCTGCTCCCAGCTTCTTCAGGGTTTGCCTAAGCTGCAGAAAGCCTTCTTGCCCAATGACACACCCTTCCTGAGGTGGCCAACATCCAGCGACTGATCATGGCAGGGGAAAAAGGCCTGGCTACTTTGGTTCCCCTGCGATATAATTCTACTGGTCATAGTGCTATATATTGGCCAAGTTTTAATGAGCCTGCATTGCAATTCAACTTCTCCCTGTGCCCCACTCTACTTCCTCCTCCTCCTTTCCACAGGGGTTCATCCTGCATGAATTATTTCTGCACGTCAAACTCTGTTCCAGCATTTGCTTCCAGAGAACCCAACCTGTGACAGATGGTGCTAGGAGTGGTTTGATAAGGCAGGCAATAAGATAGGGCATGGGAGTTGGATCGCTTGCCATCTGGCTGGCAATGAGGATTTTATCACTAGTCGTTGGTGGAGCACAGCCAGCCTGTGGCACAAGGTGGTAGGGTTGGTTATTAAAACTCTTACCAATGAAGAAGTGGGATGGAGTGGAAAGGAATGCATTACTCAGTGTCATGCATCAGGTTTTTGAGAAGAGTGGAGAAAGGGAGAACTACGAGAACAATGGAGTTAGGTGACTATTGCTAAGTGTCGGGTGAATGCAATGATCATTGTGACTACCAGGTTGAAGTATTGGCAGGAGTTGGAGTATAGGACCTCTGAGAGTTAGGGAGACTGTTCATAAAACCTGGCATCCCTGGAGGCAAAGCAGATACGGAGCCAACATAAGCACTATTCAGCTTGTACCGCCAGAAGAAATCATGAATGGATGACCAGAAGAAGGCTCAGGGAGGACTTCAATAAAAAACAATAAGGATTTCTTGCTTATTATTATTATATTATTATAAGGATTTCAGATCTGAGCCAGTTTTTAGATTCAGAATGCACTAACTGAAGGACAGGTCAGGTTTCCAAGAAAAGACTCTGCAACACTATGGCAGGTATACATGCAAATGATTCTCCCACTCCTTCTCCAAATGGGCCTACAGCCACTAACTAGGGTGACTGTACATTGGGGAAAGAGGGGACCCAAACATTATGAGGAATGTTGACCTTAGTGTCCAAGTGGATGTTGTCACCCAGAGATCTATAGTGTCACCTTGATCCTCCTTCTAGACTGGGGGTATATGATGACCAGGTAATAAGTGGAGCCCACTGCATCTGCAGACCCCTGCCCCTCATGCAGTGGTTATTTTCCTGGTCCCGAGATGTATAATTAGGACTGATATGCTCAGTAGGTGAGTCCTTAAACTGTGGGGTAGGAGCTATTGTATGGGGAAGGCCAAGTGAAAACTGCTCCCTTTGTCCAGCTCTGCCAGCTGAGATAGTAAACAAAAAACAATAAAACAATAAACAACAGGATAGGGTAGTGTCACCCTTAAAGATACAAAGGATACAGGATTGGTGAGCTTACTATTTTCTCCTCATTGAGGTCCATTTCAGACATACTTTTTGGGACGAAGTCCAGGTGATCAGGATTGGTGTCCCAACTGGGATTTTCTTTCTCAGCAAAACCATAATACAGAAGGAATTTATCTTCAGTGCTGAAGGTGTAGGGGAAAGAATGCAGGATTTGGAGTCAGATATGGGTTCAAATCCTGGCTCCTCCCCTTAGTAGCTGTATGACTGGGCAAGTTATTTTAATTCTCCACTTTAGTTTCCTCATTTGTGAAATGGGCAAATAAAACCTTCCTGAAAGAGTTGTAGGAATTAGAGATAGCACATAAAGCCCCTACAGTGTCTAGTAAGGAATTAGCTTTTAATAAATGGCAATTAAACAATTTTTATTTATTTATTTTTAGCTCCTTCCTTTTATCTTTTATATATCTAGCCTATCTTTTCAGGGAAGAAAGCAATTTGATTAGTGCTTTTCCATTAAGATTTTGGGAATTTAACGTGTTAGTTCTTCCCAGGGAAACTGCATTTAAAAAAGGAAGAGCTGTGATGTCTGAATAAAGGAATGACATGCTGATGGTAGGCACTTGCGGCTAACAGGGCTGCTTAGATTAAATCCTGTAAAAGAAAACATTCTTTGCGTCTGGGTAAGGTTGGCTTTCCCTGCTTTCAATGAAGAGGAAAGATAAAACTTCCCACTTAAGGAGGACTGCCCCACCTCCTTCTCCACCACCAATGTTGAGAAGAGTTTGCCTACATTTTGCTTTTTTCAAGTGGGACAACTGAAATATCTTCTAGCTATTTGTTCCAGTAGTTCAATATATATTCTTGGTTATATCAAATATTTGATATTTTAGGAAATCAGCCTTGTTAAATTAAAGTGGATAAGATGGCATTTTAAGGTCACCTTGGTATGATCAAACATGATGCTGACATTTACAATCCATTTCCATTGCTTCTCACATGTTTCCTTGTCAGTTAAATCCAGACTCTTCAAATTTAAAGGAGTTTCAAATCTAATAATGCAATTATAAATATTGTATCTGAATCACTCACTGTCCACTGGTTTCTGTGCAAGTTGCAAAATCTTCATATGTCCTTTTACATCATTTAAAAAATTAAAAATGGTTTTATTATAACATTACCTAGATAAGTATAAACAAATATAAATATTACATTGTTTTATAGACTCCTTAAGTTTATGGCTTTCATTCATATAAACCCAAAATAGATTTTCACATTTAAAAAAAGCTATGAATTAAGGCATGTAATTAACAATGTTAATTTAAGATGATAGAAAATAGTTTTGCAGAAACCACACTGTAACATACAGAATGAATCTGGGCCACACTGCCATGCTCTAGTTTTTTTTTTCAGATTGGGGTTCTTTCATTCGTGGGGGCTGAGTAATGACTTGGTTCCCACACAACATGTCTCCGTCCTAACTACTGTGGAACTTTCACCTCACAGCTTGCCATGTCCCCACTGGCCTTCATGTTGAAAGCGTCTTTTAGTGAAGCAGTCTGCCTTTATTCTTTCTTTGATAGATCACTACTAACAGTGCCCAAACATCAGCTCAGGCACAGAAATTCTGTGGGGAGAATTGGGTCAAAAGTGGATATCCAGGTAAGTCAGATGTAAAATGCTTACTATTTACAAATACTTATAAAACACAACTTAAAATATCATAGGGATATGTGAGGGCTGAGTATATCTACAGCCCCCTTCAGGAATCCATAGACCTCTATTTAAGAAATACTTATCTATTACATAGATTCTGCACAACAAAGGACACAATCAACAAAATGAAGAGACGACCCACAGAGTGGGAGAAAATATTTGGAAACTATCCATTCAACAGGACATTAATAGCCAGAATATACAAGGAGCTTTAAACAATTCCATAAACAAATCTAATAATCTCATTAAAAATGGTCCAAAGATCTGAACAGACATTTCTCAAAAGAAGACATACAAATGGCAATCAGGTATATGAAAAGGTGCTCAACATCACTGATCATCAGAAAAAAGCAAATGAAAACTACAATGAGATATCATCTTACCCCAGTCGAAATGGCTTTTATCCAAAAGGCAGGCAATAACAAATGCTGGCAAAGATGTGGAGGAAAGGGAACCCTCATACACTGTTGGTGGGAATGTAAATTAGTATAATCACTGCAGAGAACAGTTTGGAGATTCCCAAAAAGCTAAAAATAGAACTACCATATGATCCAGCAATTCCACTGCTAATATATACCCAAAAGAAAGGAAATCCATACATCAAAGGAATATCTGCACTCCCATGTTTGCAGCACTATTCACAATTGCCAAGAATTAGAAACAACCTAAGTGTCCATCAATAGAGGAATGGATAAAGAAATGTGGTACATATACACAATAGAGTACTATTCAGTTGTCAAAAAGAATGAGATCGTATCATTTGCGACAACATGGATGGAACTAGAGGTCATTATGTTAAGTGAAATAAGCCATGCAGAGAAAGACAAATTTCACATATTCTCACTTACTTGTGGGGGCTAAAATTTAAAACATTTGAATTCACAGAGATAGAGAGTAGAAGGATGGCTAACAGAGGCTGGGAAGGGTATTGGGTTCGGGATTGGGGAGATGGTTAGTGGGTACAAAATATAGTTAGATAGAATGAATGAGATCTAGTATTTGACAGCACAACAGGGTGACTACAGTCAAGAATAATTTACTGTACATTTTAAAATAACTAAAAGAGTGCAATTGGATTGTTTGTAACACAAAGGGTGAATGCTTGATGGGGCGGATATGCCATTTACCTTGATGTGATTATTATGCATTGTATGTCTGTATCAAAATATCTCATATACCCCATGAATATATACACCTACTATGTATCCACAAAAATTAAAAATAAAAAAAGAAATACCAATAGAGTGCAAATTAAACAGAATCTAACTCAAGAGGAGATGCAGTGAGCAAAATATGGGAATGGTCACTGTGATCGGGAAGTAAAAATCTGGGTACAATGTTGAAAATGTTTCAAAAAAGAATGTAATCAATAAATACTTTTTTATTGTAGCAAATTACACATAACCTAAAATTTATCATTTTCACCATTTTAAATGTAGAGTTTTGTGACATTTTGTGGCATGTACAATCCCATGTTATGCAATCATCATCCCCATCTATCTCCAGAATTCATCCTTCCCTTCTGAAACTCTGTAACCATGAAGCAATAACTCTACTTTCCTTTCTCCAGCCCCTGGCAACCTCCATTCTACTTTCTGTCTTTAAGAATTTGACTACGCTAGGAACCACATATAAGTAAACATTTACGATCTTTATCCTTTTGTTACTGGCTTATTTCACTTAACAAGGTTCATGTTGTAGCATGTGTCAGAATTTTCTTCCTTTGTAAGGCTGAGTAACATTTCGTAGTGTGTATACACCACATTTTGTTTATTCATTCATCTGTCTATGAATTCTCGGGTTGCTTTCACCTTTTGGCTGTAGTAAATACTGCTGCTATGAACATGGGCATACAAATATCTGTTCATATCCCTGTTTCAATTCTTTCGGTTATATATTAGAAGTGGGATTGCTGGATCATATGATAATTCTATGTTTACTTTTTTCGAGGAACCACCATGCTGTTTTCCACAGTGGCTGCACCATTTTGCTTTCCACCAGCAATGCACAAAGGCTTCCATTTTTCCACATGCCTGTCAACACTAATTATTTTCCATTAAAATTTTTTTTATGATAGCTATCCAATGAGTTGAAATGGTATCCTATTATGGTTTTGATTTGCATTTCTCTAATGACTTGTGATGTTGAGCAGCTTTTCATGTGCTTGCTGGCTATTTGTATATCTTCTTTGGAGAAATATTTATTCAAGTACTTTGCCCATTTTTTAATTGGGTTGATTTTTTGTTGTTGAGTTGTAGGTGTTCTTAGATATTCTGGATATCAATCACTTACAGATATGTGATTTGCAAATATTTTCTCCCCTTCTATGAATTGCCTTTGCACTCTGTTGATAGTGCCCTTTGACACACAAAGTTTTTAATTTAAGTGAAGTCCAACTTTTCTCTTTTTTCTTTTGTTACTTGTAGTTTTTGTGTCATACCTGAGAAATACTTGCCAATGCCAATGCAATGAAGCTTTTTCCTATGTTTTCTTCTAAAAGCTTTAATTCTTACAATTGGAGCTTTCATCCATTTTGAGGTAACTTTTGTATATTGTATAAAGTCAGGGTCTAACTTCATTTTTTTTTCATGTGGATGTTTCCAAAATCATTTGTTGAAAAGACTGTTCTGGAAAACCAAATACTGTGTGTTCTCATTTATAAGTAGGAGCTAAGCATTGGGCACACATGACTATAAAGATGGGAACAATAGACATTGGGGACTATAAGAGAAGGAGACACTGGGGATCATAAGAGAAGGACTGTAACATGGGGACAAGGGCTGAAAAACGACCTATTGGGTACTATGCTCACTACCTGGGTGATGGGATCATTTGCACCCCAAACTTCAGTGTCACACAATATACCCATGTAACAAACCTGCACGTGTACCCCATGAACCTAAAATAAAAGTTAAAATTGTATATAAAAAAGAAAAGACTGTTCTTTCCCCATTGAATGGTCTTAGCACCCCTGTCGAAGATAATTTGACCATATATATGAAAGTTTATTTCTGGGCAAAACATTGCTGAAAGAAGTTAAAGACAGAAATGTTTGTGCCTTCTTTAGCTTTCTTCAGAAATGTTTTACAGCACCGTTCAAGTCTTTTGCCTCCTCAGCTAAGTTTATTTCTTATTCTATTCTTTTTGCTCCTATTGTAAATAGAATTGTTTTACTAGTTTCCTTTTTCAGATTGCTCGTTATTAGTGGTGTAGAAACATAAGTGCTTTTTGCACGTTGATTTTGTATTCTGGAACTT
The DNA here is from genome assembly GCF_000001405.40 of Homo sapiens. Classification (NCBI taxonomy): domain Eukaryota; kingdom Metazoa; phylum Chordata; class Mammalia; order Primates; family Hominidae; genus Homo; species Homo sapiens. The sequence goes on along the minus strand of NC_000016.10, from coordinate 52,947,440 downwards.
TGCTGAATTTTTTTTTTTTTTTGACGGAGTCTCACTCTGTTGCCCAGGCTGAGTGCAGTGGCGTGACCCCAGCTCACCACAACCTCTGCCTCCTGGGTTCAAGCAATTCTCCTGAGTAGCTGGGATTATAGGCATGCACCACCACGCCTGACTACTTTTTGTATTTTTTGTAGAGATGGGGTTTCACCATGTTGACCAGGCTGGTCTTAAACTCCTGACCTCAGGTGATCCACTGTCCTTGGCCTCCCAGAATACTGGGATTACAGGCGTGAGCCACTGTGCCTGGCCTTGCTATGTTGCCCAGGTTGGTCTTGAACTCCTGGTCTTAAGTTATCCTTGTGCCTCAGCCTCCTGAGTTGCTGGAATGAACCAATACACCCGGCTTTTTTTTTTTTTTAAGTGGAAACTTTAAATTTGTTTAAGTTCCTTGTAGATTCTGGATATTAGACCTTTGTCAGATGGGTAGATTGCAAAAATTTTCTCCCATTCTGTAGGTTGCCTGTTCACTAAGTGGGCGAAGGATATGAACAGATACTTCTCAAAATAAGACATTTATTCAGCCAACAAACATATGAAAAAAAGCTCATCACTGGTCATTAGAGAAATGCAAATAAAAACCACTATGAGATACCATCTCACGCCAGTTAGAAGGGCGATTATTAAAAAGTCAGGGAACTACAGATGCTGTGGAAAAATAAGAACACTTTTACACTGTTGATGGGAGTGTAAATTAGTTCAACCATTGTGAAAGACAGTTTGGCGATTCCTCAAGAATCTAGAACCAGAAATACCATTTGACCCAGCAATCTCATTACTAGGTATATACCCAAAGGATTATAAATCATTCTATTATAAAGGCATGCACGCGTATGTTTATTGCAGCACTATTTACAATAGCAAAGAGTTGGAACCAACCCAAATGCCCATCAATGATAGACTGGATAAAGAAAATGTGGCACATATACACCATGGAATACTATGCAGCCATAAAAAAGAATGAGTTCATGTCCTTTGCAGGGACATGGATGAAGATAGAAGCCATTATTCCCAGCAAGAAACGGAAAACCAAACACCGCATGTTCTCATTCATAAGTGGGATTTGAACAATGAGAACACATGGGAGAGGAACATCACACACCAGAACCTGTTGGGGGCTGGGGAACAAGGGAAGGGAGAGCATTAGGACAAATATCTAATGCATGCAGGGCTTAAAACCTAGATGATGGGTTGATAGGTGCAGCAAACCACCATGGCACATGTATATCTATGTAACAAATCTGTACGTTCTGCACATATATCCCAGAACTTGAAGTTTTTTTTTTAAAAAAAGGAAACTTTAGGGTTTCCCACATATAAGATCATGTTGTTTGTAAACAGAGAAAATTTTATTTCTTTCTTTTCATTTTGGATATTTTTTATTTCTTTTTTGCCTAATTCCTCTGGCTAGGATTTTCACTACTATGCTTAATAGAAGCTGTGATAGTGGGCCTCCTTGTCTTGTTCCTGATCTTAGAGGAAAAGCTGTTAGTCTTACACCAGTGAGTATATTGCTGTTTGTGAGTTTTTCATATTTGACCTTTATAATGTTGAGGATGTTTCCTTCTAATCCTAGTTTGTTGAGCATTTTATCATAAAAGCGTGTTGAATTTGTCAACACAATTTGTCAATTTGTGTTATTTCTACATCAATTGAGATAATTATATGTTTGTTTCTCTTCATTCTCTCAATGTGGTGTATTATACTGATTGATTTTCATATGATGAAACATCCTTGCCTAACCATTTGGTCATGGTGTTTAATCTTTTTAATATGCTCTTGAATTTGGCTTTCTAGTATTTTATTGAAGACTTCTGAATCAATATTTATAAGGGATAGTGTTTTATAGTTTTCTTGTAGAGTCTGGTTTGATATCAGGATAATGCTGTCATCATAGATTGAGTTAGAGTGTTCCTCCGTCTCATATTTTTGGAAGAGTTTGAGCAGGATTAGCGTTAATTCTTTTTTAAATGTTTGGTAGAATTCACCAGTGAAGACACCTTCTGGGTACTAGGCTTTCCTTTATTGGGAGGTTTTTGACTAATGATTCAATTTCCTTACTAATTATGGATGTATCCAGATTTTCTATTTCTTCATGATTTAGTCTTTGTAGGTTGTGTGTTCCAGGAATTTGTCCATTTCATTTATGTTATCCAGATTGGTGTTGTAAAATTGCTCTTAATACTATTATACTCCTTTTTATTTCTCTAAGATAGGTAGTAATGGCTCCTCTTGCATATCTCATTTTGTTTATTTATTTGAGTCTTCTCTCTTTTTTCTTAGTCAATTTATCTATAGGTTTGTCAATTTTATTGATCTTTTCAAAATTCTATTTTTTGGTTTTATTTATTTTCTCTGTTGCTTTATTATTCTCTATCTTATTTATCTGTGCTCTAATCTTTATTATTTCTTTCTTTTTTTTTTTTTTTTTGAGGCAGGGTCTCACTTTGTCACCCAAGTTGGAGTGCAGTGGCACAATCTTGGCTCACTTCAATCCCTACCTCCTGAGTTCAAGCAATGCTCCTGCCTCAGTCCCCCAATTAGCTGCAACTACAGGCATGTGGCACCACACCTGGATAATTTTTTTTTTGTAGAGACAGGGTTTGGCCATGTTACCTAGGCTGATCTCGATCTTCTGAGCTCAGGTAATCAGCCTGCCTTGGCCTCCCAAAGTACTGGGATGACAGATGTGAGCCACCATGTCTGGCCTAATCTTTATTATTTATTTTCTTCTAGCTTTGTGTTTTTTCCCTTTTTTTCTAGTTTCTTAAAGTGTAAATTAGGTCATTTTCTTATTTATTTATTTAGAAATAGGGTCTTGCTAGGCTAGAGTGCAGTGTCATGACCCTAGCTCACTGCAGCCTTGAACTTCTTGATTCAAGCAATCCTCTTGCTCAGTCACCTGAGTAGCTAGGACTGCAGGTGCATGCCACCATGCCTACCTAATTTTTTATTTTTATTTTTTCTGGAGATATGGTCTCACTATGTTTCCCAGGCTGGTATCAAACTACTGGCCTCATGTGATCCTTCCACCTTGGCCTCCCAAAGTGCTAGGATTACAGATGTGAGCCACCACACTCATCCTAGGTTGTTAATTTGAGATTGTTCTTCTTTTTTTAAATGTGTTTACAACTGTAACTTACCCTGTTAGCACTGCCCTCACTGCATCCCATAAATTTTGTTATGCTGTGTTTTCATTGTCATTCATCTTAGGTATTTTCTAATTTCTCTTTTTATTTTTTAACTCATTGGTTAAGAGTGTGTTGTTTAATTTCCACATATTTGTGACTTTTCTAGTTTTCCTTCTGCTGTTGGTTTCTAGTTTCATTTTGTTGTGATCAGAAGATTCTTTGTATAATTTCAATCTTCTGAAGTTTATTAAGACTTGTGTTGCAGGCTAATATATGCGGTATTCTGAAAATGATCCATGTTTATTTAAAAAAGTGTGTATTCAGCTGTTGTTAGGTGGAGTGATCTCTACATGTCTATTAGGACCACTTGGTCAAAAGTGTTGTTTCAGTCTTTCATTTTCTTATTGATCTTCTGTCTGGTTGCTTTATTCATTTTTGAAAGTGGGATGTTAAAATCTGTTACTATTATTGTAGAGCTGTCTATTTCTCCCTTCAATTTTGTCAATGTTACCTTCATATATTTTGAAGCACTGGTGTTTGGTGCATATATGTTTTTTATTGTTGTATCTTCCTTATGGATTGACCATTTTATTATCATATAAAGTTCTTATTTGTCACTTGTAACAGCTTTTACTCAAAGTATATTTTGTCTGATATTAGTATAGCTACTCCTGCTCTCTTTTGACCTCCATTTTTATGGAATATCTTTTTCCAGCCTTTCACTTTCAAACTATCTTTGTCCTTAGTGCATCTCTTATAGACAGCATACAGTTGGATCCTACTTCCCACCTCTTCTTCCAATCTATGTCTTTTGACTGGGGAGTTTAATTCATTTACATTTGAAGTAATTACTGATAGGGAAACACTTACTTTTGCCATTTTGCTATTTGTTTTCTGTATGTCTTATATAACATTCTAAAGTTATGATAATCTACTACTAATTTAACTTAAATCACATACAAGCACTCTATTCCTTTATAGCTTTACTACCCTTTTATGCCATTAATGTCCCAAATTATACCTTCAAATATTGTGTACCCATTAACATATTTATAGTTATTTTTATGCATTTGTCTTTTAAATGATTCTTCCACACAATAAGGACAAGCTTTGTACTGTTTATAAAAAATTAGTGATGTCTCCAGCTTTAGCCTCAGTTTAAGAGGTTTTAAGAAAAAAATATAACTTTTCTACATCAGATCCAGGGTAAAAGGGGTGGAATACAAGACACCCTCTATCTGGAACTACTTGAATAGAAAGAGCTCTAGAAAGCAGTGGATGTGAGTATACTCAAGTCAGAGGGTTTGAGGTTATGGGTCCTTGGTGGTTATTTCTTCTCTTCCATCACTGAGATGTTTATCTTGGGTAGCTTGAAGGTTTCTTAATCTTCAGCTATTTAGGTGATCTGGACATGGATCAGTTCTATTAGAGGGGGCTTCTGGGCTCCTCTGTAGCCCTGGCTGGCAAAACCTCCCAGATCATACTTCTGGGGATCTTGGTCCAAGGATGCTGCATTTATATGATCTGTTTCTGTCCTCACCTCCACTTTCAGAATACATGGTGCTGGATCTGGGCCAGGTAAAGATGTGAAAGAACCACAGTGGACTGGCCTCTGGGCTTCTGCTTAGGGGATGAGTGGGGATTGCTGCTTGGATGGACTGGGCTGATACACTGAGCTTCTTTTCTTTTGTTATCTCCCCACTCCATAGCTTTAGTTCATGAAGCGCTTCTGTCACTCAAAGGTGCTTGGTCTTCTTGAGGGTAAGTCTCTTGGAGGGTATGTAGCCCTGCCTATTGCTCAAAATGTTAAGTGCTCTTCTGTGTCTGTTTTGTGATCAAATAATTTCTGATGAATGGGTAGCTTTAGTTTTCACTAGCAGGACCTTCTCTGTACTGTCAATGGCCGGTGATAGTGTCATGGGTGGGTCCTCTACCTTGGTAAGGTGCTGATACTTGTGATCTGGAATCACTGACTTCCAGAGGATGCTGCCCATGTCCGATGGAGGAGGAGTCATGGGTGTAGAATCCTTGAAGTCATCATCATAGCTGAAAGCCCAGTGTATGTCCCAAAGGGCAGGGACATCCTGCCCAGAGGTCTACTCGGGAACAGGCACTTCTGGTCGCCTTAAAGCCATTGAAAGACTGAGATCCAGGTGTTTTTTTCTGTATTGAATTTGAAGCTGAGTTTCTGCCGCTATAGTAAAATGATGTGACATGTATGCTGACAGACAGATGTTAATGAGGAATACTGTCCAGCTGCTACAAATTAGCAAAGTTTCCCATAAAGAGTTCATATGGAGGTTCTATTATTCCACTACTGGGGAGCTGCCTGTGGCCAGAGCTCTGGCACTAAAGATAATCTGGGGACCCATGTCTTCTGAGGGGCTGTGGTGCAGTCTGGGACTCAAGCCATGGTGAGACTGGTGCCATGATGGTGACAGCACTGAAGCCTTCCAGCGCCATCATGGAAGCAATAGCTGAATCCATATTTTCATTCCTTCATTCATCCATTCAGTTTTGATGGAGGACCCATTATGTGCCAGGCATTGTACTTCACTAGATTATACCATCAGCATATTGAGAACTCACAGTGTGCCAGACCAGTAAGCACTTTACATTGAATCCTCAGAGTAAGATTGTATGGTAGGGATTATTACCCTATTTTACAGATCAGGAAACTGAGGCAACAGCAAAGAAAAATTTAGGAACTCACCCACTAGAAAGTGGCAGCCTTGGAACATGGATCTAAGCCTGTCCTGAAGCTGTTATTTTTGTGACTGTTTTCTTAAAAATAATTTATTACACGTACAAAAATATGTCATTATATGATTTTAATCTTTTATTATCTTAGCTCTATTTTCTAAATCTGTAAGTTGTAGGTAATGACACACATGCAAATTCTGTTCTATCTAGTAGGTTTAATTGGTTTTCTTCTCCCATTATGGAAAAATCAGTTTTTCCTCCATCTGCTCATTTTTTTGAACATTTATTTTCTCCATAAATGTGTGCCTTTTTTTTTTTAACCTTTTCTTTGGATGTAACATCTCTCTATTTCCCTCAGTATGAGTAAAATAAACTCTTTAACACAGGTTCATTTTTATATCTATATGACAGCTTGATTTACCTGTTTTTGAAAATTATCTTTTAAAGTATAAGTAATACAAGTTTGCTTATTGTATGAAAAAATAAAAAATAACTACTGTTCAATTTTGATGAATATACAAACATCAATAAAATATTCTTAAAAATGAGATCATAGTGCACATGTAATTGTAATGTGCTTTTTTTAAAAAAAAAACTTAAAGTATTATTAAGATTTTTCTATCTCAATAAATAAATGTTGGTATCATTTCAACATAAACACCTTCACATTCCTTTGCAGAATAGGAAGATGGGCTTTTCCCAAGTGGACACAACTTCCCAGAAGCACAACTGTGCTTTTCCTAAGTAGGATTTCAGTACTTTATAAACCAAGTTTGTTAGTGGCTATCCTAATCACTCTCAGGTTTACGGATTTCTTAAATCCAGTAGATACGAAAGCACTAAAACTGATCTTTGTTAATAACCTCTGATTGTTTTAATACCCCAAGGCTGATGATTTGTGAAATCCTTCAAAGGAATTTTTAGATCAAAGGTTAAATATTGTTCGGTAGTATTTTCCTGTTAAATATATACCAGTTCTTTGAAAAGTATTAAATTCATGTTTGGTAACATGTGGCTATGCTCACTCTCTGCTAAGCCAGATGGCAAGGCTGCTTATTGCTGAGGAAAAGACACACTATTTTATAAGTCTTTGCATCTGCCTAGGCCCTCCCAGGTCCTGTTCCTAACATTGTACTGTTTTGTATCTGCATCTCAGGCCTTGCAGTCCAGGCAAGTGGTTTTTAAACTCTGGTGAGCACTAAAAGCACTTGGATAGTTTAAAAAAATATAAATACCCCAGCTCCAGAGTATCCCAATTAGACCAACTAGATCAAAATCTTGGTACTGGGGCCTGAACATCAGTGTTACTTAAAAAACAACAACAACAACAATATCTATAACTCTCTACTTATATTCTAATGTGCAGTCTGGGTTGAAACTCCCTGTATTGAATACAGCCTCTATCCGTATGCACATGAGTACACCTTATCCAATTAGCACTTAGCATCTCAATATTGGTTGCTTGTATTAGGTAATTTCAAATAACAGCCCTGCAGAAAAGGGAGAAGGCCTATGGAAGAGAGAAGGCAGAAAGAACCCGGGCATCAATTTTGGAAAGATTTAATCCTACTACAAGGAAAACTAATAATTGAAGCAACTGAAACACAGAACATTTTCTTGGAAGGCAAGGAAAGCCTGGGTTATCCATTTCATATCATGATGTAGAGAAGATTGATATGTCAGGCAATAATTGTAGTACATACTGTAAACTATATCCTTGCACCTGTGCAAGAGTTTCTCTAAGGTAAACACCTCGATGCAAAATTTCTGGTTTTTAACAATTATTACTTTCAAAAATCTATCAATCGACTCCCTGCATGAGATTTTCTAGTTCTGCATATCCTTGCCAACATATGATATTAGATTTTTTTCATTCTGATGCATGTGAAAATATTTCATTTTATTTTTAATTTTCATTTGCCTGATTAATAATGAGACGTGGTCATTTAAGTTTCTTTCTGAATTGCCTATTCATATACTGTGACAATTTCTATTGGGTTGTATTCTTGTTGATTTATATAGTCTTTATATAAATCAATATATAGTCTTTTTTTGTTTATTTTTGAGACTGAGTCTCACTCTGTTGTCCAGGCTGGAGTGCCAGTGGCACGATCTTGGCTCACTGCAACCCCAGCCTCCCAGGTTCAAGTGATTCTCATGCCTCAGCCTCCTGAGTAGCTAGGATTACAGGCGCCTGACTCTACACTCAGCTAATTTCTGTATTTTTTAGTAGAGATGGGGTTTCACCATGTTGGCCAGGCTGGTCTCAAATTCCTGACCTCAAATGATCCGCCTGCCTCGGCCTCCCAAAGTGTTGGGATTACAGGCGTGAGCTACCACGCCTGGTCAATAGTCTTGATATTAATCACTTATTGGTTACATAGATTTCTTGTATCTTATAATAAGAATGTTATTTATGTTTGAATATTGACCTTGTATCAAATATTTTTATTGAACTTTCTTAACGGTTCCAATAATTTGTGTATTCTCTTGGGATTTTTTACCTTGATAATCATATTGTCTATGAACAATGAGTTTGTTTGTTAATCTCATATACATACATACATATATATACATATTTTAAATGAACCTTATTTTTTAGAGAAGTTTTAGGTTCACAGATAAGCCAAGTGGAAAGTCCAGAATTCCTGTACTTCACCTGCTCCCACACACACACAGCCTCCCTCACTGTGTTAGTCTGTTCTCACACTGCTAATAAAGACTGGGTAATCTATAAAAGAAACAGGTTTAATTGACTCAAAGTTCAGCATGGCTGGGGAGGCCTCAGGAAACTTACAATCATGGCAGAAGGGGAAGCAAACACATCCTTCTTCACATGGCAGTAGCAAGGAGAAATGCTGAGCAAAAACCAGGAAAGCCCCTTATAAACCATCAGACCTTGTAAGAACTCACTCACTATCACGAGAACAGCATGAAGATAACTGCCCCTATGATTAAATTACATCCCACTAGGTTCTTCCCACATGTGAGCATTATGGGAACTACAATTCAAGATGAGATTTGGGTGGGGACACAGCCAAACTATATCACTCACTAATCAACATCTCCCACCAGAGGGGTACATTTCTTACAATCTGTGGACTTAACACTGACACATCATTATCACTCATAGTCTATATAGTTTACATTACTGTTCAATCTTGGTGGTGGACACTCTATGGGTTTAGATACATGATTAATGACATGTATCCACCATTATAGTATCATACTGAATAGTTTCACTGCCCTAAAAAATCCTCTGTGCTGTGCCTATTCATCCCTCCCTCCTCCCTAACCCCTGGCAACAACTGATCTTTCTACTGTCTTCATAGTTATGCCTTTTATATAGTTGGACTCATACAGTGTGTGGCTTTTCACATTGACTTCTTTGACTTAGAAATATAATTCAAGGTTCTTCTATGTCTCTTTGTGGCTTGATAGCTCATTTCTTCTGAGCATAGAATAATATTCCTTTATCTGGATATGCTAGTTTATTTATCCATTCACCGACTGAAGGACATCTTGGTTGCTTCTAAGTTTTGGCAATTATGAATAAAGGTGCTATTAACATCTGTGTGTTGATTTTTGTGTGGACTTACATTTTCAAATCATTTGTGTAAATACCAGTGAGTGCAATTGGTGGATCATATGGTAACAGCATATTTAGTTTTATAAAAAATTGCCAAGCTGTCTCTTAAAGTGGTGGCATCATCATGCATTCCCACCAGCAGTGAATGAGAGTTCCTGTTGCTTCACATCCTGGCCAGTGTTTGGTGTTGTCAGTCTTTTAGATTTTGGTGTATAGTGGCATCACATGGTTCTTTTAATTTGCATTGCCCTAATGACGTATGATGTGGAGCATCTCTTCATATGCTTACTTGCCGTCTGTATATCTTCTTTGGTAAGGTGTCTGTACAGCTCTTTTGCCATGTTTTAATTGGTGGTTCATTTTCTTAATGTTGAGTTTCAAGGGCTCTTTGCATGTTTTGCATGACGTTTTTAAAAATCAGACATGGCTTTTGCAAATATTTTATCACAGTGTGTGGCTTGCCTTCCCATTCTCTTGTTCCTTATATTTAAAAAAAAAACATTTTTTCCCTTTTATATTATGCTGGCTAGGACCTTCAGTACAATACTAAGTGTAAGGGGATAACAGCCACCTTTGTTGCTTCTTTTAAGGAGACCATATGTGTATTATGTCTTAGCCTTAGATATGATGTTCACTGTAGGGTTTTGACAGATGTCTTACAATTTAAGGAAGTTTTCTTTCTATTTAATATTTCAAGTTTGCTAAAAGTTCTTTCCTTTCTGCATTTATTGAGATTATCATATATTTTGGTCTGTTAATGTGATGGATTATGCTAGTGGATTTTTAAAATGTTAAACCAAACTTGCATTCTTGGGATAAGTCCTATTTGATCATAATATGAATAAATATTTTATGCATTTCTGGATTTGGTTTAATGTCTTATTTAGAATTTTTGTGGCTGGATGTGGTGGCTCACGCCTGTAATCTCAGCACTTTGGGAGGCTGAGGCAGGCAGATCACTTGAGGCCAGGAGTTTGAGACCAGCCTGGCCAATATGGTGAAACCCCAGCTCTACTAAAAATACAAAAATTAGCCAGGTATGGTAGCACGTGCCTGTGGTCCAGCTACTTGGGTGGCTGAGGCACAGGATTCGCTTGAACCTGGGAGACAGAGGTTGCAGTGTGCCAAGATTGCGCCACTGCACTCCAGTCTGGGTGACAGAGTGAGACTGTCTCAAAAAAAAAAAAAAAAAAAGAATTTTAATGCTTTTGTAAATGAGTTTGAGCTATAATTTTCTTTTCTTGTATTGTCTTTGTCTGGTTTTCATGTCAGAGTTCTAACTGCTAGTCTTGTGAAATGATGCTTTTTCTCTTTTTCTTTTCTATTTTAGCTACTTATAGCAACTAAACCTTTTGCCTCAGTTTCTTTGCTTTTTCTTTTTCTTTTTTTTTTTTTTTTTGAGCCAGGAGGTCTGGGTGTCATTTATTGACAGCAGTTTATACACATTTGTTTCCTTCCCATGGTTGTTTCCTTCCCAGCACAGGCACAGAGCCCTTAAGAAGGGCAGTCTGTGAACCAGGGAAACTTCAGGTGGGACACATCTTTGGCAGGCACGTTCAGCCCCAGCAGGATGCAATCCTTCAAGTTGGAATTCCAGTGGGTATTTGAGAGGGACCAGGGTAGGGGGTAGAGAGGAAGTCTTCCACAGGACTCATATCTGGATCCAGGCCTCCTCTCTCACTATCCAAGTCCATCCAAGTTTTAGGACCCTGGGGGCAACAATCAGGCCCACCCACCTCAACAGGGGCAGATTCTTCAATCTGTGCCCAGTTCACACACACCTGCTTCCGTTGGTCGCACAGTTAAAGAGAATCAGCCTTATGGTAAGAGACGGACCAAGTCCTCTCTGCCCCTCCCCGGCACCTCTCTTCAGCTGCATCTGCGCAGGAACAGCTGAGAAGACGGAGGCCTGCCTTCTCAGTTGAGCCGCATGTGTCCTCATCCGCAAATCTTCCATCAGCGGCAGGACGGAGGTCACACGTGGACCCAGGCGGACACCTGTGCTGCCCAGTCCATCACACACTGCCCCGCCTGCATGCTGCTAAACGCTGGTGCCCAGGCCAGAGCTCCAGCAGGCCTCGAATTGGGACATAAAGCCAGTTTGCATGGGCACTTGGCAATTTTTGGTAGGGAGGTGGGTAAAAAAGTAGATGGATGTGAGAAGAATGAGTTTCATTTGATAGACTAATTAGCGATCTGAAGTGATTTTACCCTTATTTCCTTCACTTTAAGCCAGTCATGGAATTTCACGTGATTTCTGGGGTGGGGGCGGAAGGAAGGCGGTGTTAAGAATCATCGGAGCTGTGCCCCAGTCAGCCCACGGCGGTGCAGGCAGGATGGGCCCTCACTGGGGCAGCTGGAGGAGCACGGACTGCCCAGCCGGCGGATAGGTGATGTTCCGAGAGCGTGAGAGCTGGTACGCGATGTCCTCCGCAGCTTCCAGCTTGCAGAGCTCCATCAGGCGGTCCCTTGCGGTGGCCAGTGAGTTGGCAATCAGCTCAGCTGCCTTGGAGTAGCCCTCAGCAGAGATGATGGCCACCTTTTTCTGCTGCTCAGCCTTTTCCACCACAAATCTGGCCCTCTGCTTCCTGCTGAGCTACCTGTTTGGCTTCCACCGCTTCTGTGAACTCCTTCCCGAAGGTCAGATGTGTCAAGGACACGTCATCCAGGATGAGCCCAAAGGTGGCTGCTCGCTCTGTAAGTAAGGTCATTGCTCACCTACCTGGAGACCAGCTCTCTCTGGGTGATTAGTTCTCCAGCATCAAAGCTAGCCACCACGGACTTGAGGATCTTGGTCGTGACGGATGGCAGCACCTGCTCATCATAGTCCTCTCTGATGCTGGTGAAGATGCAAGGAAACTGGCTAGTGACAGGCCAGAAGAGGATGAGCAGTGTGATGTTGACATTCTGTAAATCTTTGCTACCAGTGATGGCTGGCACATTACGTGGTCGAGAAGGGCAGTCAAAGATAATTGGTTTCTGTACCCATGGAATGAGAAAGTGAGTCCTTTCCCCTACCACAATGTCCTGTACTCCACGGAATAGGTCAAAGATGACAGCTCTGTGCCCAGCATCCACATTCTATAAGGCAGAGTTCATTTCACCAGGCCTCCTGCAACAGCTAAGGCCAGGCCAAACTTGCTGATGAACTCAAACACTTTGGCAGCCATGTTTTCTTCTGCTGGACCCCCTCACACCTGCTTCCACGTTGACCTCCACATGAATTCCCCCGCCTCAGTTTCTTAATTTGAAAATGAGGAAAACGAAAATACCAACATCAAACGTATATTTTGAGGATTAAACAGTTAAAATAAGTAAAACAATTAGAACAGTCTTCATAACATAGCAACCAACCTTTTAGTTTTAGCTATTATTACTATTATTGCAGTCCCTAAAATTTATATAAGAAAGGTATGATAAGTTTCAGAAGTTGGGTAGCATTCATCTGCAAAACCGTCTAACGTTTTTCTTTCTGTGGGTATGTTTTAGCTACTTATTCAATTTCTTTAATGTCATTAATCTACTTGATTTTATTTTTTTCTTCTTGACTTGCTTTTGGCAAGTTATATTTTTCTAGCAGTTTGTCCATTTAAGTTTTCTTTTCTTTTTTTCTTTTTTAGAGACAGGATCTCACTGTCTTGCTGAGCCTATAGTGCAATGGTGCAATCATAGCTCACTGCAGCCTCTAAATCTTGGGCTCAAGTGATTCTCCTGCCTCAGCCTCCCGAATAGCTGAGACTACAGGTGTGCACCACTGTACCTGGCTAATATTTAAAGTTTTTGTAGAGACAAAGTCTCGCTTTGTTGCTCAGGGTGGTCTCAAACTCCTGGCTTTAAGCCATCCTCCTGTCTCGACTTCCCAAAGTGTTCGGATTCCACGTGTGCGCCATCATGCCCTACGCATTTCATTTAAATCTTCAAATTTATTGGCCTAATTTTTATAGCATATTCTTATTAATGTCTAATGTTGCTATATCTGTATTTATGGCTTCCTTTTTATTCCTAATATCATTTTGGGGTATGTTGGATGCTTAGTTCATTAAATTTTATACATTTTATATATATGTGTGTATATTATATATACACATTATATTATAATATATATATGTATTTGCTTTAATCCCACTCTGCAGGTCCTGGTAGGTAGTGTTTTTCATTGTCAATAAGTTTTAAATGTTTTCTACTCTCCTTTGCAGTTTCTTCCTGGATTCATGAATTTATAATATTTATAAATTCAAAATTTCCAAACAGATAAAGTTTCTCTGGTTTTCTTTTCATTATTGAATTTTATTGTATTGTTGTCAGAGGCTGTGGTCTGTGTAATATTACTCTGTTTCAGTATCTATAATATATCTATCTATGTATTTATTTACTTTCTATATTTTCTGACTGGAATGTGATCCATGTGAAGAACAGAATTTATTCTGTTTAATTCACCATCATGTTCCCAGTGTATACAATGATGGTTGGCATATAGTAGTAACTCAACATTTATTGAATGAAACAATGATTAATATTGATGGTAATCCTGGATGATCAGAATATATTTTTTCTAGGTGGTCTTCCTGGACCACCAAGAAGAGAATGCAAATTCCCACAGGCTCTGGTCCATATCAGCAGACTTGGCATCATATCCACATATGGAGTTATGTCCATATGTGCCTGACAAACATCAAAATTTCCTGAGCATCCAAGTAGAATTTGGAGGACTCTGTCTACTCACAAATTAACTTGATTCTGATTTGTCCACTCTCAGTGCCTCAGCATCAATATGGACTCTGCTTCCCACAGATAGAAAGACTGACTTCTTAGTCCATTTGGGCTGCTATAACAAATCACCATAGACTGGGCGATTTATAAACAATAGAAACGTATTTCTCACAGTTCTGAAGCTTGGAAGTCCAAGGTCAGGATATCAGCATGGTCATTTCTGGTGAGAACCTTCTTTTGGGTTGCAGATGGCCAACATCTCTCTGTGTCTTTACCAGGCAGAAGCGGGGAATGAGCTCTCAGGGTGTCTTCTCTTAAGGGCTCTAATCCCATAGATGAGGTCTCTGACCTCATGACCTAATTACCTCCCAGAGACCCCATCTCTTCATGCCATCGCCTTGGTGGTCAGGATTTCAACATATAAATTTTGGGAGAGCACAAACATTCAGGCCATAGCATTGACCATAGCAGAACTGGCAATCCTCATACAAAGTTTTGGTTTCCCGTATTTAATGTCTTCTACAAAACAATATTCATGCATTCTGTCAAGCAGTTGCAGAGTAAGGACAGCTGGTCATTACTCAGCTTGGTGTGCAAATAGATATTTTTGAAAATATACGATCTCTGAAGATTTTTATTCTTCAGACAACTTTGGCTTTGAAAACTCTGTATATCTTAAAAGCAGTTTCACAATGTCAGTAGTTTCCTGTGATTGATAGTCACAGCACACTGAGCTCACAGAGACATTAAAAATGTGGCATAGGAAAAGAAAAAAAGGGCTTTGCAATATTGGATTCTGTAGCAGTAAGTAATCGGCTCTTGGCTTTCCTTCCCTTTACTAAGGATTTTTTTTTCCTCCTCTTCTGAAAGGTCTGTATTTTATTGCATTCTAGATTTGGACATACTAATAAAAATATATTTTTTTCTATGCTTGCCAGAATCCTATTTCTCAACACAGACAGAATTATTGGATAAGTGCTGCGATTCTGTTTCTCTTTGGAATTTTGAAACCCCAAATTAAAAAAAAAAGCCAAACAAACCAAAAAAACCCAATAAGTTGGGATACCAGATAGAACGTTGCTGTTGGCAGGTCTCTCCTGGGTGCAATGGGGATGATTGTGTGTTATACTCTCTGAAAGGGGGAAAGTGGCTGCATTACTGAGTGTGGTGGTGAGAAATAAGAATTGCATGATATGGAGAAGCAATTTGGATCATTTTGGGAAACCAAATAGGTTATTCCTATTGAATGTGGAAGGAAGTAATTATTTCTGTAACTAGAATGTCCTGCAAATAAGTTATGGTAGGACAGCTGCTCTCATAAAGAGACCCAGGAATATAATGACTCATCATAGAAATTTATTTCTTACTTAGTGACTGGTTCATGTTGGCAGGTTTATTCAGGGACCCAGGCTCCTTCCATCTTGTGACTCTGCCATCCCCTAGAGCTGAAGTTACTTTTTTTTTTTTTTTTTTTACAGCAGAAAGTACCAGATCATAATTACTGTAGGTTTTGCAGGTTATAATGTCTCTGTCACCTTTATTCAATGCTGCCATTGTACCATAAAAGCAGTCATTGACAACACATAAATTAATGGCCTAGCTTTGTTCCAGTAAAACATAATTTACAAAAAGACGTGACAGGTTGAATTTGGGTCTTGGGACATGGTTTGCTGACCCTTGCCCCAAAACCTGGTCATACTCTTCTGTATTCAGCAGAGAAAGGGAAGGAGCAAGGAGAAACAAGTGTGGAAGGAATCTAGAGGTCAAGCCTGGAAGCAAAATGCATCACTTCCCCTCATGTTTCATGGGCTAGAAATCAGTCATCTGGCAACACTCAGTTGCTAAGGATGTTGGGAAATGTAGTCTAGCTGTGTGCCCAGGAAGAAAAGGAAACATATTGGTGAACAGGTGGCAATCTTAGCCATATCTAGCACAATAGAAAATCTGAGAAAACTGGAATTCAAGGTTCATCCTCAAACTATCCTACTGTGTTCTAAAACACAGGGTTCAAAAAGCATGTCTTTGTAATCAGACAGGCCTGGGTTTGAATCCTAGAAGGGCCACATTCTAACCTGAGCTCTTGGGTGTTTGTTTAACCAACTTGTGCCTCATTTTCCTTATGTGGAAAATGAGGATAATTATGATTATCTCCCAGGGTCTTTGTGAATGTTAAATAAAAGAAAAACTTGAGATAACTATCACTTCTAATGCACAAAAAGAAGTACATTACCATTATTATTTGAACAATGATTTACTCTACTTCCTAGCAGAGTATAATTTAATGCTTTGCACTTGGGCTTACATCCCTGCTCCACTTCACACTAACTCTGTAATCTTGGACAAGTTATGTAACCTCTCTGTGCCTCAATTTCTTCATTTATATAATTGTAACAATAATAGCACCTGTCTCCTAGGGTAGTTGTGATGATTAAATGATTTAACAAATATGAAATCATAGGTGTCTAGACTTAATAACGCTCAGTTAATGGTAACTGTAATTATTATTTTAATACACCGATCCCTGGCATCCAAGGACACTAATGATAAAAATCAACATTATAATAATATATATATATTCATCCATTCAGCAAATACTGAGCACCTATGGGCCAAATTCTGTACTAGGCTCTGAGGATAGAAATGGTGACTAGACCTGGCATTTTTCCTGCCTTCATAAAGCTTACAATGTATTTGCTAATAGGGGCATTTTCTTTTTTGAGCAGCCTTTTCAGTGAGCACTTTAAACATGCTATCTCATTTTATCATTTGCAATAATTCTGTGAATAATATATTATTGTCGCTATTTTACAGAAGACGTAACAGGTTTAGAGAACGTAAGTAATTTTAGCGAGGTCACAGAGCTGGTAAACGGTAGAAATGGTATTTGAAACTATGCACCTCAAACTTAAATGCCAGTGTTCTTAACAATCATGCTGGGCTGTCAGATCTGGCCACATAAAAAGGTTTGCTTGGCAAAGTGTACACTGTTTAATGGGAATGTAGGTTGAAGGCAGGGGGAAGGAGGGGGCTGTGATGGTGACGGTGGCCTCTTGGCCTCTCTGGGAATTCAGTTCTATCTCTGGACCATTTATGACAGCAAATGCCCTCTCTACTTGGATGACTTCAAACATCCCCCAGGATTAGAAACATATAATCTTATCAACCAGGTTTGGTTCCCGTCTGCAGGAGAGCTGGGCTTTTCAATTTAACCACTGGCTTAAAAAATGGAAAAAAAAAATAACACAAAGAAATCTACTGTCTCTACCCTTCTTTAAAATGATGAATGCTTTTTAAAGGCAAATCCATCATTGGTCACTTGAGGGAGGAAATGTCAAGAAAAGTTATGGTTTGTTAGCTTTTACTTCTTGACATTATACAAGAAAGTAATTGAAGTACAACAAATGCCATGTTGTTTTACCTCATCTATTTATATAGCAATCTGACAAGATGAATATATATGTTACTGTGGATTTGGAAAAAAAGTGACACAGGCTCTGTGATTTGTTCTGTTGTCTTATCAGTGCTGATCAAATGTGCTTTTCCTCAACAAAACACATGGCAGATGAATTAGTATCTTTTCATGTAGATTCCTGGATTTGAACAATTGAACTCATTTTACCCTTCAGCCCATTAGCCTCTTATCTCAAGTTCTTTGAGCTTTAACATGAATGTATAATAGAGCATGCACAAATTCAATTCAATACAACAAATATTTATTTAGCACTTGCTGTGCATAAGATACTATGCCAAACAGAGATGCCATTAATTCACAATCTGTGATAATTCAAACACAGCCTGGGCTAAATGTTACCATTATACCATTTATGAAAAAAAGATTCTGCTAAACAAATCAGCAAGGTGGATCTTACTGTGTATTATGTTATGCTCCTAAAAATCCCATTTGTAAATCATATTTTAAATTCACAAAGAGTGCTTCCTGTTCAGAGAATTTCATAATAGTGTTTCCAGAGAATATATAATCACTGACAAATAAGAATTTTTAAGTTTGATGTTTAAAAGGCAAATGACCACTTTATTGAAGGATATTATGTGACTAGTACAATAAAAAACCCCAAGGCTTGTTTCGATGACGCCCACGATCTCTTTGTGGTTGGGTAGTCTGGTTGTCAAGCAACTTAAATAGAAGAGACATGTTAAATTATTATTTTTTTCTTCTGAAAGGTGTCAGACACAAAACAAAGGTATAAAGCTGCTTATTCTGTAGTGAAGATCTCTTCAGTTCCCCACATACATTGCTGGGGAAGGAAAGTAATACTAAAACTTCAGTTAATAGGAAGAGGCAGAGTGAGTTTTCAGTGTGTCTTAATCTTTTTGTTTTGTTGGCATTACCTTAGCCAATCAGCTGGGATCTCAAGTGAGTTATTCAGGGATGTAATATTAAGAATCATGAGGCAAGGTCTCCTGTCGAATACAGTAAGATGATAATACTTTGCATTTTAGTTTCTCTGTCTTTTTTTTTTTTTTAATAGCCCCTTTGTTGAAACTGGCCCCTTTGCAAGTGGTCCTGTCTATATATAAATGGGTTGATAGATCTGACTCCAGAGGGTTTGAATTAAGGACCATCATTTATTTGTCAGTACTGTGTAGTAAAGAATTTGGCCTTGACTAAGGAGAGGTCTGGCTTTGCCTTCAGCTTCTGGGAGGTATTCTATGTTATACCTGACAGGAGTGTAATTGTTCAGAGTGGTAGGTGGCCACACTAGATCTTAGAGTAGGGCCAGCCATACCCATAGTGTTAGGGTAGGGGTGGGCCATGTCAGAAAGACCAATCATACGATTGATAGTAGGGGTTTGGATCAATTGACATGGAGACTGAACTCAGCAACTTGGGCAATCAGTTGATCAATTATGCCTGTGTAATGAAGCTTCAACAAAAACTCTGAGCTCTGGGGCTTGGGTATGTTTCCCTGGTTGGCAATACTCCTTGCATATTGACACATATCAATACTGGGAGTGTATCACATCCTGACTCCATGGAGTTGACAATGGAAACTTCATGTTTGTAACCCCCTCAGATTCTTCCTTAGGTATCTCTTCATTTTGCTGTTTTGAATTTGTATCCTTTCCGTGTAAACCATAACCATGAATATAGTAGCTTTCAATGAGTTCTCTAAGTCCTTCTGGGGAATTATAAAAACTGAGGGTAGTTTTGGAATTTCCCAAACTTATAGTTGGTGTTAGAAATAAAGGGAAGGCTGCACGCAGTGGCTCACAGCTGTAATCTCAGCACTTTGGGAGGCCGAGCGGGGGGGATCACGAGGTCAGGAGTTCGAGACCATCCTGGCTAACATGGTGAAACCCTGTCTCTACTAAAAATACAAAAAAAAAATTAGCCAGGTGTGGTGGTGTGTGCCTGTAGTCCCAGCTACTCGGGAGGCTGAGGCAGGAGAATGGCATGAACCCTAGAGGTGGAGCTTGCAGTGAGCCAAGACAGTGCCACTGCACTCCAGCCTGGGTGACAGAGCGAGACTCCGTCTCAAAAAAAAACTTGGAAGACTATTTCTTCTAATCACTGCAGTTTGGCTAACTATGGCTAAGTATCATAACTGGAATGAGTCTATTGACATGCAAATGGGTACAGTTACATATAATAATTATGTCACACCTCAAAACTTCCCCCAAATGAGAAAATTCCCTTGGAGGTACTTGTAAATGTCTAAATTCGGTAAGTTTAAAAAAGCAGCATTAGCTACATCTCTCTTTTTAAAAAATTTTAATTTTATTTTACTTTAAGTTCTGGGATACATGTGCAGAACATGCAGGTTTGTTACATAGGTATACATGTGCCATGGTGGTTTGCTGCACCTATCAACCCATCATCTAGGTTTTAAGCCCCGCACCCCCTGACAGGCCCTGGTGTGTGATGTTCCCCTCACTGTGTCTATGTATTCTTATCGTTCAGCTCCTACTTAGGTAGATCTCTTTTTATGCAACCATTTGAAATTAGAACAATTTTAATGATTTTTAGTTATTTCTGGGGTTACAAACCTAAATATATAAGGGCATCAGAAGGTAACTTCAATCAGTGAAACAGAAGGTGGAATCTGTGGTGAAGTGAGGAACATATGCTAGTATAAAGTCATTCAGAGCTAATAAAAAATTAGGGTCATAAAAAATGTCCATAACAGGAGTTAGCGCAGAGATCACCAGTTTGTCTTTTCTCTATGATTTAGGCTAAAGGCTCCATTTGAAAATGAATATTTTCTGTAATTGAATGTTTGACTATCCATATTTTCTATTTCCATCTCTTTTTATGTTAGTTTTTGCTGAAATTTGTTCATTTCAATGAAATTTATTCTATTTATTTTATTATTTATTTATTTATTTTTCTGAGACAGTGTCTCACTCTGTCACCCAGGCTGGAGCGCAGTGGCACGATCTCGGTTCACTGCAAGCTCTGCCTCCTGGGTTCATGCCATTTTCCTGCCTCAGCCTCCTGAGTAGCTGGGACTACAAGCGCCTGCCATCACGCCTGGCTAATTTTTGTATTTTTAGTAAAGACGAGGTTTCACCGTGTTAACCAGGATGGTCTCGATCTCCTGACCTCGTGATCCGCCCACCTCGGCCTCCCAAAGTGCTGGGATTACAGGTGTGAGCCACCGCGCCCGGCCTATTTTTTAAAATTTAATTTTATTTTTTATTTCAAGAGTTTTTGGGGCAGAGGTGGTTTTTCATTACATGGATAAGTTCTTTAGTGGTGATTTCTAGGATTTTGGTGCACCTGTCACCTGAGCAGTGTATATTGTACCCAATATGTAGTCTTTTATCTCTCATCCCTTCCCATCCTTCTGCCCAAGTCTCCAAAGTCCATTATATAATGGTTATGCCTTTGCATCCTCATAGCTTAGCACTCACTTATAAGCGAGAACATATGATATTCGATTTTACATTCCTGAATTACTTCACTTAGAATGCTGGCCTCCAGCTCCATCCAAATTACTGCAAAACACATTATTTTATTCCTTTTTATGGCTGAGTAGTATTCCATGATGTATATACCACATTTTCTTTATCTATTCATTGGTTGATGGGCATTTAGGTTGGTTCCATAGTTTTGCATCAATTAAATTTATTGGCATAAAATCATAATATCCCTTTATGATCTTTCTAACTTCAATAGGGTCTGTAGTGTCATCCGATTTTTAATTTCTGACTTTATTTGTGCCTTCTATCTACTTTTCTTGGAGTCTCCTATGGGTTTATTAGTTTTAGCAGCTTCTCCTAGAATTAATTTTTGGATTCGTTGGTTTTATTTGTTGATGTTTAATTTTTATTTAGTTAACTTCCATTTCTATATGTTTTTAGACTTCCTCTGTTATTTTTGAATCTTATTGACATACATACTTAGCTCTTTTTCCATCTTTCTCTTTTTCTAATAAAGCTATAAATTTTTCTTAAGGCATGAGTCTATCTGAAGCTCATAACAATATCATTTTGTCATTCAGCTAAAATGTGTATAACTTTTTGTTGTAATTTTTGTCCTATAGATGTTTATAAACGTGTATTTTTAGATTTACAAATAGATGTATTTTCCTTTCTTTTTTCACTTATATTTGATGTATAACCTGACTGAATTAGGAACAGAAAACATATGATAATGATTTAAAGTCTTAGACAGTTTTTTGAAACTTGTTTTATGGACCATCAGTATTTGTAAATATTCCAAAAAAGCATACATATATTAGTATTGAAAAGAATACAGTATTAGTTCATTCTCACGCTGCTATAAGGACATACTCAAGACTAGGTTATTTATAAAGGAAAGAGGTTTAATTGACTCACAGTTCCGCATGGCTGGGGAGGCCTCAGGAAACTTACAATCATGATGGAAGAGGAAGCAAACACATCGTTTTTCATATGGCAACAGGAAAGAGAAGAATGACAGCTGAGCAAAGGGGGAAGCCCCATGTAAAACCGTAAGAGCTTGTGAGAACTTACTATCATGAGAATAGCATGGGTGAAACTGCCACCATGATTCAATTACCTCCCACTGGGCCCCTTCTGCCACACATGGGGATTATGGAAACTAATTCAAGATGAAATTTGGGTGGAAACAAAGCCAAACCATATCAAATATGCACTTTTTGCAGTTATTGGGTTCAATGTTCTATAGAAGTCCATGAAGTCAATTTTATGATTGTGTAGTTCAAATATTCTAGATTTTTACTGGTCTTCATATGTTTGCTCTGTAAGCTATCACTAAAAGCTTATTCTTTCAATTGTTTGTTCTGTAAGCTCTCACTGTGTGTACTTGTCTCCTTTGTATCTTGTCAAATTTTGCTTTATATGTTTTGAGGCTATGTTATTGGTGCACACAAACTTCTAGTTACTATATCTCTGGGAAGAATTGAAAATTTTATTATAATAAGGCTTTTAGCCTTAAAGTCTACTTTGTCTGATCCTAATGTATTTTAAAATTTAATGATTGTATGATGTATTTTTTCTGCCCTTTTAAAAATAAAGGGCAGAAAAACATGTTAACTTTCTTTATTCTTAGTTTTAGATATCTCTTTTGTAAACAACTTAATTTAAAAATATCCAATTGACATTATGGAAAACACTATGGAGTTTCCTCAAAAAATTAAAAGTAGAATTATCATATGATTCATCAATCCCACTACTGGGTATATATCTACAAGAAATGAAGTCTGTATGTCTGAGAGATATCTGCATTCCCATGTTCGTTGTAGTGTTATTCACGATAACCAAGATATGAAATCAACCTAAGTGTTAATTGGCAAATGAATTGATAGAGGAAGCATGGTATGTATACACAGTGGAACACTATTCAGCCTCAAACGAAGGAAAGTCTGCCATTTGCAGCAACATGGATAAACCTGGAGGACACACGTTAAGTGAAGTAAGCCAGGCACAGAAGAAAAATACCACGTGATCTCATTTATATGTGGAATCTAACAAAGTTGAACTCATAGAAGGAGAGAGTAGAATGGTGGTTACCAGGGGCTGTGAAATGGGAGAGGATTGGTGAAATGTTAGTCAGGAAGTACAAAATTTCAATTAGACCAGAGGAGTAAGTCAAGAGATTCCTTGTATGACCTGGTGACTATAGTTAATAACAATGTATTGTACACTTAAAAATTACTATGAGAGCAGATTTTAAGTCTTCTGAACACACAAAAAGTTATGTGAGGTAATGCATATGTCAATTAGCTTGATTTAGGCATTCTATAATGTATACATATATCAAAATACCATACTGTATACTATAAATGTATACAATTTTTATTTATCAGTTAAAACCATATCCAGTTGAAATGATTTGGTCTTTAATTGGAATGATGAGTCCATCTGTATTTAATGTAATGATTGACAATCTTACTATGTGACTTCCATTTGTTCCATATGGTCTATGTGTATTTTTATCTCCTTTCTTATATTCTTTTGGATCTATACAGTAGTTCATTATTTTACCCCTACTATTAGTTTGGAATTTATATGTATTTGTGCAATATGTTGCCGTTATATCATGAATTTTTAATTTATTAAAATCTGAAAATTATTATTTTGTTCTTCTCTAGGATAATACAAAGACATTAAAACACTTTACATTTACTCTCTTCTGACTTATGAATAATTGCTATATATGTATATACATATATATGGGACAATTTATATGACAGAGATAATACCACAAATAAATGGTAAAAGATGGATCAGTCAATAGGTGTTTTGGGGAAACTTGCTGACTTCTGTATGTGGAAAAAAATAAGACTGGATTTCTAACTCACATCATAAACAAGACCTAACTCCAGATGGATTAAAGACCTGAATGTGAAAGGTGAAATATTAAGATAATTGAAGAAAACCTATGAAAACATCTTTGTAAATTTAGGGTAGGAAAGCAGAAACCAAAATTAAGGATTTCTGTTTAACAAAGTATATCACATACATAGCCATCCAAGGGACACCGGTTGGCAGATAATTTTTACAATGTCAATATCTAGAATATACAAGGAGCTATTTTTTTAATGAACAAGAAACATGAAAGATGAAAAGTAAAAAATTATAATCAGGTAATTTTCAGATGAGGAAATCTCGATTGATAACAAGTACGTGAACTAATGCTCAACCTCACTTACAATCAGAGAAATACAGATTAAGACAACAAGGAGACACCACCTTATGCCCATAAGATTTGTAAACATTAAAAATTTAAAGAATAACAAATGTTGGCAAGAATGTTGAGAATCGGCAAATTGTATGTACTTCTTTGATAGTTTAAACGTATCCAGATGTTCTTAGCACAAACCAGTAGCATTTAGTAAAATTAAGCATTGTATTATCTAGCAATCTCATTCTTGGGTAAAACTTCAGAGACACTGGCATATAAGTGTGCAAGGAAACATACATGAGGATGTTCACTATAGCATTGTCTGGGGGCAGGAAATAATTAGAAGCAACTTAGATGTTCATTAATGGGGACTAGATTAAAAAAATGGTAGATGCACACTGTAGAATATTATGCTGCAGTTACAAGCAATGAAAGTAAATAATTCATAAGAACATCATTGAAAGAAAAAAGTAAGCACCGGAATTGGATCTATAGCAAAATTCCATGTATGTACATACAAATGTACATAAAACAAAGCTATTTATTTTTCCAAAGGCACATACGAATATAAGTACATTTACCAAACACATTAAAATGGGTGCCATTATGAGGTGGAAGGGAATGGGAGAAGGAATCACGATGACAGGCAAAACATACTAAAATGAAATGAAACAAGACAAGGATTTATATGACCCTCTGATGATAAAGTGTTTTAACAGATGAATGGATAAAGAAAATATGGTACATATACACAATGGAGTATTATTAAGCCATAAAAAAGAGTGAGATCCAGTTATTTGCAACAACATGAATAGAACTGGAGATCATGATGTTAAGAGAAATAAGCCAGGAACAGAAAGACAAACATTGCAAGTTCTCACTTATCTGTGGGATCTAAAAATCAAAACAATTGAACTCATGGTCATAGAGAGTGGAAGGATGATGACCAGAGGCTGGGAAGGATAGTGGGGTTGAAGGGAAGGTGAGGATAATTAATGGGTACAAAAACATAGAAAGAATGAATAAGACCTATTTGATAGCACAAGAGGGTGACTACAGTCATTAATAACTTAATTGTATATTCTAAAATAAAAAATGTAATTGGATTATTTGTAACTCAAAGGATAAATGCTTGAGGGGATGGATGCCCCTTTCTCCATGATATGTTCATTTCATATTGCATGCCTGTATCAAAACATCTCATGTACCCCATAAATATATACAACCACTATGTACCCACAAACAATTTAAAAAATAAAAAAATCTAAAAAAAGAAAGGATTTGCATTAAATCAATGATTCCAAAAACTAAATTACTCATGTTAATTTTTTGTCATATTTGTAAAACACCTGGGCAATGTACTTAATATATTCCTTAAATAGCCTCATTTAAAACACAAACATTTTATTTAAAAAGAATTTTATATCACGATTATAAATGGAAAACCAGTATATTTTTCTGTAAATAGAATGTAAGTGTGAAAATAATTACATGGGAACAAAATGAGGAAGTTCTAGCGAGATACTGTGGCCTGCTGAAGGTGAGGTTTGAGGTCGGCTCTCCATATGGGAAAAAGGGAGATTAATAAGTCTAGAGTCACTAAAGATATATTAACACCAGGCTAAGATGTTCCTTGTCTTTATAATCAACAGAGGGAAAGAAAATTGAGGTGGGAATATAACTTTGATACACGACATTTCAGAAGTATTTAATGTCGTGTCTATGTTTGCGTAATGCCAAGAATTAACTTGACACCCGCCAGTGTTATGTGTCCCACACTTTGGGAAACACAGGAGTTGATGGTTGCTAGTCTTTTCCAGCTTGAATTTTCTAAAGTTGTCTGAAATTAAGAAAGGCAAAATCCTGTTGCAAATGAGGAAGTGTCTGGCAGTGAAAACACTAGATAACAGGACGAATTACCAGGAGAGAAAACAGTGCTTCATTGCTACGACGTGAAAATGCTGCTACTACTACAAAATAAGCCTTGGAGAATTGAATAAAATCTTCAGAATTGTTCCCATTTCAAAGAACTTTGCAAATGTTACGTAAGCACTGGGGAGGATCCAAGTAAAACTCACTGGAACCAGGGGTTGGTTGATGTGTGTTTTTAATGGTGCAGCTTCTGAGGTATCCGCAGGCTTTGGAGGTGTGCCATGATGAGGCGTATAAAGGTAACAGAAAGGAAAGAAATCTTGGACCTTGTAGTTCCATTGGTTTGCGACTTAGCAGTTTCTGGAACTGCAGAACCAGTTCAATCTTGTTCAGCTTTGTCAGTAATGAAATGCAGCAAAGCGATGAACAGTTTTTAAGTGCAGGGGACCTCCAGGTTGCAAGTCACATAAAGTGTGCAAGCCAGATGAACAAACCATGCCCAATTCGTGACTTCAGAACTAGAAGCAACAAAAAAGTCTATCACATGTGGAGCCTAACTGCTCAGATTGAGGAACAGGGACCAAATTAAGAAACGAGGGGGGCCCTGTGTTGTTTCAATATAGACTTACAGGCCAAGGTCCCAACACTGCCTCTTTGCATGGCCCATCCGATCACACCTTGTTGCATTTTCCTGTCTCCTGCATAGTTATGCTCTGCCTGTAAAGTCTGCTCCCAGATCCCAGCTGGGAGAGACAGACTTGAGCGTTGCCTCCTGTCTCCTTGCCAGTCGACTTGCAATAAAGCTTTTTCTTTTTTCAAAAGCTGGTGCCATAGTATTGGCTTCTATGCAGTGGGTCCATTGGTTGGTAACATTTCCAGAATAATACAAGATTTAGGAAAGTACTCTGAGTATTCCTTCTTGATTAAGGGACGGAATAGGTATTATTTATCATGGTTTCTCCTTGACCTTCTGAAGACTGTTTAGGTTGCAAGTAACAGGAACCTACAAGCAAAAAAGTGAAACAATGTTACCAGGACTGGTCTGCTTTCCTCTTTTCAGCCCTTCTGTCTCCACATTATGGACCCCAGTGGCTCAGGCTTACACCCTTCTGGTTCCAATTCCAGAGAGAAAGAGAGCTTCTTTCCCTCTATGGATTTCAGAAGTACGTTGGCCAGAGTGGAGCCATGTACCTATTCCTGAACATTACAACAGGGAAGGAGAATTTGCTTAAGTACGAATCATACTTCACACTGGAGGTAGAGGCGAGGCCAGCCCCATCTAGAAGATATGTCTGAGAGTGGGGGAGGGAAGCATGCTGGGAAGGCAAATCCAACGAATGCTCAATACAGGTTGAGCATTCCTTATCTGAAACGCTTGAGACCAGAAGTATTTCAGATTTTGGAATTTTTTTGGATTTTGGAATATTTACATATACATAATGAGGTATCTTGGGGATGGAACCCAAGTCTAAACACGAAATTCACATACGTTTTATATACATTTTATACACATAGCTTGAAGATAATTTTATATAATATTTTCAGTAATTTTGTGCATGAAACAAAGTTTTGACTGTGATACATCACATGAGGTCAGATGTGAAGTTTTCCACTTGTGATTTCACGTGAATGCTCAAAAAAATTCAGATTTAGGAGCATTTTGGATTTCAGATTTTTGGGTTAGAAATGCTCAATCTGTATTTCTTTGACGTTAGACCAGGAGTCAGTAAAAGGGCAAAATAGTAAGTATTTTAGGCTTTGTGGGCCACCTAGGTTCTGTGTCACCTCTCTCTCTCTCTCTCTCTCTCTGTGTGTGTGTGTGTGTGTGTGTGTGTGTGCTTTACATTCCTTAAAAATGTAGAAACCTTCTTACCATGTAGGCTGTACAAAACCTGCTGCAAATTGGATTCGGTCCGTGGGACATAGACTGCTGAGCCCTGAATTAGACTGACCCTTAGTTTCTGTGTTCTAGTGTGACTTTTTTTGTAAGTTTTACTTTCCAAATGCTTCTATAGACATAAGCGCTAATCTCAAAGCTTCACAAGAGCAGAAACCACATTTGCTTCTCTTCCTCTTCCTCTACCACTCCTCCTCATCCTCCATTTTCTTCTCCTTTTCTTATTTTTCTCTTCTTTTTACTACTACTATTATTTACAATGCCCCCATTTCACCACTCTGTATCCAGAGTGAATTACCACAATGTGTGGTAATTGAAATATTCAATAAATATATATTGAACAGATAAAAACTACACTTCTCAAAGTGTTACTGACATAGCTTGGACTTCCAGAGGCTTGGATGAAAAGATTGTCTTCTTTGATGTTTCACTAAGCTGCAATACTGTAACAGCTTTCTGGTGATTCTAGGAAGGTGGGCGGGCTGGGTGGTGGGAAGAAAACCATGCTAGGAGTCAGGAAACCTAAGTTTTAGTCCTGGCTTTGCCTAACTTTGTGACTTTGGACAAATCATTTATCTTCCTTGCATCTTTTTGTATCTTCACTTATAAAATAAAAGGGTTGGAAATCAATGGCTGAGGTTTTCTGTAGTTCAAGACTTAATGGTGGAAAGAAAAACATTGTGAAATAGTCACAGGGATAGGAGAGAAGAGGAAATTGTGCCTATATTGTGGGGTGACTTTGGTAATCAATTTTCAGGAGTTTTGGCAAGAAACTTTCTGCTAATGACTAAAACAGGCATAGAAACAAAACTGTAATGGAAGGAGCATTTGCCAGTTTATTATCTTTAAAAGTAGTCTAAAATGCTCCTTTCTACTGAAAACAGGGATATTTCTAATTTTTTTTTCAAGGGGTAGTGCTTTACCATCTTTATGTTAAAGAAGTTACCTTTCACTACACAAGTGGCAGACATTTGTAGCTAGAGAAATTATCCTCCATGTTAATACGGGCCAGTAAATTAATCAAACTTCTTCTAAGCACTTACTAAATGTCGGGTACTTAGTTAAATGCCTCAAAGATGGAGAACAGATGGTTCCTTCCCGCAGGGAGTTTCCATCTGGAGATATTGAGTGGAGAATCACTTAGGTCTAACCAGGAAAGCAGAAACACTTCTAAGTATTTAAAATGAGAGAATTTAATGCAAAAAATGATTATACAGACAATGGAATTGTTGAGAAGGCAACAGAAGATGATGAGGTTACCCAGGAGATGGTGTGGAACTGCTACTAGGATGATTTTTAGAGACATGGAAAAAGTGATGACCCATGGTAGGTGAGGTGGAAATGCCAGGATTTATGTGCAAGATGGTGGAAATAGGATTGAAAGGCTCTGACTAAGGCCAGAAAGTCTTGCAGATTATTATGTGCCATGGAAAGGCTTGGAAGATACACTATTTAGTAAGGAAATAAGAAATGTGCTGGTGAAGTCAGAATGGCCATTATGAAAAAGTTAAAAAACAACAGGTGTTGGCATGGATGTGGAGAAAAGGGAATGCTTATACACTGGTGGTGGGAATGTAGACTGGTTCAATATCTATGGGAAACACCATGCAGATATCTCAAGGAGCTGCAAATAGAGCTACCATTTGACTCAGCAATCCCATTACTGAATATCTACCCAAAGGAAAATAAATTATTGTATAAAAAAGACACCTGCACTTGTAGGTCTGTCACAACACTATTAAATCATGGAAACAACCCGTGCCTATCAACAGTTGATTGGATAAAGACCATGTGGTACATATACACCATGGAATACTATGCAGCTATAAAAAGAATGAAATCATGTCTTTTGCAGCAACATGGTTAGAGCTGGAGGCCATTATTATAAGTGAACTAACTCAGAAGCAGAAAATTAAATATTGCATGTTCTCACTTATAAGTGGGAGCTAAACAATGGGTACACATGGACGTAAAGATGGAAACAATAGACACTGGGAAATGCAAAATGGTGGAGGGAGATAGGCGAGTGGGGGTTGGAAGATTACCTATTGGAAACAATGTTCCATATTTGGATGACTGGCACACTAGAAGCCCAATCCCCACTATTACACCATCTACCCATATAACAAACATGGACATGTACCCTCTGAAACTAAAATAAAAAACTAAATATGCTGGCAAGAGGGACATCAGTATCACTTAGAAGCCCAGTGTTGGCTCCTTGGCAGGCCAAGGCTAAATGTAGGAAAGGCCATAACAGAACTGGGCTTACCAATAGCAATGGGGCAGTTAGCACTCTGGGATTTTAGAGGCCAGATGGTGACGTTTAACCATCCGGTAGACATTTGCCGTAATGATTGGGAAGTATGGAGGAGGAACCAGGAAGACCCTTCCTGCGGAGAGTTTTGAATGGTTATGGAAAATGGCATCAAGTCAACAAGAGTGCTGCTCAATCTGTACAATGAAAAGGAATCAAGGATGAATAATCAGGATGCTGAGAACAGTCACGCCCAATAATAAGGATCAATCCCTTGCCCATGTTTGCTAGACGTGGGCCAGTTTTCAAACCTGAAACCCAGTGAGAGGCCAGTTCTTCAGGAGGAAAGACCCTGCAACATCACAGCAAGTACAAACAGTAATGATTCCTCCAGGCTTTTCCCACATGGACTGACTACCACTTACTTGAGTAGCTGTATACTGGGAAACGGGGTGTGCCCAATTATTTCCAGGATTACTGGACACAGGAACCTAATTGACATTGACACCTGGAGGCCCAAAGTGCCATCATAACCCCCCTGTTAGAGTGGGGAAACCAGGTGATAAATGAAGTCCTGGCCACAGTTCAGCTTACAATGGTTCTATGAGGTCCATGGACTCACCCAGTCATGTCCCAGGTTCTCAAATGTGTAATTGGGACAGACATTCTTCGTACTTGTTTAACTCATACTTTTGGTCCTTGGCCTATAGGGTAGGAGTTATCATCGTGGGGGAAAGGCAAGTGGAATGCTCTGAAACTGCTTCTCACTTCCTAACCCTTGTAAAGCCAGTCCATTAAAGATAATATCTCATCCCAAGGGAGATGGAAGAAATTAGTGCTACTGAAGGATGGCAGAGGTGGTGGTCTCTGCCATATCTTCAATCTACATGAATGCAAAAGTCCAGACTCTGCAAAATCTGGCCCTTGCAGAAATTAGATGGATTCTGGATGATGGCAGAGGACTACTGCCACTTCAACCATGCAGTAGCTCTCATTGCAGCCACTATACCAGACTTGGTACCTTTGCTAGAGCAGATTAACAATTATGCAGATTAGGCCGGGAGCGGTGGCTCGTGCCTGTAATCCCAGCACTTTGGGAGTTTGAGGTGGGCAGATCACGAGGTCAGGAGACTGAGACCATCCTGGCTAACATGGTGAAACCTTGTCTTTACTAAAAATACAAAAAAATTAGCTGGGCCTGGTGGCGTGCACCTGTAGTCCCAGCTACTTGGGAGGCTGAGGCATGAGAATCGCTTGAACCCGGGAGGCAGAGGTTGCAATGAGCCAAGATTGTGCCACTGCACTCCAGCCTGGAGACAGGGCGAGATTCCATGTCAAAAACAAAACAAAACAAAACAAAACAAAAAACAAACAAAACCAATTAAGTAGATTACTCTGCTGCCAGGGAAACCCGACCTGTGACAAAAGACTTTTTCTTCATTGCTAATCAAGCATCAAACATTCACAGAAGAGCAGGTCTATGAGGACAGATAGGCAATAAACCTTGAAAAACAAATGGAAATCAATGAGTGCTGTTCTTGAAATGTCGTTCCAGAAATGCCACTGCTTTCTCTGCCCATACCCTCACCCATAACCCCAGCTGAATGCTTGCAGTGGCATGTTTCGTACCATGTGACCCAATTCCTTTTACCAAGTTAATTGCACCAGAGTTGAGTACCTGATCCAGGGATAATTCATCCACGGGGTAGCCAGTAATAAGTGGTTTGGATCCTCTGGTGCAGAAATGTGATGAACCAGGTCAATTACATTCTCCACTCAAAAATTTAGAATGGGAAGACAGAAACTGAGCTGGTTAGCTCTTGTGCGCAGGGAGAGGGTAGTAGGGACAGCTTGGGAGTGGCAACTACGAGCTCTGTGCAAGAGGATGCAGTTTAGTAAGAGAGTAGGATGTAGCAGATGCATTGAAAGAAGTTGAGATGAGGAAAGACAGAGTTGAGGCTGGGAAAAAGGGGAAACTTGATTCTTCCTGGCTTCCCAATTCTGGTTCCTGTGGGACCTACCTTTGCTTTGGGTCTTACCTTTGTGTTCCTTGAGATACCTTGGAGGAGATTTCTCAGTTGAGCTAGGTTGAGTGGATCTTTTTCTTGCAACCAAAAGAGTCCACCTAGAATTGAGGTTTGAGGGGCATTACTTTCTGTTTGAATAATAAATGTCACTTTTTTTCTTGAATTATTAGATACTTCTATGTATTATTTTTCTCTCTCCACTTAAAACTGTGAGCTTTTTGAGGTGAGTGTTCTCTATACTTTAGGGAAGGCTATTGATACATTGTAGTAATAATAACAATAGCTTAGTTTTTACTATGTGCCAGACACTGAGCTAGGAGCTTCATATCCACTACATTTACTAATAAATGCTCCATTGTGAGTTATTGAAACAGGAGAGTACCCTGATTCCCCTTGCAGGGTGTGTGACAGATGTGTGGCTCACCTGCCTGATCACCCCGCAGCAGCTCAAACCCCTAGGGGGAGCATGCAGATGGGCAAGTGCAGAGGCCGAGGTGAGCACTATTGGGCTCTGGCCACATGGCAGCTTCTAGGGGTGGGTGTCTGTGACTCCCAAAGCCCAACTGGGTGTGTGTTACAAAGCTCTTTCAGATTTGCTGTCTACAGATGGCTTGTGTGTTAATCAGCTCAATGGACCTTCTGCCTTACACAAGGGCAGAGGGCCAGTGTGACAGCCTTCTGTATCCTGAAAGAATCCTGAGCTCTTGCCCAGTATCCCAAAAGAATCAGATCACACATGAGCTTGAAGGATGAGTCCAAGATGTTATTGAAGGGTGGAGGTGGCTCTTAGTGAGACAGATAGGGAGCTGGATGGGGGATGGAAGTGGGAAGGTGGTCTTCCCCTGGAATCGGGCCGCCCAGCAGCTGGACTCTTCTCCAACCTCCCCTAGCTGAACTCCCCTCGGTGTCCAGACGTTCCTCCTCTTCTCTCTTCCTCTGCTGCATCATTCCACTGCTTCTGGTCTGCTAGTCTGCTGGTCTTGATGTTCAGCCACTTGTGTGTGTGCCCGCTAAGGTCTCTGGTTTATATGGGTACAGGATGGGGGGTGTGGTGGACCACAGCGGTCTTGGAAAATGCAATGTTTGGGTGCAAAAACAGGAGTGCCTATTTTCACTCAGATCTGTGGGCACAGGACCAAGGGTGGAGCCCTCACCAGAGACCCTGCTCTTTTCATGTATCATTATTATTATTATTATTATTATTATTATTATTATTATTATTATTATTGTCATTGCTATTAATATCACCCTAGTTACCCCAAGTATACAACCAAAGGAAATAAACTTGCAATACAGCTGGAGAAAGAAAAGAAATAATTTATTCTTGGGGTAGTATTTTTTCCTTAAAATTTCTTTTTCTTCTCAGCAAACTGATACATGCTTATTAGGGTTTTTTTTTCCAGTTGCTATTTACTTTTATTTTATAAGACATTTCTGTCCCCTAGGCTGGAGTGCAGTGGTGAG
Source organism: Homo sapiens (assembly GCF_000001405.40). Classification (NCBI taxonomy): domain Eukaryota; kingdom Metazoa; phylum Chordata; class Mammalia; order Primates; family Hominidae; genus Homo; species Homo sapiens. The sequence continues at coordinate 52,913,661 of NC_000016.10, read as the reverse complement.
ATCATGGCTCACTGTATCTTCAACATCCTGTGCTCAAGTGATCCTCCCACTTCAGCCTCCTGAGTAGCTGGAACTACAGGCATTTACCACCATGCCCAGCTAATTTTTGAATTTTTAGTAGAGATGGGTCTTGCTATATTTCCCAGGCTGGTCTTGATCTCCTGGACTCAAGCAATCCTCCCATCTCAGCCTCCTAAAGGGCTGGGATTACAGGCATGAGTCACTGTGCCTGGCATTATTAGAGAAAATTTGGAAAATACAGACAAACACAAAGAAGAAAAAAAGTCATCCTTATTCTATTACAGATGACCATTGTGAATACTTTGGTGCATACCCTTTTGGTTACATAGACATGCACACACACACACACACACACACACACACACACTCTGTTTTGTAATTTTTTTTCCCACTATACAATCTGACCATGCCATTAAATGTGCTTTTAGGACATAATTTTAAAAGAGCTGTGCAATATTTCTCTATATGATAAGTGTCAGGAAAGAATTATAAGCCATGTAACAAAAGACCCTGGGAGGTTGGACCCTGGGGGATTGCAAACTCCTGCCTCTTTTAAGGGTCCTAGGTACATTTCCACCTGGAGCACGGGCAAGGGCTATATGACCTCTGGAGGGCACTAGGTTTCCAAACTTCTGAAAACAAGAAATCCTTGCATATCCTTTATATTCTCTTCCTTCTGCTTCCGTCATCTCGTGTTGCTTCTGAAAATTTTTGCTCTCGGATGCTTTGAAGCTTCTGGAAATTGGTGCCTTGGGGTTGGTCTGTACACGGTCTGGGTTTCAGGGCCAGCTGCAGATGGCCTGTCTCCTGGACCTACTTTTTTGTCCCCAGTTGAGTCCTGGATACCCATTAACTTCCCTGCACAACACAAGCAGCTACCAGCAGATGGTGCTGTGAGCAAGTGCGTCTGCCTAGGTGTGATTTACACAAGCCCTTGAAGGCTTTAAATATTTATCCACAAAATTCAATAAAGCTGTTCATCAAATCTAATGCTTAGAATTTGGGCAGCCCATGAAAATATTATAATATTTTGCCCGAGGTTCCAGAAATCTCTTCTGTATGGTGTGTTTGTGTATTCAGATTTCTGATATTTGTTTATCATCAGCGGGAAGGAATTCATGTGACACATTGTAGGTTTTTTGCATGAGAGCAGGCCTGGGAAATCTTTGTAAATTTTTTCTCCAGATATTGCAGGGATTGCAAGCTCCTTACCTGACTAGGAGGTCCTTGAGGTTAGACACTGGGTTTGATTCTTCTTTGTATCCTCAACATCAAGCAAGTGCCCGGCCAAGAGGAAGTGCTCCATGAACAAATTAATTCAGGGAGGGAGCAGATGGATAGGTTATTTTTTCTTTCAAACTGTGTGTGTGTATGTGTGTGTGTGTGTTATTGTCCTTTCTCCCTCCCACCACTCCCGCCCCCAGAGGAGTTTGGAAATGCATCTGGTTGTCAAAATGATTGGGTGGATGGATGAGTGAGAGGGGGTCTCCACTGCTATTTAGTGCACAGGATCAAAGGACATTGAACATGCAGGAGACAACATGCAGCTCCCTCTTTAAGAATCCCTGTATGGCTTCTTTGTAGCTGGTGATGTTACACAAGCCACATAACTTCTCTGAACCTCAGTTTTCCTTATCTGTGAAATGGAAACATAAACATTAGCCTGATTAACCCATAGGAGTGTTGTGGGTTTCAAATAAGTAACGTATTTTTCAGCACTTTTTGCAAATTATAAAGCATTATATGGCATATTGACCTTCTTTGGTCCTTGGGGATGAATAAGCCTGGCCTCATTGACCATGGTGCTGGAACCAGCTGAGGCCCAATTTGTACAGGTAGGAGTCAAACCTGTATCTACCTGAATCTTCAACATCTCAGGCACTAGTTCCACTCTCCTTCCTGTTGCTTCTGTCTCACATCAGAACCGTCTTTGATTCCTCCTTCTCTTTCATCCCCAGAGTCCAATCCCTCAGCAGTCATATCCATTTTACATTAAAAACTTAGCTCAAATCTGTTTCTTATCCCCATCTTCCTTACTTCCACCCTAGGCTAGCTGTGGCTTTTGACCTCCTGAGTGAACCACTGAGTGAAACCAATCTCAGAGCTTCACTCTTGCCCTCTGATATGGATTGGCTCTGTCTCTCCACCAAATCTCATGTCAAGATGTCATCTCCAATGTTGGAGGTGAGGCCTGGTAGCTACTTGTGTTGTGTGGGGAAGTTAATGGGTATCAAAGACACAACTGAGGACAAAAAGGCAGGTCCAGGAGGGACAGACCATTCGCAGCTGGCCCCAGAACTCAGACCCTGTGCAGACCAAACCCAAGGCACCAATTATTGGGAGCTTCAAAGTGTCCGAGAGCAAACATTTTCAAAAGCAACATAATATAAAGGAAGCAGAGGGAGGGAGGATATTAAAGGAAATGCAAGAATTTTTTGTTTTCAGAAGAGCTTTGGAAACCTAGTGTCCTCCAGAGGTCATGTAGCCCTTGCCCCTGCTCCAGGTGGAAATGTACCCAGGACCTTCAAGAGAGGCAGGAGTTCCTATGGAGCCTGCAGAACCATGGGCCAGTTAAACCTCTTCTCTTTATAAATTACCCAGTCTCAGGTATTTCTTTATAGCAATACAAGAGTAGACTAATACACCCACCCTACAACACACCTCTACACAGCAGCACAGCGACCTTTTAAAGATGCACACTGGGTTCTGCCACCTTTCTGCTTAAGACCCTCCATGGACTTCCCATTTCCCCTGGAACTAGAGTCACTCTTTCTGTTGGCGTATGAAGGCTCGCAGGTTCTGTTCCCCCCTAACACCTTCTTGGACCTTATGACATAGCACTGTCTCCTTGCTCACCACAGTGCTAACTCCCAAGCTCTTTTCTGCCTCACGGATTTTGCCCTTGCCTTGCTGTTCCCTCTATCCAGAATGCTCTTTTCTAGGTCTTACATGTTTTCAAATCTCAATAGGGGAGTCAACCCTTGGAAAGACTTCTGCTGGCCTCTCCATGTAGGTTCTATCCTATTATCTTATTTAATTTCTTTTCCAATGCCATCACTCTCCAAAATTACTCCATTTGCTTTTATCTGTTTATTAGTTTACTCTATTAAAATGCTATTGCCATGAAAGCAGGCACCTTCTTTGAGGTGTCCCTGCTGTGTTCCTAGAACCTGAAACACTGTCTAGCACGTAGCCAGAGTTTAGTAAATGTTTGCTGATGAACAGAAGGGCGGTTCTGGCTCAAGGTTTCTCATGGGGTGGTTGTCAGGCTGTTGGTCAGGGTTTAGGCTTGACTAGGGCTGGAGGATGCACTTCCAAGATGGCATGCTACATGGCTATTGGCAGCAGGCTTCAAGTCTCTCCAGAGTTTCTCATGATACTGAAGCTAACTTCACTTGGAACAGGTAACCTGAGAGAGAGCGTATGAGGGGAAAGCTGTGATGTTGTTTATGATCTTGTTATACATTGTCACATCTGCAATATTTTTTCTTTCTTTCTTTCTTTTTTTTTTTTTTCTGTTTTTGAGACAGGGTGTCACTCTGTTGCCCAGGCTGAGTGCAGTGGCACAATCAGGGCTCACTGCAACCTCGACTTCCCAGGCTCAAGCAATACTCCTGCTTCAGCCTCCCAAGTAGTTGGGACTATAGGCACATACTACCACACCCAGCTAATTATTTATTTTTTTTGTAGAGATGGGGTCTTGCTATGTTGCCCAGGCTGCTCTCAATCTCCTAGTCACAAGCAATCCTCCCGCCTTAGCCTCCTAAAGTGCGGAGATTACATGTGTGAGCCACCATGCCTGGCCTGTTTTTTGTTTGTTTGTTTTAAATATAAGTTGGGATTTGAAGGTAGAAGAATTAGGTCACATTTGCCACATTTTATTTGTTAGAAGAGAGTCACTAAGCACAGCCCATACTCAAGGGGAGGGCAATTAGATACCACCTCTTCGTGTGTTGAAGAATTGGCGGACCTGAATGTGAACCACCACATTCAGGTTGTCAGGAGCTAAGCCTAGTGCTCTTTTGGTCAGCCATAATACTTCTCCACTGGGCTTCTAACCTTTTAAAGTACAGCATTGATGACAAGGTGGCAAGAGATAAAAAAATGGACGACTAAACACAACGAGCCCAATGAGCTCAAAGAGACTTTTCGAGCCAAAAGAGACTCAGCCTAGTGGTGTGGGATCCGTAGCATCCTCTGTCTCCGAAGTAGGTGCTGGGAAACAAACGTGCAGGCCTGATTTCTTTTTTCTTTCTCTTCTTACTGACTTAACTTTTTCAACATTGATATTTGGTGGTGAGTGGCACAGATATAGCTTGGCCCTCAAGCTACAATCAATGAGGCCCCTGTGATAACAACACAGAGGATCCAAAGCCAAGGGAAACACATCTCAGAGAATCCTCGCTAATTGAAGTAATTAAATCAGCAGGAAGCCATCTGAACAATTATCACACTACAAGGAAAAACTCATTTGAAGCCCTTAGAATAAACATTCTAATAAATAGCTATTAGTTTATATTTGTAAATACCAACGGCCTATCAGGAAATTTGCTAATAGATTTTTAATTAAGGGGAACCGCACATTTATAGTAGTGCCACACTGCCTTCTGTTCAATATCCTTCCCTGGCTTGCATGTGGAGCCTTGGGCTCACTTTGAAAAATTGCCTTGATCTCTCTTGGCCAAAGTGGCTGATAATTGTTTTTTTCTGTTTGGATCTTAGACTAGGTTATTCCATCAGGAATTAGTTTCAGTGCAGTGTCTATGTCCCCACAGGTAGAAGAACCAAAGACTTGTTACCTTGAGAAAAACAAGAGGGCCCTTATAGAAATCTATTTGATAGGCTGGGTGCAGTGGCTCATACCTGTAATCCAGGACTTTGGGAGGCCGAGGCAGGAGGATTACTTGAGACCAGGAGTTTGAGACCAGCCTGGGCAACATAGTGAGACCCTATCTCTACTAAAAATTAAAAACTTACTCAGGTGTGGTAGCACGTGCCTGTAGTCCCAGCTACTTGAGAGGCTGAGGTGAGAGGATTGAATGAGCCCAGGAGTTTGACACAGCAGTGAGCTAGGATCATGTCACTGTACTCTAGCCTGGTCAATAGAGACCCCTGAAAACCAAAACACAAAACAAACAAGAAATCTATTTGATCTGTACATGAGAACATTTCCTTCTTGAAAGCTGATGATAATTTTTCAAGGCAGTCTTAATAGTTTACTTTTTTTTTTGAGACAGGATCTCGCTCTGTTACTCAGCCTGGAGTGCAGCGGCACAATCTCAGCTCACTGCAACCTCTGCCTCCCAAGTTCGAGTGATTTTCCTGCCTCAGCCTCCCTAGTAGCTGGGACTACAGGCATGTGCCACCACATATAGGCATGTGCCACCACATACAGGCATGTGCCACCACGCCTGGCTAAGTTTTTGTATTTTTAGTAGAGATGGGGTTTCATCATGTTGGCCTGGCTGGTCTTGAACTCCTGGACTCAAGCGATCTGCCTGCCTTAGCCTCCCAAAGTGCTAGGATTACAGACACGAGCCACTGTGCCTGGCCTAATAGTTTGCTTTCTAGAAGGGATTATTTGTCCTTTTTGAAGTTCCTCTCAATACAATATCCCATTAATTCTCACCAAAACCTTGTGAGGTATATAACCCACTTACGATTATTCCTACTTCCTGGACGAAGTCTTCAAGGCAGATGTGATTTAATGTCACCCAGGAAGTCAATGGCAGAGTTAGGACTAGAACCCAGGCCTTCTAGAATAACTGCTTGTCTCACTTTAGCTTAATGTTTCCTGATCCACCTTTAATACGGAGGGGCCTCACTATCTGGGCTCACCTTCAAGAATCTTGACTTTTGTCAAGAAAAAAAAAGCCATTTGGACATACACAATTTTACATACAAATTCAGGGGATTTGATCACCGCTTGAAAGTCAATGGTAGAACCTGGAATATCTATTAAGATAAGAACCGGCTGGGCGCGGTGGCTCACGCCTGCAGGAGGCAGGCAGATCACGAGGTCAGGATATGGAGACCATCCTGGCTAACACGGTGAAACCCCGTCTCTACTAAAAATACAAAAAATTGGCTGGGTGCGGTGGCTCACGCCTGTAATCCCAGCACTTTGGGAGGCTGAGGCGGGTGGATCATGAGGTCAGGAGATCCAGACCATCCTGGCTAACACGGTGAAATCCTGTCTCTACTAAAAATACAAAGACAAAATTAGCCGGGCGTGGTGGCGGGCGCCTGTAGTCCCAGCTACTTGGGAGGCTGAGGCAGGAGAATGGCGTGAACCCGGGAGGCGGAGGTTGCAGTGAGCTTAGATTGCGCCACTGCACTCCAGCTTGGGTGACAGAGTGAAACTCCCTCTCAAAGAAAAAAAAATACAAAAAATTAGCAGGGCATGGTGGCAGGCACTTGTAGTCCCAGCTACTCAGGAGGCTGAGGCAGGAGAATGGCGTAAACTTGGGAGGCGGAGCTTGCAGTGAGCCGAGACCGCGCCACTGCACTCCAGCCTGGGCGACAGAGCAAGACTCCGTCTCAAAAAAAAAAAAAAAAAAAAAAAAAAAAGAAAAGAAAAGAAAAGAACCCCTACCATGTACCCAGCAGTAACGTGTTATCCACCTAGCAGAGGTTTAGACTTCATATTAGAACTGAAGCTCTAACATTATTTGGTCAAAGTAGGGGTTCGCTACCCATCAGCATCCTTCAAGGGAACTGCTCTTTGTCAATGATTTAGGGAAGAGGGCACCAAGTTGAAAATATCAGTGAAGAAGGAATTTATTCTCCTTGTTGCATTATCAGAAGATACTTATGTTAGCATTCCCTTAATATGCATTCTATTAGAGGTCTTAGAATCAGATAACCTCATATATTCTCTCACCCTTTCTCCAGTTCAACTTCTAAAGTGGGGGTTTTCCTTGGGTTTGGCATTAACTGACTCTATTTTACGGGCACAGCCATGTTTTTCTCCCTTCTTCGAAATATCAGTGGCAGAGTAATATAATAAAGTTCTTACTTGACACACTGAGTAGTCTGTAATATGCTAACATTTCTGTATCCTGTTAGTATTGCATTAAGCTAACATGACACTAATTCAAGATGACAGGAAAAATGACTAATACAATAAGAACTTCATCTAATTCCCCAGGGCTGCCACACGTGTCTGATTTAATTCACCTGAAACCTCCCATGGATGGGCAGGGTTAAGGTGCAGTGGGGCCATTGAAAATGGAAGTTCCTGAAAAACAAAAACAACTGGATATTTCCTGCCTGCCTTTCCTGCTGTCATTTCCACCCCACATCCGAATTCCTGGGAACCAGAGAAGGAGGAGTGGTCAAATAGGAGCAGTGGTTGTATGGATGCATTAAGTTTTGGAATGATAGAGCTGGGCCCACCTCTAAACTGTTAATTGTTGATTTGGGGCAAGTTACATAACTCATCTAACTTCTATTTCCATAAAAAAAAACTACATAACTTTGTGGGGCAGTTAAACGGATTAAATAAGGTAATGCATATGTAGTAAGTGTTCAAGAAATGATGGTGATGATGATGGCAACGATGATATTTTGCTGGACTTAGAAAGAAAGGAGATTACTTACAATACCCTTGGATCTGGAGACTTACTTAAAAACATATATTTTTTGTGGTAAAAAAATGCACGACATAAAATTTAACATATTAACCATTTCTAAATGTGCAGTTCAATAGTGTTAACTATATTCATATTGCTGTGCAACAGATCTCCAGAACGTTTTCATCTTGCAAAACTGAAACTCTATTTATTAAACTATCATTAAACAACAACTTCCTACCCCCAGCCCCTGACAACCACCATTCTACTTTCTGTTTCAGTGAATTTGACTACTCTAGGTACCTCATATGAGTGGAATTATATAGCATTTGTCTTTTGGTGATGGGCTTATTTCATTTATCATAACGACTTCAAGTTTCCTTCATGTTGTAGCATGTGTCAGCATTTCCTTCCTTTTTAAAGCTGAATAATATTCCATTTTATGGCTATACCACACTTTGTTTATTCATTCATCTGTTCATGGACATTTGGGTTGCTTCTACCTTTTGCTTATTGTGAATAATACTGCTATGAGTATCTATGTGCAGATATTTTTGAGACTCTGCTTCCACTTCTTTTGGATATATCTTCAGAAGTGGAATTATGGGACCACAATTTTTTGAGGATCTACCATGTTGTTTTCCACAGCAGCTGCACCATTGTATGTTTCTACTAACAAGGTTCTATTTTTTTCCGTATTTTTGCCAAGAGTTGTGATTTTCTGTGGGTTTTTAAAAAATAGTAGCTATCCGAATGGGTGCGAGGTGATATCTCACTGTGGTTTTGATTTGCATTTCCCTAAAGATTAGTGATGTTGAACATCTTTTCATAAGCTTATTGGTCATTTGGATATCATCTTTGGAATAATGTCTATCAAATCCTTTGCCTATTTTTATTTTATTTTATTTAAAACATTTTTGTGGGTATATTGTAGGTGTCTATATTTATGGGGTACATGAGATGTTTTGATACAGGCATGCAATGCATAATAATCCCATCATGTAAAATGGAGTATCTATCTCTCAAGTATTTATCCTTTGTGTTACAAACAATGCAACTACACTTTTTTAGATATTTAATAATGTACAATTAAATTATTATTGACTATAGTCACCCCATTGTGCTATCAAATACTAGGTCATACTCATTCTTTCTAACTATTTTTGTGGTACCCATTAACTGTCCCCACTTTCTTCTGACCCTCCCACTACCCTTCCCAGCCTCTGGTAGCCATCCTTTTGCTCTGTATCTCCATGAGTTCAATTGTTTTGATTTTTAGGTCCCATAAATAACATTGCCTAATTTTAAATTGGCTTCTTTTTTATTGTCATTGAGTTGTAGCAGTTCTTTGTGTATTCTGGATACTAATCCCTTATCAGATATATGATTTGCAGATATTTTTCTTCATTCCATAGTTTGCCCTTTCATTCTTTTGATTATATCCTTTGATGCACAGAAATTTCATATTTTTTTGTAGTACAATTTATCTATTTTTACTTTTTTTTTTTTGCCTGTGTGCTTTTGGTATCATATCCAGGAAATACTTGCTAAATCCAATGTCATAAAGCTTTTCTTCCATGTTTTCTTCTAAGAGTTTTAGAGTTTTAGTTCTTATGTTTGGGTCTTTGATCCATTTTGACTTCATTTTGACATATGATGTAAAATTTAGATCTAGCTTCATTGTTTTATATGTAGATATCCAGTGTTCCCAACATCATTTGTGAAGAGACTGTCCTTTTCCTGTTGAATGACCTCTGTTGAAAAACATTTGACCATTTATACAAGAGTTTAATTATCAGCCCTGTATTTTATTCCCTTTGTCTATATGTCTGTTTTTATGCCAGTACCATGCTATTTTGATTACTGTAGTTTTGTAATAAATTTTGAAATTAGGAAGTATGAGATCTCCAATTTTGTTCTTCTTTTTCAAAATTGTGTTGATGCTTCAGAGTCCCTTGAGATCCTATATAATTTTAGAATGGACTTTTCTGTATCTGCAAAGAATATCATTAAGATTTTTGACAGGAATTGCATTAACTCTGTAGATTGTTTTGGGTAGTACTGACAACATAACAATAGTCTTCCAACCCATGAAGATGAATGTCTTTCAATTTATTTGGTCTTTAATTTTTCAGCATGTTTTGTAGTTTTCACTGCATAAGTTTTTTGCCTCCTCAGTCTAGTTTATTCACGGGTACTTTATTCTTTTGATGGCATAGTAAATGGAACTGTTTTCTTAATTTGCTTTGCAGATCACTCAAAGAGACTTTCTTTTGTTATTTATTTGTTTAAACAGTGTTTAGTTTTTTAAAATTATGTGGGCATGCAGTAAAAAATTCACACAATATGATAGCATATAGAATGAACATAAGATTCCCTCCGTACCTGATCTTCAGCCTTCTATCCTTCCCAGAATCCATCATCTGTGCTAGTTTATTGTGATACCTTTCAAAAATATATGAACAGATGAGGATAGGGAATATACACTGTTCTGCACCTTGCTTTATTTTTTCTTTCAAATTCAACATATCATGGAGATAGTTCTATATCGGCATACTGGGAAATATATCATTCTTTGTAAAGGCTACTTACACTGTAGTTCTATATTTTACCTTAAAAAAATTCCATAGTAAGACATTTGGATTGTTTCCAGTTTTTGCTATAAGGAAGAATTCTTAAGTAGACATCTTTATGTATGTATCTTTGAGCATATGTGTGAATATATCTCTAGGATGAATTCTTGGATATGTTTCTAGAGTGCAATTGCTGGGTCAAGGTTATGTGCATGTAAACTTTTGGAAAATTGTATGGCGTTTGTATCAGTTTAAACACTTATTGATAGTATTTGAGGATGAAGGTTCCCTCCATATCCCTGGCAGCATTTCTGTTTTTGTCAATCTGACAGGTGAAAATAATGGTGTTTTTTAATGGTTTAATTTACGTTTCTATAATTATATGTCGTGTTCTGCATATTCCTAAAAGTTTTATATATATTTACCCTGTGAACCACATTGTGTATTTCATATTTCATGTACATGTGTTAATTGGATTATTGAACTTTTCTCATTAAGTTGTTAAGTATTTCTTAGGCAACATTAGCCATTTTGCATATATGTCACAAATCCTTTTTCCAGTTTTTAAACTTTGTTTATGGTGATAATTTTATTGTGCAGACATTTTATATTTTTATGAAATCAAATTAGAAAAATTTTTTTGTGGGTTTTGGGCTTTCTATCATGCTTAGAGTGGTCTTTTCTATTCCAAAATTAAAGAAATAAATTACCTGATTTTTTTTGCTAGTGTTTTAACTTTATTTTTGATGTTTAAATGTTTGATTGGTTTAATGTTTCATCTATTCAACATTTATTTTAGGGTAAGAATTGAATTAGGCATCTGGATTTTTTTCCTCACATGACAAGGTGGTTGTCATACTACCTTTTACTGAAAAGAATCCATCTTTTTTCCAATGTTTGAACTGCTGCCTTTGTCACATAATACATTTTCATATGTCTTTAGATTCATTTCTAGGCTCGCTATTCTTTTCTGTTTTATGCACCTGGACCAAATTATTTTAATTACTGTAGCTTTATAGTTCTCTAGAATGAGCTTTACTCATTCAAGAAATATTCTATTGATACATTATTGAGATTATATACAATTTATAGGTTGACTTAGAGTGAAGTGACATCTTTACAATGCACAATTCTCCTTCCAAGAACAGGGTTGTATTTCCATTCATTTGAGTTTTCTTTCATGTTCCTCTTTAGTGCCTTAAAGTTTTCTTTTTATGGATTCTGCACCTTTTAAAGTTTATTCCTATTGATAGTTTATCTTTTTAAACTCCTGCTTACAAATGAGATTTTCCTTTCATTATGTGATCTAATTGAATCATTTGTATATAGAAAAATATTGTTATCTGTATATAAAATTTAAATATACACTTAACTACATTTTCTTTATTTTTCTAATAGCTTTTTCATTGATCCTCTTGTGTTTCATAGTTATATAATCACATAATATACAAATAATGATTTTTTCTTCCCCTTAACAGTGATAGCTATCACATTTTTGTATCTTGCTAAAGCATTTAGAACCATGTTAAATAGTAGTAGTGGCAGTGATCATCTTATTTTATACCAGACTTTAATGATTCACTTTTATACATGATAATGACTTTTCTTTATACAGAGTTTTGTTTTGTTTTGTTTTGTTTTGTTTTGAGACAAGGTCTTGCTCTGCTGGCCAGGCTGGAGTGCAGTGGTGCAATCTTGGGTCACTGCAACTTTTGCTTCCTGGGTTCAAGAGATTCTCCCACCTCAGCCTCCCAAGTAGCTGGGATTACAGGTGCCCACCACCATGCCTAGCTAATTTTTGTATTTTTGAATATTGTGTTTTATTCAATACCTTTACCAGCAATGTTTAGGGAGAAAAATGTATAGATGATCATGTTGTTTTTCTAAGTTGATATGTGACTGTAGTGAGTCCTAATGTTGAACTATCTTTGCATTTTAAATCTTAGTATATTACTCTTTTAGTGTGCTGCCAGATTCTAAGTGCTGATATTTTATTCAAGATTTTTGCATTACTATTCATAAGTGAGATTTGCTCTGTTTTTTTTTTTCCTATGCTATCTTTTTCAGATTTTGGTGTCAAAGTTTTTCTGGTTTTGTAAAAAGAAGCTGAAAATATTCTTCTAGACTCTGAATAGTTTAAATAGTAGTAGTTATCTGTCCTGGGAAGGTTTGGTAATTTTCCTTTGTGAAATCATCTGAGTCTTCTACAGTTTGGGTGTCTAGCTTTTTGATTACTTTCTGAATTACTTCTAAAATTAGTGTGTGTAGAATCTTGCCTTTTCCTGGGTCAGCCTGGTGATGCTTTTCTAGGAAATTACCTATTTCATCCCAGTCTTTACATCAAATTAATTAAAATGATTGTGATTCTTTGAATTATCTCTTTATTTCCTCATCATCACTTGGTATTTTGTATTTATTTTTAAATATATTTTCTTCTTCTTTTCTTTATTAGATTTGCTAATGGTATATCTATTTTATTGTTTTCTTCTAAGAACTAGCTCTTGAATTTGTTTGCTTGTCATTTTTTTAACATACATTTTAAAAACATAACTTTTTTATGTTTTAAAATGACTAATTTTTGCTTGTATATCTACTTACTCCTTAGCTTTGATTTCCTTATTTTGTTTATTATTGTGTATTTAAAAAAATGTTTGGAAGTTTATATAACTTACTATTATTCTTTCTAGTTTAATAGTGTATACATTTTAAAGAGAATGAAATACCTAGGAATACAACTTACAAGGGATGTGAAGTACCTCTTCAAGGAGAACTACAAACCACTACTCAAGGAAATAAGATAGGACACAAATAAATGGAAAAACATAACATGCTCATGGATAGGAAGAATCAATATCATGAAAATGGCCATTCTGCCCAAAGTAATTTATAGATTCAATGCTATCCCCATCAACCTACCATTGACTTTCTTCACAGAATCAGAAAAAACTACTTTAAATTTCATATGGAACCACAAAAGAGCCCACATAGCCAAGACAATCCTAAGCAAAAAGAACAAAGCTGGTGGCACCATGCTATCTGACTTCAAATTATATTACAAGGCTACAGTAACCAAAACAGCATGGTACTGGTACCAAAATAGATATATAGATCAATGGAACAGAACAGAGGCTTCAGAAATAATGCCACACATCTACAACCATCTGATCTTTGACAAACCTGACAAAAACAAGCAAGGGGCAAAGGATTCCCTATTTAATAAATGGTACTGGGAAAACTGGCTAGCCATATGTAGAAAGCTGAAACTGGATCCCTTCCTTACACCTTATACAAAAATTAACTCAAGATGGATTAAAGACTTAAACATAAGACCTAAAACCATAAAAACCCTAGAAAAAAACCTAGGCAATGCCTTTCAGGACATAGGCATGGACAAAGACTTCATGACTAAAACACCAAAAGCAATGGCAACAAAAGTGAAAATTGACAAATGGGATCTAATTAAACTAAAGAGCTTCTGCACAGCAAAACAAACTACCATCAGAGTGAACAGGCAACCTATAGGATGGGAGAAAATTTTTGCAATCTATCTATCTGACACAGGGCTAATATCCAGAATCTACAAAGAACTTAAGCAAATTTACAAGAAAAAAACAAATGACCCCATCAAAAAGTGGGCAAAGGATATGAACAGACACTTCTCAAAAGAAGACATTAATGCAGCCAACAAACATATGAAAAAAAGCTCATCATCACTGGTCATTAGAGAAATGCAAATCAAAACTACAATGAGATACCATCGCATGCCAATTAGAATGGTGATCATTAAAAAGTCAGGAAACAACAGATGCTGGAGATGACGTGGAGAAATAGGAATGCTTTTACACTGTTGATGGGAGTGTAAATTAGTTCAACCATTGTGGAAGACAGTGTGGCAATTCCTCAAGGATCTAGAACTAGAAATACCATTTGACCCAGCAATCCCATTACTGGGTATATACCCAAAGGATTATAAATCATTCTACTATAAAGACACATGCACAAATATGTTTATTGCAGCACTGTTCACAATAGTAAAGACTTGGAACCAACCCAAATGCCCATCAATGATAGAGTGGATAAAGAAAATGTGGCACATGTACACCATGGAATACTATGCAGCCACAAAAAAGGATGAGTTCATGTCCTTTGTAGGGACATGGATGAAGCTGGAAACCATCATCCTCAGCAAACTAACACAAGAACAGAAAACCAAACACTGCATGTTCTCACTCATAAGCAGAAGTTGAACAATGAGAACACATGGACACAGGGAAGGGAACATCTCATACTGGGATCTGTCGGGAGCTTGGAAACTAGGGGAGATAGCATTAGGAGAAATACCTAATGTAGACGATGGGTTGATGGGTGCAGCAAACCACCATGGCACGTGTATACCTATGTAACAAACCTGCACATTCTGCACATGTGTAATTAATTCTACCCAGAACTTAAAGTATAATAATAAAAATAATATATGCATTTAAGCTCTGATTTTCCCCGGAACATTGTTTTTACTTTATTCTATAAGTTCTTATGCACATTTTTTCACTGTTGTAGATAATGCTAAATTTTGATGTGGATTTCTTCTTCTTCTTCTTTTTTTTTTTGAGATGGATGCTCACTCTGTCGCCCAGGCTGGAGCGCAGTGGCATGATCTCGGCTCATTGCAACCTCTGCTGCCCGAGTTCAAGTGATTCTCCTGCCTCAGCCTCCTGAGTAGCTGGGATTACAGGCTCCTGACACTGGGCCCCAGTAATTTTTTTGGTAATTTTGCTAGCAACGGAGTTTCACCATCTTGGCCAGGCTGGTCTGGAACTCCTGACCTTGTGATCCACCCGCCTCAGGCTTCCAAAGTGCTGAGATTATAGGCATGAGTCACCATGCCCGGCCAGATTTCTTCTTTTATCCAAAAACTACTTAAGGTGCACTATTTCAGGCACAGTGAATTTCTTTTTTAGTGCATTCTTATTAGTCTTGGCTTTGTTGCTTTGCAATTAGAGAATGCTATCTGAAGTGTTTCTAAGGTTGAACATTTGTTGTTTCACTTGTGACCTCACTTACACTCTGTCATTTTTTGTTTGTTTCACCTGGAATGTCTTGCCCATTCTTTTACTTCAATCTTTTTTAGGAAATTTGCTTTAGATAATATCTTATGTGTAACATATAGTTGGACTGTACATTGTGATCCAATCTTTGAATCTTTTCCTTCTTTAAAAAAGTATCTTAATATGGGGATTCCCCAGGTCCTGACACAGGGATTCTGGAGCAAACAATTTATTTGGGAGATGACTCAAGAGGTACCAGAAGGGAAGTGGGAAGTAAGACAAGGATGGGAAGACAGATAAAACAGGCAAGAATGATCAGCTTGCTACTTAATCCCACTAGGGACCACTGGAAGACTGCACCATACCTACCTGTACATTGTCTAATCAAGGGATATGACCTGGGATATTACCCATCCACTCCCATTCTTCATTGACTGAGAGTTGGTCCCTGAGGCATTAACTGCCTGGCAGTTCTGTCCTGCCCCTTGTGTGGATTGAGTATGCTCCTGTAGCCAGAGAAAGCCCTTGGGCACTGTCCAGATGCTTGTAGTCAGAAGCCATTGGCCCATATGGAAAGGGCGAGTGCTCGCGGATTGTGGGAAGGGTGCTAACAGCATCCACTATGAGAGGTGAACTTATCTTTGCAGGATGAGGAGGTCTTTGGAATGTGGGAAGGAATATTGTTACTCAGAGACATCTACTCATGGACTTGCTTTTTATTTTTTAATTTTTAATTTTTTTTCTTACTGGATTGGAAGCTGGCCTTGCTGACCTTGAGTTTGTCTCAAGTGCTGGAGAGCCTGGGATGTCTATAAATATTTTCTATTAAGGGCACTCTTTTTATGCACATTTTTCTTGTAAGGCCCATATGGAACAGTGAAAATTTTGAGGTTTTCAGTTCAGGTAGGGCCTTAGCCTTATAGACAGCATCACTAGACATTGCATGCCCCACTAGGGTCTCTGGGGGCCAAGGGAAGCCTGTCATAGTCTATATGGCCATTCCACATCTGTTAATTTAAATATACAGATTTTTAGTAAAGAAATCAAGGACTAAATTTTACAATGGATGTGTGTAATTTCAATTTAAAGCTTACTTGAAATATTGCTATCCTAGTTACACTACTGAGAAAATAGGTGTGTCTTAGATCGGCCTATTTTATGCTGTGCTTTCTGTTTTTAAGGTTGTCACTGCTACTGCCTTTTTTTCTCTCCCTCTTCTTTCCTTCCCTCCTCCTCCTTCTCCCCTTTCTTGTTCTATAGTTTGGTTTATGGTATTTTCTTTGGTTTATTTTATGTGTTACAGGAAAAAATTTAGACAAATTAAATGTAGCAGAATTAATTTTAGTAAAAAGTAATTCTTGAGTTGGATTTCATTCAGAACCAGAAGTTCAGAGAAGTCCACCCAGCAAGGTGGACAGCAGTATTTATACGGAAAAAGGGAGAACAGAAATAGCTCAATTGGTTACAGCTGGGCGTTTGCCTTATTTGGGCGTGGTGTAATCTGTTGACAGCCTGTGATTGGCTGAAGCTTGGCTGCTGTGATTGGCTGAGACTCAGCTTTTGTTACAAGAATATAAGCTTAAGTTAGGTTGTTCACTATATATAAAGACAGCTGTAGCCTAAATTTAATTCAATTTGTACATTTTCCCCTTATGTCCAGCCTCCCAATTTTGAGGGATTGACCACAATTTTGTACACTGACACCACTCTTTGTAATCATTATAATAAATTTGTTTGGTTTCAGCATGGAATTCACAATTCATGACGTCACCAGTGGGATGATTCTTTATGTTATTTTCATGTTTTCATTATTCTAACCGGAGTGATACCATTTGATGTGTAACAATTGGCTGCATACAAACATTTAAGAGTCTTGAGAGGATATGGCATGCCAGGGAGACTATTATGATGGCTATCATGAAGATAATATTAAGAGACCAAAGTATATTCCATAACAGGAGCCCCTATGAATCAAACCAATCAAAATCAAATATATCAAAAATGACACAGAAGAGGAATGTACTTGTTTTACCAAGAAGCTTATTTATAGATTTCTTGCAACTGAGTTTCTACCATATTAGACATGTTTATCCAAGCGCAGTGGAAGTGTAGCTATCATCTGCACTTCACCTTGTTCAGCCAGTAGATAGTTAAAAGAAATCATGTTATCTAAAACAACTTTAGCAACAGAATTTAAAGAAATTTGCTGGGCTATCATATCATTTTGCAGTAGAGTCAGCTATAGTAGCTACTGTTTAAGATAGGTTTCTAATCATAACTTTATTTATATTTATGCCAAACCAGGGAAAGAGCATTTTACCAAAAGATACCCATTTAGAGGAACTTACACCTGCTGGCAAATTTCTCTTTATTCTATAGTGCAAATTTAAAGGTGCAGACCAATGTTTACTCTTCAGTTGATTATGGAATGACAGTGATACTGTTAGAATTCCTAATCCATATTGGCCCCTTATTTTCCACTTATTGAGATATGAAGTTACCCACTTACATGGTTGGTTGTTAAATCTCGCACAGATAAAAGTACATCCTAGAGGGGCACAACAGACAGTCCCCTGTGGGATACTTGTGCATTAGGTGGTCACCAAGTGGGAAGCACTAGTAATATTTGTCTAAGGTTCCATTACTGAATCATTACATGGCTGCAGGCAACTGACAATTAAGGGTTTAGAATTCTAAGTTTGTCTATAAACTGTCAAATTATCCTTTTTTTTTGTTTTCGCATTCAATTTTTGGCATAATTTTACTGCAAAATCCTGTCAGTTTTATCTACTCACAGATTTAAACAAGGAATTTGAATACATGAATCTAAAAACCTAACCCCACAGAAAGGACCAGATGTGCAATTGGAACAAATAGTCAAACTTGGGATACTAGTGAAATTTGTTACAGGGTGAATCAGAGAATTTCTAAGATCATGTAGGGATATAAGTTTAACATGACATATCCAACATTCAGTTAAATTCCCTGCAGAAGTTATTGATTGTGAAATCTTAATGATTGGATTATCTTGCCATGAATAAACCTAAAAGAAACACAGGGAAAATAGGAAAGGGGACAAAGGTTTTATGATGACAGAGGAGAGACGTCCTGATCCATGACCTAGGGAAAGCTTTCTGTGTCCAGGATGCTATCTGCTTCTGGGGAAAAATATTTCCTGGTCAGCTTTGCCTTGAAAATATTAAAGGATGTACAGTCCCAAGAGTCTGGAGTAGCCCTTGCTCTGGTTTGAATGTGTCCTTCAAATTTTACATTTGGAAACAGAATCCCCAAATTCATATGTTGATGGTATTTGGAGTGAGACCTTCAGGAGGCAGTTAGAATTAGATAAGGTTATCAGGGTGGGGCCCCCATTATGGGACTTGTGGTTTTATAAGAAGAGGAAGACAGACCTGAGTTGACATAATCTTTCCCTCTCAGGGTGTGATGTCCTCTACCATGTTTTGATGCAGCAAGAAGGCCTTCACAAGATGCCAGCACCATGCCCTTGGACTTCACAGCTTCTCCAGAGCTGTAATAAATACATTTCTTTTCTCTATAAATTACCAAGTCTCAGGTATTCAGTTCTTCAACAGAGAACAAACTAAGACAACCCTCTTGAGTTGAAAGATGTTGATCCAAGACATGAGGTCCTGAAGTTTTTGATTTTTTTCAAGAGACAGGGTCTTTCTGTGTTGCCCAGGCCAGCTTCAGACTCCTGGGCTCAGCGCTCCCACCTCCAGTAGCTGGGATTACAGGCATATGCCACCATTTCTGACCAACTCTGAAGTTTTGCTGTACGGGAGGACTTGGTATGGTACCTTCCAATGGAGTTCAAGGGCAGTCTTCCATTAGCATCTTTTCTAAAAGACCTGATCTCTGGGTTCTAGATTGTAAAAAGTCTGGTTGTTATCACTTGGTGGGTCATAAAGGGCTTTTTTACCTGGTGAAAACATACTTTGGCATAATGTGTTAAGGCCTTGCAATATTGAGTCATGTCAGAGTTTATAAAAGCATGTCAGAATTTGTACATGAGGTTTTATTATTAGGGGCATTGGGCTTCTAGTAACTATTTTATAAAGGGTCAATCTGTGTTTTCCACTGGGGGTAGATCTAATTATCATCAAGGTCAACAATAATACTTTTTGGCCAAGGCAATCCAGTCAATTTAATTAGCTTTGTTTCATGCCATTTGGTTTGTAATACCTTATTTAAATGTTTTATAACTTACTGAGTGAAACAAGTGCCTCTATCACTGGAGAGTTTTCCAGGAATGCCTTAAGAAAAACACATTTTCCAATAACCTTTTAGCTACTATTATAGCACTGGACTTCCTGCATGGGAAAGCTTCTATATCACCAAGAAACAAGCATTGAAGGTGGTGATTGAATGAAATACACCTGAAAGTGTTCAAATAATCCAGCAGGTGCCAGAAATGAATCACCTGAGGTATTTATTGTCTTATCAGAATTGTGAGTTTGACAAACTGAATGTTGATTATAAACCACTTAGCAATTTTAGAATAGTTACTCCACCATTTTTCCCACAAGTTGTATCTTTTTATCTATTCCATGAAGAACCAAAGAATCCAGAGCTTTTAGTAATGGAAGATTTAAGGACTCAGAAAGGACAAGGCAGTCGTCCAGGTTCTTCATGAGTCGATGCTTAATATTGGATTTACATCCTCTTAAATAGCAGTTTTGTTTCTCTAATTCAAGTGCATAACACTGTTTACTAAATAGGTAACCATAGGTAATGTGACTTGGATCAATCTTATGGGGCTCACTCACATTGAATATTTTAATAATTTCAGTACTGACTAATTTAGCATGAAACTCTGCCAAATCATTTCCTTGGTACTCAGTTAATTCTTGTTCTGCGTGGTGTTGAGTTAACAGTTTATGAAGCCAATCAGTTTATTCATTAGAGTTCTGAATTCTCACCCAGTTTAATGGTATCATTTTAAAGTTACCAGAAACCTGTACTTGTCAGAATCCTTTCCATGAATCTCCTTGAAGATGAAAATACTTCAGGTTTATAGTTGCTTGCAATAGCTTTTAGGAAAGTACCAGAGTAAAACAATGAACTCTTTGTGGATGAAGATTTAAAATAGCCATGGCTGAAGATCTGATGAGAATTCATTATAATAATGATGCAATTTATAAGGAGATTTGGTTATTTCTGTAGCATACAACATTTTAAGATAATAAGTAGAATTATGACTAATAGCATTATAACAAGACTATTAGATTTATATAAATTTCATACAATTTCTGGAACATACATTAATAAGAAATTTATACAAATATAACTCAAAAAGGTTTAGCATTACTTATTATTTGATAATTTAAGTTAATACATCAAATAAGCCCATTTGGTTTCACATCTCTCTTTCTGTAAGGAGAGATGATCCTTTTAATGTGTTCTAAAGGCCCAACCGGAAACTCTCAAAACTAATTTGAGGTCAAGAAAAGACAATTTAGAATTTGATTTTGAGAAGTTTGTCAAAAATACCAAGAGTTTAAAATACTTGATCAAAATAGGATTGCAGGTCACCGAGAAATAATAATCATTCATTTAAACAGAGTGTTAATTAAAGGACTTTAAATACAGAAACTTACAGTTGTAGAAAAACCTTAACTCTTTTTAATAGAGAGAACTCAGTTTTCTTAAATGATAAAAACCTAATAAAGATAAAATAAAACAGAGAAGATTGTCTTGATAAAATACAGAACCTTTGTTTCCTAGGCTAATTACCTAAAAGGTAAAGAAAAACCTTTCATCATTTCCTATTAAGAGCAACAATACTCTAAGAAAGTCTTGTTGTCTTAACACAAGGAACCGAATTCTAGTTTTGCATCGGTGTACCTTTAATATTAATCCTCAATTTTTAGAAAAACTTATAATAATTCTTCACTTATCTTAGCTACCTTGATCACACATAATTTTCCTCTCATTAAATTCATCTTCCACAAATCCTCTACGGCCTTATTCATTCAGCTATTTGTGTCCTATATTTTTCCTCTTTTCATTTTGGACCTTCCAGTTATTCTACTTTAGGAAAAAAATTATTATCTTTTCTCTTAAAAAAAAAAATCCTCATACCTTATAGCTTTTCTTTACCAGAAGCACTCTTGCACCCAGAATCGTTCCCCTTATTCTTTCCAGTTATTTTAGTTACGTATATTAATTAGAATTGATAACCCTTCATGACCTTAATTTCCAGTGAACACTAGGAAACAAGCAATTGTGAATTTTCTATCACACTAGAAATCTGTAGATTGGCAAATCTATGAATCATAATTTCTAGAGGAATGTGCTTTCCCATAGTATAATTTGTCACTGTGGCACACTGTGTGTTTACTAACAATCTCAAGTGTATTTGGTTTCTTTTTCATAAGAAACTGTAAAAGAGCAAAAATTTTCTCTCTATCATCAGGTGTTTTTTTTTTCTAGGCCAGAGAATTAAATTATTATTTCTAAATATTTCCCCCAGCCTCAAATTTTCATTTCTGATAATAAAAATGTGAAAAATCTTCTGATAGGTTTATTATGCTTTCCTGGCTACTTTTGTCCTTATTTAATAATTATTCTGTAATTGTTTTTTTCCTTAAGAAACCTGATGTGGGGAAGACATCTTTATTCTTATTTTTGGGGGGTACATAGCAGGTATATATATTTATGGGTCACATGAGATATTTTGATACAGGCATACAATGTGTAATAATCACGTCAAGGTAAATGGGGTATCCATCCCATCAAGCATTTATCCTTTGTGTTACAAACAATCCAAGTGCACTCTTTTAGTTATTTTAAAATGTACAGTAAATTATTGTTGACGGTAGTCACCCTGTTGTGCTGTCAAATGCTAGATCTCATTCATTCTATCTAACTATATTTTTGTATCCACTAACCATCTCCCCAACCCCCAAGCCAATACCCTCCCCGGCCTCTGGTAACCAGCATTCTATTCTCTATTTTCATGAGTTCAATTTTTTTAAATTTTTAGCTTCTACAAATAAGCGAGAACATGTGAAGTTTGTCTTCCTCTCCCTGGCTTATTTCACTTAATGACCTCTAGTTCTACCTCATCTATGTTGATGCAAATGACAAGATCTCATTCTATCTTTATGCCTGAATAGTTCTTTATTGTGTATATGTGCCACATTTTCTTCACCTATTTGTCTGTTGATGGACACTTAGGTTGCTTCCAAATTTTGGCTATTGTAAATAGTGCTGCAATAAACATGGGAATGCAGTTATCTCTTTGATGCATGGATTTCCTTTTTTTGGGGGCATATACCCAGTAAAGAGATTGCTGGATCATATGGTAATTCTTTTTTTTTTTTTTTTTTTTGTGGTATAGTCTCACTCTTGCCAAAGCTGGAGTATAGTGGTGTGATCTCAGCTCACTGCAGCCTTGACCTCCTGGGCTCAAAGAATCCTCCCACTCCAGTCTCCTGAGTAGCTGGGACTACAGACATGCACCACTATGCCTGGCTAGTTTTTATAGAGACAGGGTTTTGCCATGTTCCCTAGGCTGGTCTCAAACTTCTGAGCTCAAGCCATCTGCTGGCCTCGGTCCCCCAAAGTGCTGGGATTACAGGCATGAGCCACTGTGTGTGGCCTAATCTGAGTTTTTTTGAGAAACCTCCAAACTGTTCTCCATAGTGGTTGTGCTAATTTACATTCCAACCAACAGTGTATGAGGGTTTCCTTTTCTCCACATCCTCATCGGCATTTGTTATTGCCTGTCTTTTGAATAAAAGGCATTTTAACTGCAGTAACGTGATATCTCATTGTAGTTTCGATTTGCATTTCTCTGATGATCAATGATGTTGAACACCTTTTTATATACCTTTCTGCAATTTGCATGTCTTCTTTTGAGAAATGTCTGTTGAGATCTTTTGCCCATTTTTGATTGGATTATTAGGATTTTTTTCTATAAAGTTGCTTGAGCTCCTTTTCTGGTTATTAATCCCTTGTCAGATGGGTAGTTTGCAAATATTTTCTCCCCTTCTGTGGGTTGTCTCTTCACTTTGTTGATTGTTTCCTTTGCTGTGCAGAAGCTTTTTAACTTGATGTGATCCCATTTGTCCATGTTTGATTTGGTTGTCTGAACTTGTAGCATATTATTACTCAAGAAATCTTTGCCAAGTCCAATGTTCTGGAGAGTTTCTCTAGTATTTTCTTGTAGTAGTTTCATAGTTTGAGGTCTTAGATTTAAGTCTCAAATCCATTTTGATTTGATTTTTCTATGTGACGAGAGATAGGGGTCTAGTTTTATTCTTCTGCATGTGGATATCCAGGTTTCCCACCACCATTTATTGAAGAGACTAGGGGGATACATGTTTCCTATGGTAATTTTATCTTACTTATATCTGTTTAACTCACTTGGTTTTTAACAATTATGCTTGGATTGCTCATGAAGATAAGACATAAGCAACTAGCCATTGTTATTTTTTATGACAAATTTTAAAATATAGAGATAACATGAGCTTATTTTACCAATAAACCTAGGTAGAAAAAGTTCTGCATCTGTTTTAATCAGACCAACAATATTTTTACTTGCCAAAGATTACCCAAGTCACATGCTTGAAAATCATTTGGGTTAGTTCTTATTTTTCTGAGAAAACACTTCATTTATATAAGCACTTATTTTTCCTTAAACTAATTAAATAAAGCTCATTACCATTTAATTTTGGCAATATCATAAGAAGATAGAAAAATGTCACACATATATGTCATACATGCAGACATACATAAACATATAGATAGAAATACATCTTATTTTCATTTTAAAATTTTAGCCATGTGCCAGGTACAAAAATACAAGCATTTTGTATGACTGCACTCAGGATGGATACTTCTAATCTTGCCTTATTGTCAGAAACTGATTCATCCTTGTTTATTTTTCAAGATTGAATGACAGGCGAATCAGTTGTTGTTGTTTTTTTCCCCCAAGAAAGAGTTTTGGGGCACACCAAAGATCATGACAAGAAAGAGATTCAGTCAATGGAGAGGTCCACATGGAAGAAGCAGGATCTAATATAGAAAGGACTAAATCCTACAAATGCTTTTCTGAAAATGGTCCAAGTGTCATCTGGGCAGATTTGGACATGGGAACTTTTTAGACTCTATTTCAAACTTCCACCAGAGCAATACCCTCTCACTCAGTAGAGATGGGGTCTTGCTATGTTGCCCAGGCTGGTCTCAAACTTCTGACCTCAAGTGATCTTCTTCTGTTGGCCTCCCAAAGTGCTGAGATTCTAGACATGAGCCACCGTGCCCAGCCAAAATTTATATGTGTTATATGCCAGAAGATTAATTTGATATAAGCTACTCCGTTATTACTGGAACTGGAAATGCAATTAAATGTGATCTTGGTTTTGGATTTCATAGTTCAAAATTTACTTGTGTTATAAGACAGATACTCAGTACACAGTAAATATAAGTTAGGTCGTTTTGATTCTGTCTCTTAAATAGATTTACATTTGTCTATTTCTTTCTATCATCACAATGGCTATCCTCATTCACAACAGCATCCATGCTTGCCTGGGCTTCTGCAGTAGCCTCCTAACAGGTTGCTTCATATCCACTCTTGCTCTCTCAGGGTAGACACCCATTCCTATTTTCTTGGTTGGAGCACCATGATTTTCCTTGGGGGATCCATCCAGTTCCATTAGATGACCTCAGAGTGAGTATCAAACATGGTGCTCTCCATTCTCTCATCAACATTCATCTAGACCAGGAGTGGGCGTGTGACCTGTGTTAGGCGTTTGGATTCTCTGATCTAGGCATTTGAATTTTGAGAAGAATATAATAAAGACTGAGGATGACTGGAGTTATCCATCCTGTTGGCAGTGTCAGAAGGTATTATTTATTACAATTTTTGTCTTTAAGTCAGGTTCTTTAAGGTTTTCTTTGATTCTGAGCTCTAGCCCATAGCTTTCCTTTTCCTTTGTTTTTCCACTTAAGTTAACCTGAGTGGGTTTCTGTTGCTTACAACCACATAATTTTACAGGATATTCACTATATAAGTTAGAATAAGCACTCAGCTGCTGTAACAGAGACCCCAAAATACAGTTGTTGAAACGAGCTCTAAATGTATTTCTCTCTCATGCAATAGTGCAGCATGGGTGAGCAGGTCTGTGCCATGAGGTTTCTTTGGCCCAGATGGCTTCTACCTTGTTGCTCTGCCAATTCCTAGGGTGTTGTCCTTGTCATCTTGGTTGATTCCAGGTCACTGCTACATCCACCTTCCAGCCACAGAAAAGGCCAGAGGAGCCCCGGGGCAAGCACTCCCCTTTTAAACATGGAGTGGATGTTGTTCACGCTGCTTATGCTCACGTGCTATGGCAAGACTTTATTTCATTCCACACCTGGCTGCAAGGGAGGATGAGAAATGGAGGTTCTAGCTGGGTGAACATGTGTCCAAGTAACAGAGAAGAAGGATTTGGGGATAATTGGCAGTTTGCCATGTGCCGGGTTTCGGATCCATTCCTCATAACAAAGGCCAGAACTGTTACAAACACACATACCTCCCCACACACCCAAAACCTGAACATGTCATCTTCCTACTTACAACCCTTCCATGGCTTCCTACTGTGGTTGGATTAAGACCAAGACCCTTGCGTGGCTTATAAGGTCTGCAGGTTTTGGCTCTGCCAACCTGTCTAGCCTCCTGGCCCTCTCAATCAGCTTGCTGTTTCCCTCATTTGTTACACAAGTTTCATTTTTAAAAATGCATCATGGGCTGTTTCCTCCTCCTGGAACATTCTTCCCTCCCTTTCCCCTGACCTGTCAATTTCTATTATCCTTCATTTCCCTGCTTAAATGTCACTGTTTTTGAGGAAGCCTTCAAATCCCCAGATTAGGTCAGAATCCCCTAACACACTCACTCTTTTCGCACCCCATACTTAATTTTTGTATTATTTTTCTCCAAGTGAACTTAAATAACCATATAACTGATTAAAATTGTTCTCCCCTGCCAGAACAAGACCCATGAGGACAGGAGACCCTTTTGTCATGGCTTCTGTAGCACCCGGCATAGTGCTTGGAATAGAGGAGACACTCGAGACGTACCAGATGAATCCATGAATGAAAGAAGCAAGTGAAAGTGTCATGCAGTAGCATATTTGGGATGGACCTTTCTTGGTTTTAAGAAACTGGGGCGGCTAGGCGTGGTGGCTCACTCCTGTAATCCCAGCACTTTGGGAGGCCGAGGCGGGCGGATCAACTGAGCTCAAGAGTTCGAGACCAGCCTGGCCAACATGGTGAAACCCTGTCTCTACTAAAAATACAAAAATTAGCCAGGTGTGGTGACGGGTGCCTGTAATCCCAGCTACTTGGGAGGTTGAGGCATGAGAATCCCTTGAGCCCAGGAAGCGGAGGTTGCAGTGACCTGAGATTGTGCCGTTGCACTCCAGCCTGGGCAGCAAAAGCAAAACTCCATCTCAAAAAAAAAAAAAAAAAAAAAAAAAAAGAAACCAGGGCAGATTCTAGGTTCACAAGCGTCCTGACGCTGGATTCTCAGAGATAAGCAGTGGAGGCAGAGCTGGAGGAGACAGAAACAGCAGCCACTGTGAAAGATTTTAACTGGGAGACTCCTATACCCGGAAGTCTTTCAGTTCTGAATCTCGGCAGGTCTGAGCAGGACAGTGGGATACTCTGTTTTCCTTGGCCAAGTACTTGGCAAAAAGAAAGGAAGGAAGAATGTGGAGGAAGAAGGGAAAAGGAGAAGAAGGAGAGATGGAAAAGGAAAAGAATGTGTGTGATGAAGTTTATGCATAGCAGCTAAGAAAATTATGCTCCTTGACAAGGACAATGATAATTCTTTACATGTTTTGGGGCTTTCCTGTTTATAAAGCCTGTTCACAGATGTCATTTTTTTAAAAACTACATCTCTTTGAGGCAGGCAAGACAGTCCTTACTCTCTTCATTTAAAAATAGCTTTAATTGGCCTGGCGCAGTGGCTCACCCCTGTAATCCCAGCACTTTGGGAGGCTAAGGTGGGAGGATCACTTGAGGCCAGGAGTTCAAGACCAGCCTGGGTAACACAGTGAAACCCTGTCTCTACAAAAAATACAAAGAGTAGCCGGGCATGGTGGCATGCGTGTGTAGTCCCAGCTACTTGGGAGGCTGAGACATGAGAATTGCTTGAACCCGGGAGGCGGAGGTTGCAGTGAGCCGAGATCACATCACTGCACTCCAGCCTGGGTGACAGAGAGAGACTCTATTTCAAAAAAATGAAGAAGCTTTTATTGTTTTATTTCTTATTGCAAAAATGATGCACTTTTCCTCTAGAACCAAACTGTGTGAAAAAAAAGGAAAAAAATAAAAACCTCATCATGCAGATGTAGGAGTTGTGAACACCTTGCTGTATATCTTTCTTGATCTTCCCCCAGTTACATTTCATATTCCCATTTTCGGGTGAAGTTGAGGCTCAGGGAGGATGAGTGTTTGTGTGTCTATTTCCTTCTTTGTTCATGTAATTATTGTTATTTTTCTAACAACCTCTGTACCAAAGTGATTTGAAGTGTTGGGCTGACATAGCCATTGAGTGACAAACCCATATTGGGATTCATTTCTTCAGGCTCTGAATTTTGAATTCATGCAGCTGTTTCCACTTCTTCAGCCAATGAAACCTCATGAATAGGAATTCGTCTTCCCCTCCCGGAGAGGCCTGGCCGGAGAGCCAAGAGACACGGGGCGGGCTCTGTAGAGAGTTTAAGGAGGCAGGTTGTGGATGGGAGACATAAGGAAGGCTGACAGAGCCCAGGACAGATGGACAGACTCTCTGATTCCACATTCTGATGCCCAACCTATCAGATGACAATTAGCAGCCACCAGCTGTAAAGTGACTGTGAATAAAATGAGTCTTCTTCTTCTTCTTTTTTTTTTTAGCACATTTAGGAAAACATTTTAAAATTCAATCATGAATGTTTATTGGCAGCCCAGAGGCTATATGGCACCCAGGAGGGCTCAGTATTTGCCATGGGTGTGGGCTCCTGCTGGTATTTTCTCTCCAGCTAGAGCAAGAAGGGATGGGAAAGGAGGGAAGCAGGTTCATTCAGTGGCACCAGTTTCTTGATGCCTGACCTTGAACAAGTTCCTTTTATAACCTTGGTCTTCAGTTTCCCCATCTGTAACTGATCTTCTTGTCCCACTCCAATCCCTGCTGTGTGCCCATTCTCTACACGGTTTCTAGGGGTGATCTTTTAAAAAATTTAAATTAGCTTGAATTAATACTTAAAAGTTTTCCTATTGTCACCCAGGTTCCCCAGGCTTTTGTGTACACACTGTGGAGAAGCACCCACTTGTAACTGTTGCACCTTGAATTTTTTGTTGTTTCAAAAAGTTCCAGGAAGAAGCCTTGCCATAGCAAAACAAAAAAGGTTTGGATTCAGAGATGACTGAGTTGGAGATAAACTTGGCAACCTCTCTGTATTGCTGTACTAAAATCCCTGCACAGGGAGCAGCTTACATGTGACATGTGTAGGAGCATGAGTGATGACTATGCCCTCACCAACTTTACCCCACCTCTACATTGGATGACTCAACTCACCAGCCCAATAGAAGCCCTGTTTTCACCTGGGTTCAGGTAGACCCTGCTTTGGGAACCATCCCCAGTATTCTGCTTACTTGTTCCAAGTAATAAAATCCCCTTGTTAAAACCTTCTTGGTTGTGGTCATTGGACTGTCACCTGCCAAGTGGCCAAACCCACCTGTATTATGGGTAACACTATGTCAGCCCATAACAATGGGAGTAAAACCATAACTCCTTATGGCATATGAAACCAGGCAGTAAGGTACTTTGCCGTCTGGCACCCACCTACTTCTCCAGCCACATTTTACACCATAGTCCCCCTTAATTGTGAAGATGCAGTGACACTTGCAATGAGCCAAGGCAGTTTCCTGACTTGGAGCCTTTGTGTTTCCTCTTCCCTCTGCAGGGAACTCTTCTTGTAGGGCATATGGCAGGCTCTTCTTCATCCAGGCCACAGTTACCTTTTTGTGTGGCCGTCCCAGTGGACAGGGCCCCCTTAGCCCTCATTGACTTTCTATAGCCTAACTCCATGATATGGTTTGACTGTATTCCCACCCAAATCTCATTTTGAATAGTAGCTCCCATAATTCTCATGTGTTGTGGGAGGGCCCCGGTGGGAGATAACTGAATCACGGGAGTGATTTCCCCCATACTGTTCTCATGGTAGTGAATAATCTCATGAAATCTGATGGTTTTATAAGGGGAAACCCCTTTCATTGGTTCTTTTTCTGTCTTCCCTTCTGCCATGTAAGATGTGACTTGTTCCTCCTTGCCCTCTGCCGTGATTGTGAGGCCTCTCCAGCCACGTGGAACTGTGAGTCCATTAAACCTCTTTTTCTTTATAAATTACCCAGTCTAGTGTATGTCTTTTATCAGCAGCGTGAGAACAGACGAATACACTCCATTTTATTTTACTTTACTTTTCTGTTTGAATTTATGGTCTCTCCTCTTCCACACTCTTTATCCCCACACCCACACACATATCTAGAATGTAAGCCAACAGAGGCAGGCCATTTTGATGGGGCCAGCTCTTTCATAAATCAATGCAACTTCATGTCACGTATCCTACAAGTTAAAAATTGTGACCAGCGAAAAATCTTTAATGTTGTCTTTCTCTGGACAAATATTGTCTTTCTTTGCAGATTCAATTTTTTTTTTGGCAAATACTCTGCCCTCTTTCATATATGTGTCCTCCATACCTGGATTAGATTGTATCAAAATGTCTGCAACCGTATTTGTAGCCAACATCCCAGGTGGAAAGAAAAGGAAAGCATTTTGTCATATAATCCTTTCTATGTAATAAGAGCAGTGGTTATTAGGATACTTTTGTTTTATAGTTGTAGCATCTGCTCACACTGGATGTCTCTGTCTGCTAGCTTCCATTGCTGGGGTGGACCAGCAGTAGGGCCACAATGCCTCCTGTCCCCACCAGGTCCTTCCTCAGATTTTCAGAATCTTGGATCAGGCCTGTGTGTGGCCCAGGGTGAAGGGCACCAGCTCTCCTGCAGATCACCTGTATCAATAACGCTGGAGGTTTGGAGGTGGTGAGAGTCAGACCCCAGTTCCAGTTCCTCCTCATGGTTCTAGAATGTTCTTCCGGTTGCATCTTGTTCTTATTCACCTTCGCTTCATGGCCATCTTCCCTTTGCAACGGCCAGGTCTGCTGACTTCAGGAGCAGACACAGGGGCAAAAGACCTTCACAGACCAATAACTGGCAACCATGTTCTCTGATGACCGAAATCCTTTAGCAACCTGTCCTATCACTCATGGTGGTTCTTCTTCTCTGATGCAACCGAACTGATAGATGCACACCCCATTGGCTCTTGGGGGTACATCCAGACTGAGAAGGTACACATTGGAATATCCCCCAAAGGACTCTGATGAAACTATTTTAATGCAGCTTTTGGTGTTTTTCTCTCTGTTCTCTGGAGACCATCAGAAGAAGGAGGAGAATGGATTCTTTGCATTCCCCCTTTTTCCTCTGTCTCTCTCTTTAAAAAATTCCTCTGTAGCTATTGTCCCTGGCATCAGGAGCCCTTAATATTGACTAAGCAGAATTGCATGGTGGGAGAGTCAAAAGAGAATTCATCATTTGGCAACATTTTCCTAAACAAACTCATGCCAAGTCTCTAAAAACTAAATATTTGAAAGAGTCCATCTCATTTGAGGATGTGTGACCTCTTCTGCTTTCTAAAATCTACTTGCTGCCAGGTCCTCCTTTTTAGGCAGGGGTCCTGTTACCTGGTACACAAGGGGTTAATTTGCCCAACTGCCCACGGACTCTATGGGTTATTCCATATTTATTTCAATTATATAAGTATACTGGGCTAGTGTATTTATTTTAAATCACATTATCTACAGCTTCCCAAGCATGTGTCAACAAAAAGAACGGTTTCAATTTAGTAGACTTTGAAATGGTGTGCAGTTTATCCTCACTTCAATTATATCCTCTACAGTAAGTCATGGGCAGCTTCAGGATTATTCAGGGCAAGGTAATGCTATCTGAAAGCATTGATTTTTCCCTCCCCTTCAAGAACAGTTCACTGAAGGATGCACTGGAGTCTCCTTTAAGGAAACACAAAAATACATTTCTCAGCTGCGACTTCTGAGAAATCTCAATCTTAGGGATTGAGGATGAAGCTGCTAGAGAAATTTCTGACTTTTAAAGAAAAACGTGCAAAGCTGGTTGCAATGGAGTGACCATAGCAGGGATCATGTTTCCTGGCTTGAAACCATAGGAGATGGATGGAACAAAGAAGGAGGAGAATGTCAGATAATTCATATACTCTACTTATGAATAAATACTTACTGGGCACCTATTATGCACCAAACCCTGGGCTAGGCGCTGTGAATACAGTGGTGAATAATAAAGATCAGAGCTAGCTTCATGGGCGGATGACCTGTGCAATTGCCTAAGACCACAAGCTTAGGAGAGCCTTGTGCTTGGTTTACTGTTCTACTGTCACCATCTTGAATTTTTTAATAATTTCAAATAAAAGGCCCCAAATTTTCATTTCGCACTGTGCCCTGCAAAATATATCATTGGTCTTGATAAATACAAAGTCATTTCTGCTGTCACAGAGTTGATAATTTAGTGGGGGAGATAGACATGGGCTAATTACCTAACCTACTAATTTCAGTTGTGACGAGGGCTTTTAGGCATCAGGTACAGGGTATTGGGAGGGTATGAAGCACAGGGGCCTAGCCTATTCTGGAGTAAGTGAAGACACTCAGAAGAAGAGCCATTTAAATACTTATTAGAAACATGTCAAGTTCTCTAGGGAAATCATTCCAGGCAGAAGAAACAGCACGTGCAAAGGCCCCCAGGCAGGAACTTGACCTGTTAGAATCAGAGAGGAGGCCAGTGTGGGCAGAGCACAGTGATCAAGGGAGGAGGACAGGATTCTCTCGCAAGAACACCAAGGTCTGGATGTACTGTGGTCAGGTTTCTATACTAATAGATATTCTCAGGTGGCAACTTGAAGTGACCCACAGACTCCTTTCGTTGGTGTCCAATTATTGCTGTGTGATCCGTGAATTAATCTAGCCTCCCTTAATACTGCAGTTGTCTGGAAGGGGGAGGGGCCTCTTGAAATATTATTCATTCTAAGTTACTTAAATTTAAATGATATATCAATAATAATTATTGACCATTTATTCAAGAATCCAGAATGAAGGTGTCATCCACAAACTTCCCCACAGCCATGGTGGTATTTACATACGGAGTCTGACTATTTGTAAATTCATTATGCCGCTGGATGTTGAGTAAACCATTTCATTTTTCTTTGGTTTTTATTTTTTACTACCTCTTTGGTACTTAAAAGCAGACGTTCCCTAGACCTTGGCTTTTTAGAATTTGGTGAATGTCCCTCTGCAGTCTCATACAGGTTGTGATTTTACAGTTTGTTACACTTTCATCTATCCTCCTTCAGAGCTGTAGAGAACTACTGTATTAAAGTCTCTTTACAGGTGAGTGGGGAACACCACACTATTTGTGATGGGGAAAAAATGGAAATCCACTGTACATTAGAAAGTTTACTTTGTTGAAACATTTGTAATTTGAAGTCTTGGGGAATAGTGAAACTGGAAGTGCTAAGGGAAAAAGAATTTCCAGCGATGAGAACTTAAATAACCCCATAATTCACGTTTTAAAAGACAGTCCATAGGTTTACTGAATTGATTTCTCTGGACAAACAGAAGAAAAATGTAAAATAAAGGAATAGAAAGCTCTACAAATGACCCTTATCTAGTGCCATTTTTATAATGTTCTCCTGTTGACACCTGACTTTACGGCCTGCTTAAAAATTTCAGGCAGAGTTGACTGGCAGTCATTAGCATAGGAAATAGCTTTGGGCTCAGTGATGGTAACAGGGTGTTTTTTAAAAAATATTTTCTCTCTTTTAATCTATTAAAGTCAGTTACATGTATGGATTTTATAATATTAAATCATTCTTGTATTTCTGTGATTAATCTCTAGTATGCTTGTGGTTGTGATTTTTTGGGTACTATTTTAATCATATTTAAGTATAAAATTCAATGGTATTGACTACATCCACAGTCTTGTGCAACCATTTCCAGAACTTTTTCATCACCCTAAACAGAAGCTCTGTGCTCATTAAAAAATAACTCCCCATGCACCCTCCCCCAGATGCAGAACGGGGAGTTATCATTATTTTCCAGTCTCCTTCTGTCCCTAGGAATTTGCCTATTCTAAGTACCTGATGAGTATATGAATGGGGTCCTACAATATTTGTCATTTTGTGTCTGGCTTATTTCACTTACCGTAGGTTTTCAAAGTTCATCCATGTTGTAGAATGTATTAGAACATGATACATTCTTTCTTTAAAGCTGAATAATATTCCATGGCCTGTATATGCCACCCTGCCTTTATCCCATTTATCTGCTGATGAAAATGCAGATTGTTTCTGCTGTTTGGCTGCTGTGAATAATGCTTGTAGCAGGACTTTTGTGTGGAAAAGAAGTGGATGTGCTTACCTTTCTGTGTCTCTTTGCTTACTTTGTGGTTCCTTTCTTGTTGAGAGGAGGGGTTGGGATTTGAATCTTGTCCCTGTTTCCAGCACCTGTGTATAAATGGGAATCGCCTGCCCTTTGTTATGGTAGATGGGCCAGAACAGTGGCTAAATGTATGGCTTTGGAATCAGACAGCTGTGAGTTCAAATCCTGCTTATACCACTCACAAGATAGGGGACTTGGGCAAGCTTCTCAACCTCTCTAAGCCTGGGTTGGTCCCTTCATGGAAGGGAGGTTATTAGACTTACATGGGAGGCTTACTGAAAGAATTAAGGTAGTGTTGAAAAAACCCTTTAAGTTAGTAGTGTTTGGAAAGCCCTTAGCTCAGTCATGTGTGTGTGCATGCTGAGAGCAAGACTTTGTGTGTGGAAAGCACTCTGTGAACAGTGGCTGTTGTTATCACTGATGAGACCCTCTAAGCAGAGCCCTGTAGGGGGAGAACCTTCACCTTTTCATGGTCCCCTTACAAAGTAGGGGTTTCTGGAGCAAGTGCTTGTTGCTATGAAAAGACTGGGACCATTAGAACATCAAAGTCAGAAGAGAGCTTAGTGGGACCTCAAATGTCTGCTCATTGGCATCACTGGGGAGCTTTATGATGCAGACTCATGGGCTGCAGTCCCAGCCTATCAAATCGGAATCTCTAGGCAGAGACTTGGAAATATGAGCTCAAACAATCTGAGATGGTTTTGAGGAGCTGTCACACTTGGGAAACTCTTCCTTGAATTCCTTGTTCTTTCTACTCATATTTTAATACTTTAGGCGGTTTGTAAATACCTATGTACTTATTCGTTGATTTAAGCCTTCTGTCTAAACAAAACCTTTGCTTCATCTTACTTTAAGAACCATGGGACTGAGGAAGAAATCACTGGTATTTCGGAAACTCACAGTTTTTGGAAAAGGAAACTTTCCTGTCAAAAAGTAATTATGGAAATTTCATAAAAAGGTGAAAGATTTTTAAGGAGAGTCAGACATAAAAATTACATTTGCAAATTGTACTTGGAAAGAATTATTTTAATTGAAGCAGCTATTCCCAAGCCTAAATCCGGTAGCTTCAGTGGCCTCAGAATGTTCATTTCATCCTTGTCAACTACTTTCTTTTCTGGTATGGCCTAAATATGCTACTTAACTAACAACTTGTACTTAATAGGTGCTTCTTGGGGACTATGCATGTGGGTCCTAAGAGGTGAATCTGTGCAAAGAATTTCATCACCATGGTGGGTCAGCAGGTAGATAACTTTGGGACTCATGATATCTTTGGCACTTCCTTCTTTCTCTATGTGAAGCGCCATCTTTCCGAAGAGGAAAGTGTCTCTCCATCATGCTTGAAGGCAGTCCTATAGGTTGGCTTTGTTCTTTCCTTCATTCATTCATCCATTCATTCCACAAATATTGATGAAATGCCTGCTAAACGCCAGGTACTATGGAAACAGAAATATATTGGTGAATCACATTGACACAGTCCCTAACATGTTAAAGCTTAATAATGCAGGGAAAGACAGCTTTTGTAGGGATAAGTACAAGTGTGAATCACATTGCAAAGGGAGAAGCAGTGGGCATTATAGAAGTGTGACCCAACACCTTGAGTAAGAAATGAGGGTGGGAGTCAGGCACAGTGGCTCATGCCTGTAATCCCAGCACTTTGGGAGGCCAAGGCAGGTGGATCACTTGAGGTCAGGATTTTGAGACCAGCCTGGCCAATATGGTGAAACCTCGTCTTTTCTAAAAATACAAAAATCATCTGGGTGTGGTGGCACGTGCCTATAATCCCAGATACTTGGGAGGCTGAGGCAGGAGAATTGCTGGAATCCTAGAAGGAGAGGTTGCGTGTGGTGAGCCAGGATTGCACCACTGCACTACAGCCTGGGCGACAGAACGAGACTCAAAAGAAAAAAAAAAAAGAAAATAGAAATGAGGGATGAGGGTGGGAAAGGACTTCTACCTTTTGAGGAATGAGTCATAGGTATTTGTCTCCTGGTGTTATCAAATTGGAACATATGAAGAATTAATATGGGCTATGTCTGTGATGTAAAGTTGATGGGGATTTTCCACATGTAAAAAGTTAATTTTAATGCAGGGTGTCAGTGATGGGAAGTACGGTTAGGAGGCTATTGTAGCAGGCAACAGGGCTCTGAGACCAGCAAATCCAAGTGAGTGTGGAAAATAACATGCCATGGTATAACATTTTGAAAGTATTAATCACGTGGTTTTAGTCTCTGTGTTTCTCTACAGCTCTTCGTGCTTCTCCATTCATTGAGCCTGGCTCTCCATCTTCACTGCCTTTGCAGAGATTCAGAGACAAGAGTTTCGAAGGAGTTCAGGAAATACCACCGGAAAATATGATGTTTTGGCATGTTAATTACTTTGAAGTGAGGGCATGTGGGGAAGAGCGATGATAGGCAGAGACTTTCTTGGAACGTCCCTTATTTACCTAATGACAGTCCTCCAAAAGGGACTCAATAGTCATGAATCCCCTTCCCAGGAATCCCACCAAGCAGGGAAGATTGATTTGTATCACAGGAGAGAAGACTGGGGGTCATGATCATGGCCAGGTAGCCTTTGTCACAGGCTGCCACCTATTCTTTTGTTTTTGAGATACAGTCTCACTCTGTCACCCAGGCTGGGGTGCAGTAGTGCGATCTCAGCTCACTGCAACCTCCACCTCCCGAGTTCAAGTGATTCTCCTGTCTCAGCCTCCCAAGTAGCTGCGATTACAGGCATGCATCACCACACCGGCTAATTTTTTGTATTTTTAGTAGACACGGGGTTTCACCATGTTGGCCAGGCTGGTCTCAAACTCCTGACCTCAAGTGATCTGCCCACCTCTGCTTCCCAAAGTGCTGGGATTATAGGCATGAGCCACTGCATCTGGCCTGTCCCCTATTCTTCTGTGGTCTCAATCATCTTTTCCCCAAATCACTTACTCTCCCCTAACTTGCCTGCATCCCCCCTTCCATCTCCTCTGTGAAGAGCATGTACAAGCTTCCAGATCTCACTGGGGTTTGAGTATTCTCTTAAATTTGTACACTTTTTCTCCTGTTAATCCGGCTAGTAATAATTTCTTTCACAGACTCAGTGATCAAACCCTCAGAAGGTAAAGGGAAAGTTTTACCTCCTCCACTGTCTCTTCTTGGTTTTGAGTTCCAAAAGCGTAGGCCTGGGAGAAACAGAAGGATTAGAGTTGCCTACAAGAGAAACACCACAGTTCCTTGTGCTGGAAGGGATATCCCGGCATGGGGTCACTTCCTGTTTGCTGTGAGGTTCATTTCTCATCCTTCTGCTCCTCTGGTTCCTGTCTTAGGGTTGATTCCTACAGAGTCCATCCCATCCCCCAGGTTCTCTTGTTCCTCTGGCTTCTGGGTAGATTTGCCCAAGGCGAGCCATAGACATTCTGTCTGAGGGTGAGAGGAGGGAGTTAGGATATTTCTCCCTCATTTTTCTGCTTCTGGTGGCGTCTCTGACAGTAGCTGCAT
This sequence comes from Homo sapiens, assembly GCF_000001405.40. Classification (NCBI taxonomy): domain Eukaryota; kingdom Metazoa; phylum Chordata; class Mammalia; order Primates; family Hominidae; genus Homo; species Homo sapiens. Next base: position 52,876,400 of record NC_000016.10, on the reverse strand, counting down.
TACCATGGCTCCAGCTCCCAGTAGGCAGCTACCCCCACTCTGGCTCTTATCTGTAGGGAACACCTGGGCTCTGGGAACACCTCCTCCATCCTGCGTTCCTGCAACTCTCCAGGTTGCCTCAATGTCCCCTGATGTGTTTTCAGCTTTTCTAACACCTCTGTTACTCATTCTCCACATTCAATGCTCTCAAGTTGGCCCAAGTTCTGTTTTCCTGGTTGGATGGTGACTGATACCTTGGAGTTGTCAGGAGGGTTCATGAGGAAGGAGAGAGATGGATGATGGGACCTGTGCTGAAGGAAGCAGACTGGAGGTCCCATATGGATGGATCCGACAGGAGTTTCTCTAAGATACTGTCTGGCCTCCATTTCAGCACCTGATCAAGTGAGCACGGTTGCAGCTCGGAGGGGCTGAGAAACCAGCATCTTTAGATCATTAACTGCCCTTACCTCTGGCACCTGGCAAAGACTCCCCTTGGCCAGCAGCTACAGCAACCTTGCTGGGCCCCCAAATTTTACCCTATATAGAAAACCCCCTATTAAGGCTCTAGGACACTTGTGAGCCCTCAAGACCACAGACGAGGTCCTAGCCTCTAAAACTCCTCATAGCTCAGGCCCCATCGATAATAAAGGAAGAACATTTGCATCACTTTTTGCTTTCTTCTCAAGAACTGGGAAGGTTATAGCTGGACATTACCTAGAGACCCTCTAGTCCAAATTTTTCATTTTGTGGACAAGGATGTTGAGGCTCAGGGAAGGGATTTTGGCTGCTCAAGAACTCCTAGTTCATCTTGCATCTACTAAATTTTGGTGAATATTTAATATCATTTAGAAAAAAAAATCTCCACTCCTACCTTTCACACCCTGAAACATTCTAAATCTTAAATTATTTTGTGTTCGAGAGTAGAAAGCAGCGACTGAACAGAAGTCTGCATGTGCCTAAATCTTTATCAATCCATGCATATTCGGTTGTATAAAAATGTCAAAGATCTATTTTGGGGTTCTGCAAAAGAGAATTCTTTCTGGAATGGCACTTGAACTGTTAAATATCATCTCAAATCTCATTTAGGGGGCTTATCACCTTCTAAAAGCCTGGCACAGGGCAAAAGTGGATTAAGGTTGAAATTTTCCAGAGACTTTGTCTCAGATCAGTAAAATACTTCTGATCACTTTCTATCACCATCAGAACCAGAATGGCTTCTGAATCTTGTGGTCTACTGTCATTATTAAGAAGAATTGAGTACCATGGTTGAGAGAATTATTGTTCTCCAGAATTTTTGTTATTTAGAAGGAAAAAAAATTTGCATTATTTATTTTATTTTATTTTAGACAGAATCTCCCTCTGTCTCCCAGGCTGGAGTGCAGTGGCGCCATCTCGGCTCACTGCAACCTCCGCCTCCCGGGTTCAAGTGATTCTTGTGCCTCAGCTTCCTGAGTAGCTGGGACTACAGGAGTGGGCCACCATGCCCAGCTAATTTTTTTATTTTTAATAGAGACAGGGTTCCACCATGTTGGCCAGGCTGGTCTCAAACTCCTGACCTTAAGTGATCCACCTACCTTGGCCTCCCAAAGTGCTGGGATTACAGGTGTGAGCCACCATGCCTGGCCAGGGTTATCTTTTTAAGAAAGATATTGACTCCTACTTATTTTGCTCTTTCTCCCTCCAGTTCTCTAAAAGAATACATTCCAAGGACTCAGGGTTAGGGGTTTCAAATGTTTTGTGTTTAGGATCCTAAGCAATATGTCTGAGTAGTTGCAAGACACATATATTTTGCAACATCCTCTCCTCCCCCGGGAATGAATTCTTTATCTTTAATAAGGTGATCTGTCCAGGCCTAGGTAGATTATCTGTGAGATAATTTGGCAGGTAAATGCAACACCAAGATCGTCTCTATTCCATTCCTTGTGAAATTCCAAGAGGCATTACTAGGGACTCACTCAGGCATAAAAGTTTAGAATCTGTGTCTTTGCATGAATTTAATCATCTCCATCAGAATCCTTAAGGAATTACAATAACAGTGATTCATTCATAATTCACAATTTCCATTATCTTCTTTCTCCATCTAGTGTGGGGGGTAAAATTTATGGCTTCATTTACATTGTGTTCTATGAATAATAGAAGAAATACAGTAAAGACCCATGGAAATGTTCTTGCTGCAGATGCACTTTGGAGCACATCTGCATCACAATAGCCTCCTCGCCTTCGTGCAGTGCAGGATCTGCCAAGCTTGCAGCTGCGAAAGGGAGCATTTCAAAGGGGCCATTCTCATTATACAGAGTCTTCTCTTTCTTTGAACTTCAAAGCAGAATGAGGAGACCTTAAATGATATGGGGTAGGTAAGTGATGAAATTGTAACTTCAGGTATAAAATATCTTCAATTATGTGTGTGGAAAAACACAGCCATTCAGTGGAGCAAATATGTTTGCTTAGAGTGATATCTGGCTGGCAGGCAGGAACAAATTTAATCTTAAGATTTCTTCGAGCTGTTGCGGCCTTAAAGATAATCTAGCCCAAAGCCCTTCTTTTGCAAATGGGGAAACCAAGGCATAAAGAAATAAAATGACAAATTCAAGGTTGCATAGTACAGAGAAGGCCAGGAGCACTATCTGACCACTGGCTCCTGGTCTGGTAGACCATATTATCGTTGTTTTAAACAACAAAGCACCTGGCTTTGTGACATAGCAATAAAGCTAGCAGTAATCCTCTTGGTGAGGGATTTTCAAACACGGGCGTTTTCAGGGATTCCCCCTCCAACAATAATAATCTCTCTCAATTGAAAATCTTCACTGAAAAACATTTCGAGATTTGAAGAAAGAAATTTGTCATACTTCTGCGATTAAGTAAATCTCATTTTTCTTCTCCCAAGGAATGATAATAAAGCTGATGAAAACCTTTTGACGTTCAGATTTCTCCCCCTGGTGTCTAGTGGTAGCCCAGTGCAATACTTTATTACTACTCCATCCATAAAAGAATAAAAAGAAACCCATGCATTTAGTGAATGGTCTGTCCTTTGAATCAGTAGCTTTCCAGAAATCATAGGGAACATACCCTAGCCAAGCCAAACCCCTTTAACATAGTAGAGACTCAATGTATTTTTGTTGAAAAGATTAAATTTTTAAAAACGTGCTTTTACTTGTAGTTTGGTGTGGGCCATAAAGAGTAGTTCCTAAAACCCATTATGTTCATTATTCCCTTTCCTGCACCATGCTTCCTACTTCCCCATCCCTGGTCCTTTGCTATTTTGTTTTGAAGAAAAAAAGCAAATCGCCAGGCATCGTTTTGGGAAGGATCTCTTATTTCTTACAGAAGACTCACATAGCATGCTGTGTCTCTAATTTTATTAAAGTAACTCTGATATCATGTGAGTAGGGAGGCCTTTGCTGGAAAGAGCAACTGATATTAGCAGGCAAGACACATACAAATTCAACAGCGCCGTGATTCACGGACGCATATTCTCTGTGATCCAACATGTCTAATACATTTAGTCATGCACAATAAAAACCAAACAAAAGAATCAACCATCGGCCTTTCACTGCCCGCTTCCCACCCCAAGCTTTAAGGAATTCCTCTAGTTATGCACACCCAAACCAAAATACTGTGTTTTCTTTCCCTCTCAAATGAATGAGACAACTCAAAGAGCACTTACTCTAGACAGAAGAAAAATGAGCAGATAACTTTATCTTTTTGTGCTAAGTGTTTACTCCACCCTATTCCAGAAGAGTAATTTGGCGACAAGCTGATCTCATTTTATAAAGAGAATTCTAGAATGCACCAACGAATCCCTGTTAAGCAACAAACTTGAATTTCTATAGTTTACAAAGTATCTAAGATCCAATCTATTGCTCATTTCAAAAGTCTACCCGCTAAACTAAAATCAGACTGATTAAGATACTCCTTGGATTCCACAGTAAAACCACACTGCCTGCTAATTTCTCTGCCTGCTTTTTACCCACTGGGTTATTATTCATTCAGTTGCAAGATATGCTTATTAAGCATAGAATCAAGACCAGATTTTTGATTCTTACCTGTAAGACTCTTGAGGATTTTAAGAACCTCATGGTCTACTGCATGTCTCTCCTTTCCATAAACTATTAGTTTTCCTGCCTCATCATAATGGGATAGGAGATGGGTTTGGTGTGGAATTAAACATACTTTTATGTTTAATTATACATACTTTGTTTCTGAATCCTGGTTCTCCTTTATCTGGTCATAGAGACTCAATTTATCTGTTGAATTCTACTGTGATCATTCTCTTCTGGAAGAGACATGGATATAAAATAAAACTCTCAACTGTATTTTACAGAGAGTGGCAAGAGAGTTTCCACTTCGTGGGGACTCTATGCAAACTGTTTTTCTCTTGAGGACTGCCTTTTTATTCCACTTTATTATATTAATATTTATGTATGTCTTTATTTTGGGTGATGTACCTGCAAGCAAGAATGACCTTATAGTTAGTGCCTAAGAAGCCATGCAACATTGGCAACTTAATGGCTTAAGGGTAGATGTCGAACATCTAGACTGGAAGCCTGGTGATCATGCTGTTCTTACCTGGGGACAATTTTGCCTCCCAGGGGACCTTTGGCTATGTCAGGACACATTTTTGATGGTCACAGCTGGTGCAGGTTTGCTGTTTGCATCTGGTGGGTGGAAGCCAGGGATGCAACTACTCATCCTACAATGCACAGGAGAGGCCTACAACAAAGAATGATTCCTGCCCAAAACCTCAATAGTGCCAATCCTTGAGAAATCCTGCTGTAGATCAAGTCTCAGCTGCAATATTGTGTCTGGCTCTGAGTCCAATACTTTGAAACAAATCTTGCCAATCTGGAGCTTGTCCCAAGAGGGTGGCCAGAAAGTGAGGGATTTGAAACAGTGTCAAATAAGGTATGGTGAAAAGGACACAGGGTATTTAATTTAAACTAAGTGTGCCTCAGGAGACACGGAAGTTTGTTTTGTTACTTCAGAGACCAAACAGGAAGCCACAGGGAGAGAGATTTCATTTTAATGTAAGAAAGTCATTTCTAACAATCAAAGTTACCAGAGTAGAATAGGATTCCTTGTGAAATAATGAGTTCCCTGTTACTGGTTAAGTTGAAGTATATCTCACCAGAACTTACATTCCCTGAGAATAGCCAAAGTGCCCATTTTCCTTCCCACCAGAGACTCATATAGAACCCAAGATATGCTAGTTATCTAATAAACAGTAGTTTGATTATTCATCAGATTATTTACCAGTACTTTGATTATTTAACCAAGACATTGTAGATGATATTCAAGGGTAGCAATACTCCAAATTTTATTTTTAGACTGGCCTCATGTTTCTAGCAAAACCTTAAGAAATATATTATTTTAATTTTAAGGCAACTGTAACTAGAACTCATGGCTAGCAGAACTCAATAAAATAATTTTAAGCTACATTTGGGGAATTCATTTTTGGAGAATCTGAATCCATATATAGTCACACATTGACATGAAAGGTGTGTCCTACTTTCAACGACACCAATATAGTAGACAATCTAGAAGATACATATTTTAAACTTTTTATTGAAGTATTACGTACAGAGGAGTGCACATGAGATAAGTCTACAGTTTGTTGAACTTTTACAACCTGAAAATACTCATGCCTCTATGACCCAGATTGACAAACCGAGCATTTCTAGTGCCTCAAGCCCCATTTGCGTTCCTTTTCAGTCACTGTTCCCACAAGGGAAGCCACTCTTCTGACTTCTAATGGCACTGAATAGTTTCGTCTATTTTTTCACACGTTTATACTTTATATAAAAAGAATCATAGTGTGCACACACTTTTCTTTCTGTGTTCTTTCACTAAACTCTTTGTAAGATTCATCCAAGTTCTTAAGTGTAGTTCTTAAGTGTAGTTGTAGATCACTTAGTCTTATTACTATTATTATTATTTTATTGTGTGACTCTACCATGAGTAGAGTCACTCTGTCACCGAGGCTGGAGTGCAGCGGCACCATCTTGGCTCACTGCAACCTCCACCTCCTAGGTTTAAGCAATTCTTCTGTCTCAGCCTCCCAAGTAGCTGGGACTACAGTCGTGCACCACCATGCCTGGTTAATTTTTGTATTTTTAGTAGAGAAGGGGTTTTGCCATGTTGCCCAGGCTGGTCTCAAACTACTGACCTCAAGTGATCGACCCACCTTGACCTCCCAAAGTGCTGGGATTACAGGCATAAGCCACTGTGCCTGGCTGAAAATTTCATATTTTGTATGCAATGAAAAAACACCTCCCCAAACTGGCCGGCCATCCGCTTCTTGATAAAGCAAGGCACCTATATGCTTCTTTGCTGGGTTAGAGCACACATCTACCTTTTCCTGCTCCAATAATAGACATTATTCTTTCTTCAGTTGCTGGGAAGATAGATCCTAGACAACTTGGGGCACTCTTTTAGCCCAGGTCTAATCTATGGAATGATCAAAAAGCTTTATTTAGTTAAAAAAAGGGTGGCCGTGGGGCTGGAGCTTTCAGACTAAATCATTTGCAGTCCACACCGCCAGTCTGTGTGTGTAGCCAAGTATGCATATTGCCCCACAAATTGATGTGAAGAAAATGTAAAGTTATTTTTTCACCACCAAACTTAATTTTGCTGTTGACTTTCCATTCTGAGAGGGACGGCAGAGGGTGGGACAGAATTTTGATCTATTTGGGGTCTATTCTGCTCATTTCTGCATGTTTCTCTTAGGGCTGTGTCTAATTTCTTGGATCCCTACTGAGGTTACAGCTTTATAGAGGAGGGGTATCAAGTCTTGCATCCTCAAATCTCATGGCTGTCATTTGCTGAGAATGTCCCACCTGGCCTGGATCATTGATTGAGGCTGCTGTGTTGTCCTTCACTTCAGGAAGCCCAGCTTTTCCAGCTTTGATCTCCCTCAGCTAGTGCTGCTCCCCATTTAGGGTCACGAAAAACATTTGATTGCTCTCCTGTTCCACTCTGAGGCCAAGGGCAACTTGCCAACTTTGTCCAAAGTCCTTCACCAGGCAGACATGTCTTTTCTTTCCACATTGCTGTTGGCTGCAGACAATCCCACTTTAGGGACCCTCTTTGTTCTATGGGACAATTTTCCTCTAGTTTTGGCTTCTATCATTCCTTGAACTTACTGGACTCAGACTGGAGAGTATGGAGAGGACAGAGAGTTTGAGGGGTTATGATAAACTGTATCTTTTCATGCCTACTGAGTTACAAACAAATTGAGAAGAGTAAGCAGATGGAGTGCATCATTCAGGCACTTACTCAAATCAGAACATCTGGAACACCTACTATGTGCTAAGGAAAGCTGGTATCTGAGAATGCAACTTAAGTGTGAATCAACAATGAGCTTGAAGACTGTGGTGGTCAGCTAGGCTACACTATAGTGTGTCAGGAGTTTGTTCCTTCTGGTGGGTTCATGGTCTTGCTGACTTCAGGAATGAAGCTGTGGACCTTCATCGTGAGTTTTACAGCTTTTAGAGGTGGTGTGGACCCAAAGAGTGAGCAGCAGCAAGATTTATTGGGAAGAGCAAAAGAACAAAGCCTCCATAGTGTAGAAGGGGACCTGAGCGGGTTGCTGCTGTTGACTGGAGTGGCCAGCTTTTATTTCCTTATTTGTCCCCGCCTGTGTCCTGCTGATTGGTCCATTTTACTGGGTGCTGATTGGCACAATTTACAGGGTGGTGATTGGTCCATTTTACAAACCTCTAGCTAGCCACAGAGTGCTGATTGGTGTGTTTTTACAGAGTGCTGATTGGAGCATTTTACAAACCTCTAGCTAGCCACAGAGCGCTGGTTGGTGCGTTTTACAATCCTAGCTACAGAGTGCTGATTGGTGTATTTTACAATCCTCTTGTAAGACAGAAAAGTTCTCCAAGTCCCCACCAAACCCAGAAGTTCAGCTGGCTTCACCTCTCAATAGCACCCAGTTATTCAATCAAACCCTAATCTAGGTGTGGCTGTGGAGTTAATTTTGTAGATGTGGTTAACATTGGCTTTATGTATAGGAGATTATCCTCAATAATCTGGGTGAGCCTCATCCAATCAGTTGAAAGACATGAAGAGCATATTTAAATAAAAAAAAAAAAAGAAAAAGAGAAAGAGAGAGGAAGCGTGAGAGATATGCCTTTTTAATGTTATGCTAAAATAGATCCCTTCTTGTAAAAGAAAACATTATAAGCCTTTTCTCACTCCCTCAAACTCTTGAGGAAAACAAAGATAATCAAGAACTGTGAGAGAAAATTTTATTTTACATACTCAAATTATAAGAAGTATGAATGTTAGAACTGCTTTATTTTACCAGCTGAAGTTCCTCTAATAATATTATTGCCCTTCAAGAATGTGGAGAAGAGAATGCTTATACAGTGTTGGTGAGGATGTAAATTAGTACAAGCTCTATGGAAAATGGTACACAAGATTTCTCAAAGAGGACTAAAAATAGAATTACCATTCAATACAGCAATCCCAATACTGAGTATTTACCCAAAGGGAAAGAAATCATTATATCAAAAAGCTTGTAGGTTTATTTCAGCATTGTTCACAATAGCAAAGCTATGGAATCAACTTGTGTCCATCAACAGATGGTTGTATAAAGAAAATGTGGCATATTCCAGTATATTTAATGGAATATTATTCAGCCATAAAAAGAATGAAATAATGTATTTTGCAGCAACATGGATGGAACTGGAGGCCATTATCTTAAGTGAAACAACTTAGAAACAAAAAGTCAAATATCACATGTTCTCACTTACCAGTGGGAGCTAAATAATGGGTAAACATGGGCATAGAGTGTGGAACAATCGGCACTGGAGACCTGGAAGGGCGGAGGGTGGGACAGAGGTGAGGCTAAGAAGAAATTACTTAATGGGCACAATGTGTACTATTTGGGTTATGGGTACACTAAAAGCCCATACTTCACCACTATGCAATATATCCATGTAACAAAACTGCACTTGTGCTCCTTAAATTTATACTACTCTGTCTGTCTGTCTGTCTGTCTATCTATCTATCTATCTATCTATCTATCTATCTATCTATCTATGTATCATGTATCATCTATCATTGCCCTTGATCCAAGTGCTTACTGAAGGAGCTAATTTCAGTTTCCTTCCTTTATTGTATTTTATTTAGAATGTTACCCATCATATTACAATTCAATAAAATGCCATTATAATCCAAACTTTTAAACAATTGCTTAAGACAAAAACACCATGCTACAAATACTTGTGCAATGCGTTTTAGTTTGAATCTAGCCAGTTTTCACATAATATCTGCTGATTATAGGAAAATGCAATTTACAAGATCTAGAGTTGCTTCCATATGTTTTTCTCCTTAGGTCTATGCTATTTCTGTACATTGTACAGAAATTTCAAATCCCAGTTATGCCATCTATTTATTGTGTATCCTTGGGTAAATTAATATCTCTGAGCTTTGGTTTCTGTTTGATTATCCCCATATGTGAAATGGGGATAATGATTCTACCTGTCTGGGTGGGGCGGGGCGGGGGGGCAGATGTGTGAGGAGTAAATGAAATCACATATGTAAATTGCTTAGTGGATATCTGAGTAAAGATGACATTTGGAATTCATGCATTTTACTTATTTACTTCCGTTCTCTCTTAAGCCCCACTAAAACGATACTAAAAAGAGATGGGCTTTTGTTGTTGTTGTTTTGAATGAATAAATGGGAGAGGAGACAGTTGCAACAAATTTGTGGAAGCTGGAATGCTAAGTGACTTAACACACTTGAGAAGATGGAGTCCTAAGCCTGCAGCATGGAAAACCAAAAATCAACTGATTTAAACCACTGACTCAAAAGATTGAAATTGGTACCAGAAAATGAGGTAAAATATGGGATCAGAGCCCAGGAGGACTGGTTCAAAGACTGTTTAGGAAGAGTTTGAGGCTCACATTTCCTCCCCAGTGGCATGCAGCTGGACAACCGCCCCTCCTTTATCCCAACGAAAGACCTGGAGCTCATTCTTTGGCAAGGTTAAAGCAGAGGTATGTGGATGAGGGTAGCTCAGTTATTCCAGAAGGTGGGTTTATCCTACTGAAAACACTGGGTGTAAATGAATGAATGCATTCTGGCTGCTAAGATTCCCCCCAACTATCCTTTCACTCAGCTTCTGGAATTGACTTTCAGGCCTTTTTCCTTCCTAGGAGATCTAGGAAATGAGTCTTCTCTCGGGAATCTGGTCTGGTTTGTGGACATTTTACAAGGGAACAGCCCAGCCCGATCACCTGGTAAAGTTCACAGACAGTATAGCACACTTAGAGCTTCTAGTCTCTTTTTTTCTCCATATTCTTCAATACAGCAGACAATTGGATTACCAGAGTTAAGAGAAAGCTTAGCCATTGACAGAAGTCAAAGTGAACATCAACAAAAACCAATCTGGTAAAAAATAGAAACCATGCAGGGAAAAGAAAAAAAAATTTCCTATCATTATTACATCCATAAATCAAGAAGAGGATGCTTTAAAAAAGGAACATTTAGAAAACAAAATAGAGTTCTTAATTAAAAACGAGGGCAGAGATGAAAAACTCAAGAGTTAGAGAATTCAGCTGAGGAAAAATGAAAACAAGAAAATCTAGAAAGTAGAGTTAAAAAGACAATATGATAGAAAGTAAGAAAATTTAGAGGACCACCAGCTCACGAAGTTCAAGATCTGAACATCGGGAGTTCCAGAAAGAAAACACGTGGGGAGAAACAATAGAAGAACATTTCTCAAAACGGAAGGGCAAATTCCCAGATAGGGAGAGCCATGGAGTTGGAAGCTGGAATGCTATTACTATTAGTGATTGAAAATACACAAGCCTCATATATCTCAGAACACTAGCAGCGAGAAAGAGTGAGAAAAAGAAAGCGAGAGAGAAACTAGTTGCACACAAAGGCCCAGGAATCAGAATGATTTTGAAATTCTCAAAAGCCATACTGGATGTTGGAAGACAAATGGAAGGATGTTTTCAGAATTTGAAGAAAAATGATTGCCACTTGGAATTCTATACACAGCCAGACTGTCAATCATGTGTGAGAGTGGACAAGCCTTACGTGAGTTTTCTAGCAGAGATGGTGAAAAAATGGCAATAGGAGCTATTTTAGGTGTATGTGAAAATCAGAAATGCTTTTTCTTTGGGCTGGCCCCAGTTTTGTTTCTTTTACTTTAAAGATAGGAGTTTCCTGTTGTCTAGATAATAAGAGTTGTCAAAAGCTTTTATTGCTGTTGTTTTACTGTTCTTAAATTCTTTGCTCGAAACAATATTACAAAGCATTTCTTTATTTCCCATAATAATTACAAAGCATGAGGGTCAAATAAACCTGTTTTTAGGTAAGCAACGTTTCAACAATTTTATTTCCTACATATCCTTTCCCAAGAAGATACTAAAGTATGTACTCCACCCAAAAGAGGGAATAAACCAATAAGAAGGAAGATATGAGATTCAGAAAAGAAGAGATCCAACACAAGGAAGAGGCAAAGAGAATCCACAGGAAGATGTTGAAGATAGTAGCCATGCAACAGGCCTAGAAGGCAACCAATTCAGGTTGGAGCATACCAGAAACCTCCAGGAAAGATTTCTCTAAGAATAGGAAATTGGTAGAACATCAGATAACATAAATGTCTTAAAAAGAGTTTTAGACCAAAGGCTGGGAGTTTGGAGTTGCACTAGTGGTATGTTCATAGAAAACAAAACGAATGAGAAAGCAAGACAATTATCTCTGGGGAAATTTGCACGGGAAATAAAAATAATTAGTGTACACATGACTCAGCTGTGAGCAGCGTTTACATAGTCATATGCCAACACAATATCGATCTGACAAAATTACCAAATAGCTATATTAGGTACCCGAGGGAGTGGAAAGGATGTGCAGTGATGGGGCAGGGGAATGAATAAAAGTTCCATTATCGTTATCCATAGAAGGAGGCCAATAGATTATGTCTAAACTACAAAATGAAGAAGTGGTAAGAAATATGTTGTTCAGAATTGTGAAGGTAAATGCCAAAATATTCCCTTTTTAGATTTGAAAGTGGAGTCCGCTAGGAAGATAGATGTGGGGCAAAGGGTAGGAATTGCTGTGTTTCGTACAAATTTGTAAAACTCTTTGACTCTTTAAATATGGACACATATATTTGATAAATATAAAATGGAAAAAAGTCTCAGCAGAGTGTCTGTGTAATAAGTCCTCAATAATTAGCCCTTAATACTAACTTTATTATACCTTGTATGCTCAATCCTGGGCAACTGTGAAAGGAAGCAAGAAAAACTTTCCTTGACGTGAACGACTCAGTCTTTATGTTAGTTCTAAGCAGTTTTCTTCATGATGATCAGACTATTGAAGTTTGATGAGGATATGGAAACCTAGAATATCTCAAGAAGACAAAGAGAAGGAGCAAAACCATATTATTGAATGCCGACTCTGTGTTTGGGATGGCACCCCTTGTATGCATGGCTTCATTTGCCCTTTTATTCTTCTTGAGATAGGGTCTCACTCTGATGCCCAGGCTGGAGCACAGTGGTGTGATCATGGCTCACTGCAGCCTCAACCTTCTCAGGCTGAAGTGATCCTCCCACCCCAGCCTCCTGAGTAGCTGGGATTACAGGCATTCACCACCATGCCTGGCAAATGTTTTGGTACCTTTTCGCAGATATGGGGTTTCACTATGTTGCCCAAAGTGATCTCGAACTCCTGGGCTCAAGCAATCCACACGCCTTGGCCTCCCAAAGTGCTGGGATTATAGGTGTGAGCCACCCTGCCTGGCCACATATACCCTTAAAACCATCCTATGCTGTAGGCATTATCGTCTCCATTTGACAATTGCAGTCAGTCTTGGAAAGGTTAAAATTGGTCCTCATCACATAGTAAGAGAGGAGGCAATCTGGCATGCTCGTCACTCATCATCTCTGTTCACTGCAACAAAAAGCATATAGGGACAATCTTGGATGACAGTTCATAATATTAAAGGTTGGTGCAAAAGTTATTGAGGTTTTTGCCATTAAAAGTAATGACAAAAGCAGCAATTACTTTTGCACCGAACTAATAGATTAATGAGGGAAGTCCGGATGTTTGGAAGACAGGTGTAAATTGGCAAGGCCTAAATACTTCTGTATTCTCTTGTCAAAAACAGATCCCTGGGCTGGATGCCTGGGCACTGACCAGCAGGCTGCCCTTCTGTTCTTGTGGTTTACAGAGTTCCTGGTCTTGCCAACACTAGACCCGCAGAAGCAGTATGCTGTTTGTTTAATCTTTTCGATTCTTCCTGACAGAACAACTTGTTCTCCTTCCCTCCTGCTGAGATAGGTGAAGGCTGAATGTAAACAGAATCTTTCTTCTTCCTGTTCAAAATGTAGAGGTGCAGGTGAAGCCAGCAGCTTGAGTCAAAAGGTTGGCAGTGGACTAATTAATCACTGGAGCATGCGGCAGTGAAGTGAGACCTTGAAGACAAAGAGTCCCACATTGCGATTCTTCTAACTGAACCCCAGTCCAAGTGGTCAGAACTGGTGGGATTAGAATTTGGGACTACCAGAAGCCTTAGGTTTCCCTGGAGTTAGATAGGGATGGATGCTTATTGTAGAAATTTTGGAATATATGGAAAGTACTGTATCAGTCAGAGTACTCATGGGAAAGAGATGGCACACTCACAAAGACCAAGAAGATACATTTACTGCATAGATTTTTCACAGAGGTGTGGGTAAGATTTAGGGAACCCAGCAAGGCCAGGTGTGGTGGCTCGCACCTATAATCCTAGTGCTTTGGGAGGATGAGGTGGAGAACTGCTTGAGGCCAGGAGTTCAAGACCAGCCTGTAGCCAGGCATGGTGGTGCATACCTGTAGCCCTGTTTACTCAGGAGGCTGAGGTAGGAGGATGGCTTGAGCTCAGGAGTTCGAGGCTGCAGTGACCTATGATCATGCTACTGCACTTCAGCCTGGGCAACAAAGTGAGACACAGTCTTAAAAAAAAAAAGAAAAGAACTCAACAAGAATGGTGAAGCACCCCAGGTCAGCAAAAATGGGGAGCTGTTACCACCCTTAAGCATGAAGGAACTTTGAAAGGGAGAGTTCACCTGGAGAGAGACAGACTTACAGATATAGGTCAGCTGATTATCTTAATGGAGCTGAGACCATAAGATGGGGGATACAGTCCCTTCCAGCCTGCACTGGCAAAGAATGAGCTCTGGGAATAAACACCTCAGTGTCACTTTTTCCACCCTCTGGTCACCTGCTGGTGTCTTCCCTTGGTTGAACTCACCTACAAGCCAGAGGGGAAGGGAGTGTGTTAATATATCTGTAAAGGTCAGCCTCCCTGGACACAGATTAGAGTGAAGATACGTGGAGAGTGAGTTTGGAGAGGGCAGACCACCCAACACAGGTATAAAAAATACAACAATAAAACGGAAGTCACCCATGATCCCAGCTTGTGTGACTGACTCCAGTGCCCACCCTCCTGACTGTCTTGGTGATGGCTTGGCTTTCTTCCTCCCTTTGTGCTTCTTTGCCACTCTGTGGATCCAGTGCCCCAAATCTTGCCAACTCTTCTCAAGGAGGCGCGCTCTCATAGCGAGTATATTTTTATTGTGAAGACATCTGCACCTTCTTGCCAGCCAAAAATAACATATGGAAACGTTTCCCACATTTTCACCAGGGGGCACTCACTCCTTTTTCATGGATGGCTAAAAATGCTTTTTTCGAAGTGTTTGCTTGCCAAAATAGAATCCTTTTTGTAGCCGCTGTGAACGTTGGAATCAGCTCTGCCCTGAAGTGATTTCTGGCCAAACAATGTTTCTGTTTGAAATAAGATGACTGGACTCCACGTCTGCCTTCTTGGTAAATGTTTAGCACCCAACTTGCATGTTCCATTTGGAAAATACTTTGGGTCTAAATGCTACTTTACTATTCTCCCATTGAAATGAACAGAACCAAGAAGAGTTTGAGAAAATAATCTGTGCGCTTAATTTGTAGGTGCCCTTTTAAGAGCTGAAAACCTGACAAATCAAAGAAAGTGAACAAATCCTCCCTTTGGAGGCTGCCTTGTACCCATCCCCAAGATTCATCTTGATGATAAATGGAGGCTTCCTGGGGGAAATATGTTTTTTCAAGCATAAATTCTCCCAAATGGAAAGGCATTTGTTTGGTATCATATCAATCCTATTTAGCTATTAGGTATGAAAGTGACATACTCTTTGTCAAAGGAACCATGCAGACAAGAGAGCTGAGTAATCAAGCAATGTACAGGGAGTAAGTGGGAGGCCTCAGGCATGTATTTATAAGAATTTCTCTTAACAGTGTGGATTGTGTTTGCAACTTGATAAAAATAATTATAGATCTCTGATGTCTTTTTAATGAACGCGATGTTACAACTATAGGGAAATATAAAGATATATTTAGTCTATCATCTAATCAGTCAATCAAAGGGGTAGCTTAAAATTGTGGGTTTTTTTTTTCATACAAAAGCTTATTCTTAGGTCTGGACACTGTATGGTATAATGATTAAGAGCAAAATTTTGGCACAAAATCAACCTGGATTTGAATCTTGGTACCATTTCTTACCTCTGTAACCTTGGGAAAGTTATTTAACCCCTTGAACTTTCGTTTTCTGATGTATACAATGGGAGAAATTATGGTACCCACTTAATAGTGTTGATGTCAAGATTAAGAGGATAACACAAGTCAAGTGTCTGGTACATAAAAATACTCAATACCTAATGAATATTGTCATTACCTTATAATAAGATAATCCCATCAAAAAATTTAGAGATAATGCATAATGAAGAAATCATTACATGGGTTCAGACAACTTATTACTGGGCTCTTTTTTTTCTCCAATCAACTTTAGCTATGGCAGTGCTAATTAATTATTTAAAAAACAATAGCTGTTTGAGTGAATTTTTTGTCACAAAACATAGGATCTTGGAGCTGGGAGGACTAACAGATTAATCGCATCCAAACTTATTTTAAGAAGAAGGGAATTCTTTAAAAAATCTTTAAAGTAAAGCTGGTTTGTCTGCATAGCCACAAATCGAAGGTATGAGTAAATAACTGCAGTTCTCACCAATTCAGAAATGGTAATTTATACATTACCCTTCTCCTTACAAATCAGTGCTTCAATGTGAGTTACAAAAAGAATTATTCCCTTTTATTTTTATGCATTCTGACTGATTATTAAAGTTTACTTTCGCTGCTTTCTGTAGATTTTGGATATATTCTAGAAAATCTCTTATTTCAGCTTTTAATGAAAAATTAAAAATAAAATCTGATTAAATAATTTTTCGTGATGTATATGGGACAAAGCTACTCTGTAGAGAGTAAATTAAGAAAAATAAAAGTTAACAGGTCCACAAATTGGGTCAAGATGATTTGCTTAAGTAGTGGTTATTCATTTGCACACATTCTTGTCCTGCAGCATATAAAGAGAATGAAACTTTTCTGGGATTTGCCCAATTGGTGGTCATGCTTATGCATGCTTCTGCATGGGGTGGGCAAGAACACAACTAGCTCAGATGGTTCCATCTTAAGGAGATATGAAATCTGGTCAAGCTTATTTTTTGTATTAGTAAAGGCAAAAAATATATCATAGATTGGTCTAAGGCTGATTTTTTTTTTCTTTCAATATGACCTACTATGTCCAAGGTTTCATATAAACTAGCTCTGTTTGACTTTCCAATTTGGCTATTTTGCCATTGTATGTATCTAGAGAATCCACTCACAGAAAATATGTTGACTATTACCATGTAACATCTGTTATGCTAAATGCCGAGTAATGTACATAGCTGAGACTCTGGTATCATCGCATGGCTCTGTCCAGTGAAGATTATCTCTCTTCTGAGGAGCCACAGTACTCCATTTATTCTGCTTTTATAGTATTTTTAGAGAATTTTAGTTATATACATACATGATCATAATATATTAATATACTTTTTTGAAAAATTATGATAATAAGGCATGAATATATTCTTGTTCTAAAACCTTCATAAATATGGTTACAAAGGGAAAAATAGAGACTGTCTCTCAGTCCCATGACTCTTATAACGTAACCGTTCTTAAGGCATGAGGCATATCCTCTACTCCTTTTGCTCTGTGCATTTACACTAAAGGTTGCTAACCAGCTGTTTACAGGGGCCTGGCAGACAACATAAACAAGCAAGGAAGACTGGATATAAAATAGTGGTTCATAGGGGACACTGGACACCCAGAGCTGCATGAGTGGCAGCCACTAGGCTACTTTAGCCAGTTATTGCCATGTAGGAAGACAGGTCCAACATGGCAAAAACTTCCTGTTTTTCAAGAGAAGACTGACATGTAGATTCTCAAACAAAAGTTCCTAATTTTTAAGTTCCAGCAACTAATTCAAATATTTTCTTTGCTTTTGAGACATGTTCTGGCTGTATTGCCTAGGCTAGAGTGCAGTGGTGCAATCTTGGCTCACTGCAACCTCAGCCTTCCGTGCTCAAGCCATCCTCCCCATGACAGTCTCCTGAGTAGCTGGGACTACAGGCACATGCCACCACACCCAGCTAATTTTTGTGTTCTTTGTAGAGATGGGGTTTCGCCATGTTGTCCAGGCTGGTCCTCAAACTCATGAGCTCAAGTGATCTGCCTGCCTCAGCCTCCCAAAGTGCTGGGATTACAGGCGTGAGCTACCACACCCAGCCTAATTGGAATATTTTATAGTCAATGTTTAAATTAAGCCAAATATATCTACAGGCTTAGTGTGGCTAGGCAACAGCTGATTTGCGCCCTTCAATTTATTGTACTCCACTATTTTCATATACAATTGCATTGTCTATACTATTGCATATACTATTTGCATTATCTTTCTAGGCTAAACATTTTCTTAAGGCAAGATCATTTCCTTATTCATTTTTGCATTCATTCCAAAGCACTCCAGTACACAAATGATACACCTAACTTCAAATCTCAGTTTTCATCTACACAATGTCTCTAAGGTGATGCAAAAACAGAACTAATGAAAAAAGCAAGAACAAAACTTAAACCCAAACAACAGAAATAAGAAACAAAACAATAAGAATAATAACAATAGCAACAAAGTCAACCTAGAAAAAAGTATAATTGAGGAGTTGGTGGTTAAAATCACCTCCAAAAGAGGCCACTAGCAATGGTCAATGTAGGCACATTGATAGAACCATATTGCCCTGATTCTGTTCCCATCTCCATTCCCCAATCCAATCCATGTGATTGGCTGGTAGCAGGAGCCTTGCTGGTCACTCAAGTGGGCAATGTCTGGAACTGATGAACAGGGCTCGGCAGGCACACTCAGCGCTTATCGTCCAATCTCTAAGTCCCCTAATTAGAGAATTGAGATGCCCATGGAACATTGAAAAGATGGAATGCAACAGAAGATGACTTAATGGTTGTTTTGAGATCATTTTGTGTTGATGTACATAAGGTAAAAGAAAACAGAGAGTGGAAAGGCATCGACTCTGTAATTAGCTTTGAATTTTACCAGGACATGTGCTTCCAGAAGTGGTCTTATTTGTAATTACTTAAGCTTGGAAACTGAGCTACAGAGAAGAGGCTTTCTTGTAAAGAAACTGTAAGGTTTCAATTATGCCCTGACCTCACTTTGATGCACTTTTTAGGACACATGCTTGGACAGGATTTGCTTTAGGGTGGACATGGGGAATCAAGGGACAGGGCAGGAAGAAAGATATTTAACCCTGGAATCCTTCAACACCTGTGTTGCTCCCCCTACTTACTCTTACTCCATCCCACTGGTTGGAGTGATCCTCTTAACCTAAAAACTATCATGTCACTCCTCTGTGTAAAATTCTGCAATGGTTCTGTTGCCTTCTGATTAAAGTTTACACTCTCAACTTAACCTAGAGGATGCTTCGTTTTCAGGCTCTGGTTTGCCTGTCTCCACTCTGGGCCTTCCCATATGTTCTTCCTTTCCCTTGTTTGCTGGCTAACTTATCCTCACTGCAGATCTCAGTTTAATAACATTTTTCCTGGGAAACCATCGCTGGCCCTCTAGAACAGCACTGTCCACTAGAAATATAACATAAGTCACATATGTAATTTTAGCCACATTAAAAATGTGAAAAGAAATAGAAGCAGCTGATTTTTAATAATATATTTTATTTAACTCAAAATATTTTCATTTCAATATGAAATTGATATACAAATTACTGGCCGGGCACTGCGGCTTATGCCTGTAATCCTAGCACTTTCGGAGGCTGAGATGAGAGAATTTCTTGAGGCCAGGAATTCAAGACTTGCCCTGGCAACAAAGTGAGGCCCCGTTTCTATAGAAAAATAAAAAATTAAATTAACCAGGCATGGTGGTGCACACCTGTAGTCCCAGCAACTTGGGATGCTGAGGTGGGAGGATCATTGAGCCCAGGAGAGTTTGAGGTTACAGTGAGCTGTGATCACACCACTGCATTCCAGCTTGGGTGACAGAGCAAGACCCTATCTCGAAAAAAAAAAATTTACTGAGATACATTAGTACTCTTACTTGATAGCAAGTCTTTAAAACCTGGTGCATATTTTGCCCTTACAACACATCTTAATGAAACCTTGCCTTATTTTGAGTCTCAATAGCCCCTTGTGGCCAGGGGCTCCTGTATAACAGTGCAGCTGTAGGTGAGGTTGGTTGCCTGCCCTCCTGTGAAACGTGTCCCTCCTTTCCCTTGTTGTGTTCCAGCCACAGAACTTCTCTCTGTCCTTTAGGTGGGTCATGCTCTTTCTCACCTCATGTCTTAGCATAGGTTTTTCCTCTGCCTGGAACACTCTTCTCCACTCCTCTTGTATCCGGCTATCTCCTATGTGATTTTTTAGATCTCAGCTTCCCCTAGAAAACCTTCCGTGACTTCCCAAATCCTGATTGTATCTTTCCCATGATCTCCCCACGTGTTTCTTAAGAAATGTCACAACTTGTTTCCCACTGAATTACCAATGCCTGTTTGTAGTTCCCTCTGGACTGTGAGCTGTATGAAGGTACTGTTTCTATTCCTGACTTACTAGTGCAACACCTAGCACATGCTCGACCCTCAATAGTGCATTATTTTCTGATTTTCAAATACCCAAAACAAACTTTTCTATTCATTTTTTTCCAACTGAGTTAGCATATGGAGGCAAATGTTTCAAAGTTAAAAACTTAAAATCTAGTTAATTTATTTTATATAACCTGTTGACTCATATTCCATAGACTGCCTGTAAACTTGGAGAATACTATTTAAAAATAAATACACCGGAGTCAGTATTATACCAACAACAATTTTCTGGTTTTCACAGCATACTATGATTATATAAAATACTATCACTGGGGGAAGTTGGGAGAAGGGTACATGGGAACACTGTATTATTTTTGTGACTTTTTGTGAACTTTAGATTATTTCAGAATAATAAATTATTTTTAAAAGAATCTGCTCAACTTAAGCAATTCAAGGTAATTGCTAAATTCCATAGCCCATAAATGCTTTTGCTTGGTATTATTAAAATGCTATTTCCTAAGGACAAACTGTAATATGAAACAAAATGTGGCATGGGAGAGAACAAATCAGTGGCTCCCAAACTTTGTGGATTCATGGCACATTTTGGAATATTAGAATTTTGGCAGCCCTCTTGGAATGATTAGGAGACTAAAAACAACATTTAAATAAATTAGGAACAATTACAATGCAGTAATTGCCACAGTCTAACAATGTCTCCCAGTGTTTTGAAAGAAGTTAGTGGTCACCCTTTCACACTGTCCTGCTATTTGATTAGAATTATTTATTGCCATGATGACAATCTGCTACAAACCCACAAGCCAAAGCTCACACTTTACTCTGGTTCAAAGAAGGTTGGATCATCCTTTATATTTTTCTGCCTGCTCAATTAAAGGATCCATCAGACAGATGATGTTGCAACTCTGTGTGTTTTCATTTAAAAAAAAAGGTCACATTGGGCAAAATTTCACTGTAACACTGTTCAGGTTTCATTGTTCATTAGTAGCCACTGATTGAGAACCACTGATCTAGATAGTAAAGATGGAAAATCTAGTTTTGTTCTCAGCCAATGCAAATTATTTTTATAGAGCCCAATTAAAAGCCCTATGTGTTTTTTGAACATTTCAGATTCTGTGACCTTCTTCCTTTCTTCTAACTCAGCCTACATCACGTAGTCTAACATGTACTTTGTAAATTCTTGTTACATTTTGTGATTGTCCTTTGAATGTAAGCTTCTCATTCTAATAACTTATAAATTCCACGAAGATAGATCTTTGGCTTCTTTTGTGTCACCCTTCCATTGGCTTCTGAGTCAATTAAATTCAATTCTACCCATAGATGCTGAAAATAACCATTAAGTTGATTTATCTAGATTAGATGATTTAAGCAAAGGCAAGAAGATGGTTTAATTAACCCTATGTTGAACTCATCATGGAAAATTCTTGAAACTTGCCTGCATGGAGCTCACACAGGATCCCCTTCCTCAATGGTGCCCTAACACCTGACACGTATAAGTCTTGAAAATGTGGGCTGGCACTGTGGAAAGCAGTTTGGAGATTTCTCAAAGAATATAGAACTACAATTTGATCTGATAATCCCATTACTGGGTATATACACAGGAGAAAAAAATCTCTCTACCAAAAAGACACATGCACTGGTATGTTCACTGCAGCACTATTCACAATAGCAAAGACATGGAATCAACCTAGGTGTTCATAATGTCCATCAGTGGATTAGATAAAGGAGATGTGGTACATATACACCATGGAATGCTACACAGCCACAAAAATGATGAAATCATGTTCTTTGCGGCAACATGGATACAGCTGGAGGCCATTATCCTAAGAGAAGTAATGCAGGAACAGAAAGACTCCATGTTCTCACTTATGTAAGTGGGAGCTAAACAAGGTACTCGTGGACAGACAGATGGCAACAATAGACACTGGGTACTACTACGAGGAGTGAGTGGGACTGGGTTGAAAAACTAACTGTTGGGTACTATGCTCACTATCGGGGTAATGGGATCAATTGTACACCAAACCTCAGCATCATGCGATATACCCAGGTAACAAAACTACACATGTACCCCCTGAATCTAAAATAAAAGTTGAAATTACAAAAAATAAAAAATAAAAAAAAACCAAAAAGCAAAAACAAACAAAAAAGAAAATGTGGCTGGTCACACACAAACGGCTCCAGTACATACAGGCTCCCAAAGTGTAGTCAACCCTTGAAGAAAGGGCATGATTGTGTTTGGGAGAAGTGCACATACCAAATTCAGAATCTTTAGAACACATTCTCTAGCTGGTTTACCCATGTTTCTCTCCTCCTTCATTTTGGAGATAGCTTTTTTTTTTTTTTTTCCCTGTTCATGGGAGTAACCTAACCATCCCTTTCCATGAACATATAATAAAATGATATCCAATTGCACATGCTACTTATTAATCTGCTCAAAAAACTGATATATTGTGAACCTCTTCCCAAGTTAATAAATATATGACTTTAGTACACATTGGATTCAGAAAGCAGAGTGCTAAGGCTCTAAAATCACACTGCCCAGGTTCACAGCCCAGATCTAGGACTACTATCCATGTTGATCTTCTGGAATTTACTTACCCTCTTTGTACCTCAATTTATTAAACTGCCAAATGATGAATAATATGGCCTACTTCATTGTGTTTCCACAAGGATTAAATGAGAATGACTGTAAGGCACAGTATAAGAGCTCAATAAGTTTAGCTATCTGTCTACATCAATGGCTTTCGAACTAGTTTAAAGCAGTAAAAACTATTTTGCAGAGAGGATGGCTGACTAGAGGCATCTCATACTCAACTTCTCCACAAAGAAGGACCAAAATAGTGAGTAGATGACCGCACTTCAAACAGATCACCTAAGAGAGAACACTGGATCAAAAGAGAGGTGACAGGAACCACCTAAAGCAGGGAAAGAGAGGGAAACAAGGGAGCCTGCTTGGCTAGGAATGGCTGTGAGACTGGAGAGACTGCCCAGTAAGGGCAACAGGTAAGTGAGAGACCCTCAGTGGTCCACATTTCCAACATGGAATCCTTCTGCAATCCTGGTCACAAGAGAGCCCCTTGACCATCACGGGCCCTGAAACTGACTTAAGGAGCTGCCTGGAGATTGTGCAATGGCATTGCTCCAGAGAGGACGCTCATGCTGGATCCTCCCCACCCCCGCCAGGTCCTAAGCTGCTACACAGCAAGGCACAGTTTTGAAAGCCCAGCCCCAAACAGACTGCACCCTGCCCTGGGGCCCAATAGTGTCTGCATCTCCACATTCCTGGGGCTCCAAGGACATCCCTTGCTTGCAGCCGCCACTGCTGCTGGCTGTTGTCACTGGAGCCAAGGCACAGGCCACTGGTGGTGATGCTGCTCTCACCAGCAGGAGAGCCACCATGAATTTTCATGCACCTAGACAGAGTCCGCTGCCCCCAGATGCCATCATTGTGGGTGATCCAGCTGCTACTGGGGCTTAAGTGTAAGTGGGGCACAGGCTGCTGCCACCAGTGCTGGGACATGAGTGAAGTGCAGGTTGCTGCTGCCGGGGTTGAGGTGCAAGTGAAGCATGTGCTACCACCGCTGGGACTGAAGCGCAAGGAAAGTGCATGTTCTCCATCCACTTGCCTATGGCTGCCACTGAAAACCACTCTGCCCTCCCTAGTACAGGGCTGCAATATAGCTGCTGCCACTTCTCACCTGACCATTCTACTGAGGGCCTGGAAATCTCCCTATCCCTGCCTTCCAAAACCAGTTCCTGTATGTACCACCAGGGTGCCTAAGGACAAGCCTTCCCAGCCTGGCTTTGCCCCTACCCTTATGCCAGAGCATGTAGTTTGGGGGTCTGGGGATCACCAATCCCACCCACCACTGTCAGCACCTGAGCACTTCTCCTGGGAGCCTGAGGTTGGGCCACCTACTTGCCACTACCACCACAGCTGACACCCACCTGCCCATGCTACCTATGGGCTTGAACTGGCCTGCCAAGGCCACTGCTGCCACCACTAACATCAATGCACACCATTTAAGACCAGGATAGTTATCCTGCCTCTGCTACTGCCATTGCCTACATCATGCCTGCTGCCCAAGGGCTTGAGAACCCACCCACCCATCCAGCCCACTGCTACCACTACTGGTATTTCAGCAATCCACCCAAAGGCCCAAGAATCCATCCACCTCACCAGCTAAAACTGGCATGCAAAGGCTGCCCTAGGGTCCAAGGAGAGCTGCCTCCACTGGAGCCCAAAGAATGGACCACCTGGCATCCTAGTCTCCAGCAAAACTTCACCACAGCTTTCACTAATAAGCACACTCTAGGTTACTGAGGAAATAATAGACACCTCTGACTCTGTTTATAGCTAAAGAAATCATACAGAGACTACACTACCATACACATTGAGAATCAAAGCCAAAGTGCCCTACTCAACCCACTCCATAGATACAGCTTCAGGAAAAAGTCCTCCCCTACAAAAGCAAATTTAAAAAAACTGAAGAAGTGAGTGTTTCACCAGATACCCAGATATCAATGTAAGGACATAAGAAATATGAAAAATAAGAAAATATGACACCTCCAAAGGAACACAATAATTAGCCAGCAACAAATCCCAATAAAAAAAAAAATTTGTAAAACTCTGGATAAAAATCAAAATATTGGTTTTAAAGAAGCTCAGTGGGATACAAGAGAATGTTGGAAAACAATATAAAGAAATAAGAAAAACAATTCAGGATATAGGAAATTTACCAAAGAGATCATAAATAAGATAAAAATATAAATAAAAAAGATAAACATCATTAAAAAGAACCAAACAAATTCTGGAACTAAAAAATTCATTTAATGAGATACAAAATACATTTGAAAGCTTCAACAATAGACTGGAGCAAGCAGAAGAAAGAATCTCAGAACTTGAAGGCAGGATTTTTGAAATAATTCTGTCAGAAAAAACATAAAAAAGAATGAAAAAAGCCTGCATGACAAATAGGGAATCATAAAATGACCAAATGTTCTATTTATTGGAGTTCCAGAAGACAAAGAGAAAATTAAAGTGCTAGAAAACCTATTTAATGAAATAATAGATGAAAACTTCCAAAGACTAGCAAGACATTTAGATGTCCAGATACAGAAAGCTCAGAGATCCCCAAACAGATACAACGCAAAAAGATCTCCAAGGCATGGCATATTATAGTCAAACTGTCAAAAGTCAAAAAACAAAGAAAGAATTCTAAAAACAGTAAAAGAAAAGTATCTAGTCATTTATAAAGGAGGCTCCATCACACTAACAGCAGATTTCTCAGCCAGAACCTTACAGGCCAGAAGAAAATGGGATGACATATTCAAAGTGCTGGAAGAAAAAAAAAATTATCAGCCAAAGATACTGTAGGCAGCAAAGTTATTCTTCATAAATGTAGGAAAAAGAAAGTCTTTCCCAGAGAAACAAAAGCTGAAGGAATTAATCACCACTAGAGCAGACCTATAAGAAATCCCTACAACTGGAAGTGGAAGAATGATATTTAGCATCATGAAAACACATGAAAATATAAAAACCACTGGTGTAGAGAAGAAATGAGGAAAAGACTATGTATTTGTCCGTTCTCACGCTGCCATAAAGAAATACCTGAGACTGGATAATTTATAAAGAAAGGAGGTTTAATTGACTCACAGTTCTGCATGGCTTGGGAGGCCTCAGGAAACTTACAATCATGGCAGAAGGGGAAGCAGGCATGTCTTAGGTGGTGGCAGGAGAGAGAAGTGCGTGTGAAGGAGGAACTGTCAGACACTTATAAAACCATCAGGTCTCATGAGAAGTCACTCACTATTATGAGAACAGCATGAGGGGAACTGTCCACATGATCCAATCACCTCCCTCCCTTGACAAGTGGGAATTACAGGTCCTTCCCTGGACACTTGGGGATTACAATTGGAGATGAGATTTAGGTGGGGACACAGAGCCAAACCATATCTGACTTAAATGTTACCACTACAGAAAACTACCAAACCATGAGAATAAACAATAAGAGAGAAAGAAAGGAACAGATAACCCTTCTATTTTAGTTTGTTTTGATGATTATTATTGTATTACTGTTATCCCTTCCAAATTGTGAATGAGTCTATTCGTGCATCAATAAAAGCAGTCTTTGGTTTTCTTTTTTAAAAAAGTAGAAAGACTTCAAATAAGCAAGCTAGTGGTGCACCTCAAGGAACTAAAAAAGCAAGAACAAACAAAAACCCCAAATTAGTAGAGGGAAAGAAATGATAAAGATTGGAGCAAAACTAAAAGAAATGAGACTAAAAAAAATACAAAGAATCAATGAAATGAGAAGTTGTTTTTTAAAAAACTTTAACAAAATTGATAAACCACTTGCTAGACTTACCAAGAAAAAAAGAGAAAAGGCCCAAATAAACAAAATCAGAAATGAGAAAGGAGACATTACAATTGATACTACAGAAATACAAAAGATTACCACTCTGTGAACAACTATGCACCAACAAATTAAAAAACTAGAATAGATGGGTAAATTTCTGAACACCTGCAACCTACCAAGATTGAATCATGAAAAATAGGAATCCTGAACAGACGAGTAATGAGACTGAATCAGTAATAAAAACTCTCCCATCAAAAATACAAGGCCCAAGACTGAATGGCTTCACTGCAAAATTTTACCAAACTTTTGAAGAAGAAATAACACCATTTCTCTTCAAACAATTCCAAAAAATTGAAGAGGAGGGATTTCTCTCTAACTCATTCCATAAGGCCAGCATGAGTCTGATATCAAAACCAGAGAGGGATGCAACATAAAAGAGAAAACTATAGGTCAATATCCCTAATGATCATAGACAAAAAAATCCTCAGCAAAATACTAGCAAGCCAAATTCAACAGTACATAAAAGCAAGTACACAATGATCAAGTGGGATTTATCCTAGGGATGAAAGGATGGTTCAACATATGCAAATCAAAAAACATGATACATCATATCAATAGAATGAAGGACAAAAAGCGTATGTTTATCTCAAAAGATGCAGAAAGAGAATTTGATACAATTTATCATCCCTTCATGATAAAAACTTTTGAAACACTAGGCTTAGAAGGAACACATCTCAACATAATGAAGGCCACATAGGACAAACCCACAGCTAAGATGATACTGAATGGGGAAGAACTGAAAATCCTTTCCTCTAAGAACTGCAACAAGACAAGGATGCCCACTTCCACCACTCTTATTCAACATAGTACTGGAAGTCCTAGCCAGAGCAATCAGGCAAGAAAAAAAAGGCATCCAAATTGGAAAAGAGGAAGTCAAATTGTCCCTCTTTGCTGATTATATGCACTTACATATGGAAAAACCTAAGGACTCTGTGAAAAAGCTTTTAGACCTTATAAACTCATTCAGAAATACAATATAATATCATTATATAAAAATCAGTAGTATTTCTATACATCAATAATGAGCTAGCTGAGAAAGAAATTGAGAAGGCAGTCCCATTTACAATATGGGATGCACAATAGCTACAAGAAATTTAAAATACATAGAAATAAATGTAACCAAAAAGATGAAAGATCTCTATAAGGAAAACTACAAAACACTGATGAAAGAAATTGAGGAGGACACAAACAAATGGAATGACATCCCATTCTCATGGATTAGGAGAATTAACATTGTTAAAATGACCATACTTCCCAAAGCAGTCTACAGAGTCAATGCAATCCCTATCAAAATACCGATTTTTTTTATAGAAATAGAAAAATAATCCTAAAATTTGTGTAAAACCAAAAAGTAGCTTGAATAGCCAAAGCAAGCCTGAGCAAAAAGAACAAACCTGGAGGCATCACACTATCCAACTTTAAAATATATCACAAGCCTACAGTAACTAAAGCAGCGTAGTGTTGGCATCAAAACAGACACGTAGACCAATGGAACAGATTAGAGAAGCCAGGAATAAACCCATGTATTTACAGCTATCTGATATTCAAGAAAGATGCTAAAAATATGCATTGGGAAAAAGAATACCTTTTTCTTTCTTTTTTTTATTATACTTTAAGTTCTGGGGTACGTGTACAGAATGTACAGGTTTGTTACATAGGTATACACATGCCATGGTGGTTTGCTGTGCCCATCAACCCATCATCTACATTAGGTATTTCTCCTAATGCTATCCCTCCCCCAGCCCCTCACCTCCCAACAGGGGTGGTGTGTGATGCACCACCCCAACCCCTTGTCCATGTGTTCTCATTGTTCAACTCCCACTTATGAGTGAGAACATACAGTGTTTGGTTTTCTGTTCTTGTGATAGTTTGCTGAGAATGATGGTTTCCAGCTTCATCCATGTCCCTGCAAAGGATATGAACTCATCCTTTTTTATGGCTGCATAGTATTCCATGGTGTATATGTGCCACATTTTCTTAATCCAGTCTATCATTGATGGGTATTTGGGTTGGTTCCAAGTCTTTGCTATTTTGAATAGTGATGCAATAAACATACGTGTGTGTGTGCATGTGTCTTTATAGTAGAATGATTTATAATCATTTGGGTATACACCCAGTAATGGGTTTGCTGGGTCAAATGGTATTTCTAGTTCTAGATCCTTGAGGAATTGCCACACTGTCTTCCACAATGGTTGAACTAATTTACACTCCCACCAACAGTGTAAAAGCGTTCCTATTTCTCCACATCGTCTCTGGCATCTGTTGTTTTCTGACTCTTTAATGATCGCCATTCTACAATGAGATGGTATCTCATTGTAGTTTTGATTTGCATTTCTCTAATGACCAGTGATGATGAGCTTTTTTTTCATATATTTGTTGGCTGCATAAATGTCTTCTTTTGAGAAGTGTCTGTTCATATCCTTTGCCCACTTTTTGATGGGGTTGTTTTTTTCTTGTAAATTTGTTTAAGTTCTTTGTAGATTCTGGATATTAGCCCTTTGTTAGATGGATAGATTGCAAAAATTTTCCCTAATTCTGTAGGTTGCCTGTTCACTCTCATGATAGTTTCTTTTTTTTTTTTTTGGAGACGGAGTGTCACTCTGTCACCCAGGCTGGAGTGCAGTGGCTCAATCTTGGCTCACTGCAACCTCCACTTCCCAGATTCAAGCGATTCTCCTGCCTCAGCCTCCCAAGTAGCTGGGACTTCAGGTCTGCACCACCAGACGCAGCTAATTTTTGTATTTTTAGTAGAGACAGGGTTTCACCGTATTGGTCAGACTGGTCTTGAACTCCTGACCTCATGATCTGCCCACCTCAGCCTCCCAAAGTGCTGGATTACAGGTGTGAGCCACTGCGCCTGGCCACTCTGATGATAGTTTCTTTTCCTGTGCAGAAGCTCTTTAGTTTAATTACATCCCATTTGTCAATTTTTGCTTTTGTTACCATTGTTTTTTGTGTTTTAGTCATGAAGTCTTTGCCCATGCCTATGTCCTGAAGACTATTGCCTAGGCTTTCTTCTAGGATCTTTATGGTTTTAGGTCTTATGTTTAAGTCTTTAATGCATCTTGAGTTAATTTTTTTTATAAGATGTAAGGAAGGGATCCAGTTTCAGCTTTCTGCATATGGCTAGCCAGTTTTCCCAACACCATTTATTAAATAGGAAATCCTTTCCCTATTGCTTGTTTTTGTTAGGGTTGTCAAAGATTAGATGGTTGTAGATGTGTGGTATTATTTCTGAGGCCTCCGTTCTGTTCCATTGGTCTATATATCTGTTTTGGTACTAGTACCATGCTGTTTTGGTTACGGTAGCCTTGTAGTATAGTTTGAAGTCAGATAGCGTGATGCCTCCAGCTTTGTTCTTTTTGCTTAGTATTGTCTTGGCTATGTGGGCTCTTTTTTGGTTTCATATGAAATTTAAAGTAGTTTTTTCCAATTCTGTGAAGAAAGTAAATGGTAGCTTGATGGGGATAGCATTGAATCTATAAATTACTTTGGGCAGTATGGCCATTTTCATGATATTGATTCTTCCTATCCATGAACATGGAATGTTTTTCCATTTGTGTCCTCTCTTATTTCCTTGAGCAGTGTTTTGTAGTTCTCCTTGAAGAAGGGTACCTTTTTCAATAAATGGTGCTGAAAAATTGGATAGCCATGTGCCGAAAATGAAACTGGACCTCTATCTTTCATCATACACAAAAATCAACTTAAGATGGATTGAAGACTTAAGTGTAAGGCCCCAAACTATACAACTGCCAGAAGGAAACATAGGGAAAACACTTCAGAACATTGGTCTAGCTGAAGATTTTATGGCTAAGACCTCAAAAGCACAGAGAACAAAAAACCAAAATAGGCAAATGTGACTATATTAAACTAAAAAGCTTCTGCACAGCAAAGGAAATAATCAACAGAGTGAAGAGATAATCTCTCAAATGGAAGAAAAAATTTTCAAACTCTTCATCTGACAAGGACCAATATTCAGAATATACAAGGAACTCAAACATCTCAACAGTACACGAAACCAATAATCCCATTAAAAAGTGGGCAAATGGCTGGTCCTGGTGGCTCATGCCTGTAATCTCAGAACTTTGGGAGGTCCAGTTTGGAGGATAAGCTGACACCAGCAGTTTATGACTAGCTTGAGCAACAGAGTTAGACCTCATTTCTACAAATAATAATAATAATAATAAAGCTCATTATGGTAGTGAATGCCTGTAGTCCTACCTACTCAAGAAGCTGAGGTGGGAGGTAACTCTGGAGCCCAGGAGTTCAAGGTTACAGTGAGCTATGATTCTACCCTGGGCGACAGAGTGAGACCCTGTCTCTAAAGAAAACACTCACATATCTATTGCAGCACTATTCACAACACAAAGATGTAAAATCAGCCTGTGTCCACAATGGACAAATGGATAAAAAAATGTGATATATATACACAATAGAATACTACAAAAAAGAAAATCATCATTTGCAGCAACATGGATGGAACTGGAGGTCATTATGTTAAGTGAAATACGCCAGGCACAGAAAGACAGACATTGTGTGTTTTCACTTACATGTGGGAGTTAAAAATGTAAATCTCATGGAGATAGAGAATAGAAAGATAGATACCAGAGGCTGGAAAGGGTGTGTGGGTTGAGGGGGTGGGCGGGGATGAAGACAGGTTGGTTAGTGGGTACAAACATGCAGTTACATATAGAAGATAAAAGTTCTAATGATTCTTCCTATCCATGGTCATGGAATATTTTTCCATTTGTTTGTGTCCTTTCTTATTTACTTGAGCTGTGTTTTGTAGTTCTCCTTGAAGAAGGATACCTTTTTCAATAAATGGTGCTGAAAAATAGAGTATGGTGACTATAGTTAACAGCAATGTATTCTATATTTCAAAGTAGCTAGAAGAAAGGACTTGAAATGTCCCTAACACATAGAAATGATAAGTACTCAAGGTGGTGGACACCCCAAATACCCTAATTTGTTCACTACACATTGTATGCATAAACAAACACTCACATGTACCCGTAACTATGTAAAATATTACATAGCAATAAAAGATAAAACATTATTAGAGCCATAATTAAACACACACACACACACACACATAGACACACACACACATGAAACTTCTCTGGTTGAGATAGAGTGAGAATCTAGGATTTCTGATGCCTCTCCAGGGTATCCTAGAAAAGTGGTTCTCAGATTTTCATGTATCTCACAACCACCTAGGGAACTTGATGAAAATACAGAGGCCCAGGACTTACTCTACTTCAATAAGCCTGGGCCTCTGTACTTTTTTTTTGAGACAGAGTCTTGCCCAGGCTGGAGTGCAGTGGTGCAATCTCGGTTCACTGCAATCTTCACCTCCCTGGTTCAAGCAACTCCCCTCCCTCAGCCTCCCGAGTAGCTGGGATTACAGGCGCACGCCACCACGCCTGGCTAATTTTTTTTGTATTTTTAGTAGTGACTGGGTTTCACCATTTTGGCCAGACTGGTCTCGAACTCCTGACCTCAGGCAATCCGCCTGCCTTGGCTTCCCAAAGTGCTAGGATTACAGGCGTGAGCCACTGCACTCGGCCGGGCCTCTGTATTCTGTATCAGCTCCCCAGGTGATTCTGATACACACAGAAATTTGATAACTCTACAATTCTCTGCAACACTTTCAAGGCCATTGATCCACATCATAATTTTTAATGGCCACATAAACTTCACAGAATAGATTCTCCCTGATGTATTTAAGCGCTCCACTATTGATGGATATTTAGGTGGTTTCTGTTTTTTGTTTTTTTTTGGTCAGTTGCAGCAATTGCTACAGTAAGTGTTCTTACACATAGATGGCCTTCTGTACCATGTCCTTCTGTACCTGTGTGAATATGTCTGCTGGATAGATTTTTTGAAATGGAACTGCTGGGCCCAGAGTATACATGTTTCAAATTTTGATAAATATTACTAAATTGCCCTCTGAAAGGTTGTATCAATTTACTCTCCTGCCAACAGTGTGAAGAGGGTACCTGTCTTCCCACTCTGTTATTTTTCTCTTGACTCACGTCTTAGCACTGTTTATTTTAAGGCATTGATGAAATCCACATCAGTGATAAATGGGTCCATAAGCACCCAACTGATTACCTTTCGGAAACAGATTCAGCACCCCATTGATACTTCAGAAATCATTTTCTTATCAGTAAGTTCCTCCACTGCACAGCTAAGGCTTCCACTAATATATGTGCTTATTTTTGTATCTCTGGTATATTCCAAAATGCAAGAAATTTTGCTGCCTCTCTTGATTTTAGGTTGAGTTTTCTGTTTTCTATGAAAGAGGATGTTATTTATAGTCCAGAAATTCTGAAGTCAAAAAATATAATTCTCTCATTGTTGAGTTCCTGGATGTCTTCCCCTGATCAGAGCCATATCTCTGAGTAACACATCATGGGAGTGACAGCTCTCTGGTGATTTAGGAGCCTGCCAGATCATTAGAGCATTACCAATGTAAGGATGTATTAGTGTAACACATCATCAGCATGTTATCACCCTGTGATGAATTGCACCAAATCAGAACAATGGCCTAAAGAAACTATGAATTCTTTTAGAGCTGGAAATGAAATTTTTTTGGAATAAGGAATAAATAAGTATGAATGTTTTTCTTTCACAGTTGAGAGAGGTTTAAATCATATATTTTTTGCTCTTTTGATCATCCCTTGGTCGTTGTCTAGTTTGAGCTGGAGACGAGGTATTCAGGCTGGATGAGTTGGAGGCTTTCTAGCTATAAATTAATTAATTAATTAATTATGCTGAGGGAAGATTGGCATTCAGAAAAAAGGTCCTCTTTACTCTGATCTTTGTGCTATGTTTCCCTTTAAGTCCAGGGGCGTTTGTGAATGGGGGACTCTTTCATCTGTGCATTTGGTTTCAAAGGGGAATTGCTTAAGAGCAGAGACAATCTTTTTAATAATTTGATATATTTCTACAGTGCCTGAACAGTGTGCATTGAATTCTTGTTGATGGAGAATCCATTCTTCCAAAGCCAGAGCTTCCCATGATTGGAGTCATTCCTTTAAATAATGACAGTGCCTTTGGAAATGAGCTCCTTGAATGAATCGCACCAACAGCAGAAGCAAGAGGGGCCGTATTAGTTCCTCACCAATAGCAGGAGCAAGGACCTGAAAGGGGAAGAACCAGCATGTTAGTGACCAGCAAATCAGATTCTCACTAAGGGCTGGTTGGAAGCATGGCTGTGGAATTACCCTAACTTAGGTTTGAATTCTCACTTAGTCGCTTCCTAGTTTGGGCAAGTTGCTTGACCTCTTTGAGCCAGTTTCTTCTTCTGTACAATGGAGGTGCAGCTATAATCACCTTATGGGGCTGTCGTGATGATCAAGTGAGCATAGAAAGGGCTTAGTATAGTGCCTGGGATACAGTAAGTGTCCTGTAAATGTTAGCAATTGTGGTTGTGGTGGTTGTTATTGTTTTCACATTTTGCTGCCCACAAGCAAAACACTTGACGTTTGACAGCCCTGGGGATCTGGTGGGCATACTAGTATGTTTAGGCCCGTAGCATTTACATTCCATGTTTCCTAGCAAGTGCTTTATCTTCTCTGTATTAAGATGCTGTAGTACTTACGTTGACAGACAGACTTTCCAATAGGACATTCCAAGAAACTGTAAGTACTCGTAGAGAACTCCCATACAGCAAAGTACAGACCTGATGAGAGAATTTGGAACTGGCTATTGGCACAAAAGGTTGTGTGTATAATTTAGAAATGGTTGAGTTTGCTGGAAACAACCAACTGGAACTGCTGTTGTTGTTACTGTGAGGTAGGCACCATGCTAAATGTATTGCATGAGGTCCTCTCAACAACCATTCCTATGGTAGGCATCAATATTGCCACTCAGCAGATGAGAAAAGTATGGCTTGGGGAGGTCAGGGAACTTGCCAAAAACATATGGCAAGAAATGTACGGAACCAGGATTTCATTCAGAGTTTTTGATTCTAGAGCCTGAGGTCCTAACGGCCACACATTTCTTGAAAATTCACATCTCACATTCACAGGGTAGTTCTGCATGTTTTGAGGTGTGTGGCCCACCTAGAGGCATTGCTTGAAATAGAGACAAATAGAAAACACACCAGAAAAATCAACACTGGCATCTCGGTGGATAACAGAGTGCCAGGAAGCTCTGGTTACCCTGAGTCCTGGCAATCAGCACAGACTGAGTTCCACTAATCCAATGAAGGCTTCAGGAGAGGTGTTCAGTGCTGCCCTTGACTTTTACGTACCCTCTGTGTTCTGCTTCTCATTGTGAGGAGCCCATGCAGGGTTGGTGTGCATGCTGTAGATAAGCAAAGATGGATGTAAAACCCCTCCTCCCATTTCTGCCCCCTCTCTCACCATTCCCCCTTCAAAGCAAATTGCAAAGAACAGTTCTGTTCTGATCAGGCATTAAAATGTCATCATGGTACATAGTTCTGATCAACTTAATCCCGTAGCTTGCTGCCGAAGGCTACATCAGCATGTCAAACTTTGGGCTATTGAAGAACAGTGATCTTCTGTGGCTACTGATTTTTTTTTTAAAGCACATTCAAATGGAATAAACAAATCAATGCTGGAGACAATATTATAAATTGTTTTGGTGAATGTTTAATTTCAGCTGGTAGATGGAAAATAAATTTGTTGAAATGAATTTTTCCTGGTTTGTGGGAGTCCTGTTTTCTTTGGAATACTTAGGGAGGCTAAAGAGGCCACTATTTCTCTTGATTTTTTTTTCAGTTGTTTTGGAGAACAATTTTCTCTGACACGTAGCTGGTTGTTTTACGGCTGTAAGAAATATATTGGTTTATTCATCTGTTGCAACTATAATAATATTGCCATTGGAGTCCAACTCGGTAATAAATCAGGCCATTCCTTTCCACGCTATACAAATAATTAAAATAAAAATCGACTGTGCCAGTGAATTTGTTCTACAAGCTGAATAGAATTGTGTGCTATAAGTCTAGATATTTTGGTTGACACAGGACTGTATGTCTTAAAAATAAGAAACCAAAAGGTGGGAAAATAAGACCTTATTTCATTATGTGCAATTTATAACATTTATCTTGAAGATAAAGTTGCTTTCCTCTGCTGCCTATTAACTAGGAGCCAGAACACGAATACTGTGGCTTCACAACCTTCCCCCATCCCCTCCCCACTTTCTTCCCTCTCTTTTCTTTCCTCCCTTCCTGGCATCTTTAAAAAGCAAGTTGAGGTTCATTATTGTACCTCTGGAAATAAGGGCTTGTTATTTATGTATGCATGCTTGCATATATATTTTTACTCATGTCCTGCCTTTTTCCTGAAAAGAATTAAGGCAGCTTGCAAAAATACATAATTCAAAATAAAATAAGAATGGGTGAGTCAGAAAAATTGGTGGAAAGGGGGAAATAGTTCGGAAAAATAAAATAAAGGCAACAGTGACCCACAAAATGAATGTGCTATGAAATCTGGCACTTTGCTAGAGTGGAGCCATGCATTTGGCTTGGAGGCTCCTTCTAGGATTAATGCCACAATTCCTGGCAACCATTAGATTAGAAACGTATTAATGACTCAGCAGAAGCCAAACTGTCCTTTGTATTGACACCAGAGTGAGTTTTTTCCTCTGAGCCCTCACTAAGAGGACACTATAATTCAGGGACAAGAGTCTTCAATAGATCTTTAAGAAACACAATCAATTAATTGGGCTTCTCCTTATACTTGTACTTTCCTGAAGACCGATGGGCCAGTACTAAGCAGCAGAAGCATTTCTATAGGGGCCAAATATGCAGCCTAGACAGGCAGTTTTCTCTTGTCCTTGCTTAAGCCAAGAAAAGAGCTTAGCACACGAAAGTAGTGGTTCTCCAACTTCACTGTGCATAAGATTCACCCAGCAAATAAAAGTTGTCAGGTCTTCCTCCTCTCCCCATGTGTAGGAATAAACCAGATTATACTACAGAAACAAGCAACTTACCAAACTAAGCAGACTAAAATAACAAAGGTGTTTTTCTTGCTCATGTTCCATAACCCCTGCAGGTCAGCGGGGAAAGTCGGGGGTGGGTGATGGGTGGTGGTGTCTCTGCTCTGTGGCTTCTGCTTTCAGGGACCCAGGCTCCATCTCTATGCTTCCATGATTGCCAAAGCAGAACAAAGCCTGGGGCAAATTGCATATTGGTTCCTAAAGCTTCCACCTGGAAGATACGTATGTTACTTCCCAAGTTCATTTTATTGCTCAAAGCAAGTCATGTGGTCATGCCTAACTGCAAAGGGGGTGGCAAAATGCAACCATGCTTTGGGCCTGAAAGAAGAGAATCTGTATCTTATATGGGAACCCCAGTTGCTTTCAATGCAGATAGTTTGTGCACCATATTGTGAGAAGCACTGATCTAGAGAAATGGCTGGATTGTGTATCTCTCTTGAAATCTTCCATTAATATTTTCCTGAGTTGCCAGCCTGGGCAACATGGGGAGACCCCATCTCTACAAAAATACAAAATTTAGCTGGATATGGTGTCACATGCCTGTAGTCCCAGCGACTCCGGAGGCTGAGGCAGGAGGATTGCTTGAGCCCAGGAGGTCGAAGTTGCAGTGAGCCATGATTACTCCACTGCACTCCAGCCTGGGTGACAGAGCAAGACACTGACTCAAAAAAAAAAAAATTTCCCTGAGTTAGGCTTTAGACATGTGCTGAGTGGTGGTGCATTTCAGGTAACACCTTGACAAATACCTGCCTTGTAGCTATTCTGTGGGAGCAAAAAGTACTAAGCCATAATGCGTTGAATATATTCCTGACGGTAAAACTGAGGAGTCTGAAAAGAACACACTTGATTTTAAGATGAACCAAAGGAAGGTGCACCTGTTACCTATAGAATATCTATAGACTCTGCCAAGATTTTCCTCAGTAAATAGTTTTGTTT
Source organism: Homo sapiens (assembly GCF_000001405.40). Taxonomy (NCBI): domain Eukaryota; kingdom Metazoa; phylum Chordata; class Mammalia; order Primates; family Hominidae; genus Homo; species Homo sapiens. The sequence goes on along the minus strand of NC_000016.10, from coordinate 52,839,124 downwards.
CTGTCAGCACACTTACCATAAGATCCCAGAGTTCTGTGTTGTAGACCAGAGGTTCTGAACTAAGTATGAATAACAGAATTACCTTGAATCTTTGGGAAAAAAATAGCATGCTTGGAAACTCTAGTCTGATTCCCAGACTTACATATTTCTATTAAAGCTTCCAAGGTGATTCTGAACAATTCTCCTGGTTAAGGAGCACAGGCATTGAGCTTGGAACAAAATTGAAGCAGTTATAAACAAGTGCCCACCTTCACTAAAAAATGTCTCAATAAAGTCCCCTGAAATGCTTAATTATTATTTTGAGCTGCCTAAATTTTAAAAATCAAAGTGATGAATGAATATAATCAAAGATAATTTAGATCATAGATAAATGGCTTAACCCGAAAATTGTCATCCAGGCTTCCTAGAGGCAATCACATTTAGCTCTTCTAGCTATCTCTTCTGGTATTTACTTCCATATCTGAAAAGTGCTCCTACTACCGTTTCTTTGCCACTGTTAGGAATTACCTAGAGCAGTGCCATCTGATAGAACTATAATAAAAACTAAGACAGTGGAATATTACTCAACACTGAAAAGAAATGAGCTATCAAGCCACAAGAAGACATGGAGGAAACTTAAATGCATATTACTAAGTGAAAGAAGCCAATCTAGAAGGCTATGTACTGTATGATTCCAACTCTAACATTCTGGAAAAGGCAAAACTATGGAGGCAATAAAAAGATCAGTGGCTGCCAAGGGTTAGAGGAGAAGAAAGGATGAATGCATGGAGCACAGAAAGTTTTTAGGGCAGTGAAATGAATCTATGTGATGTGATAATGATATTATAGATACATGTTAGCATACATTTTTCATAATCTATAGAATATACAACAGCAAGAGTGAGCCCTAATGTAAGCTATGGATTTTGGGTAATAATGGCGTGTCAATGTAGATTTGATTGTAACAAATGTGCCACTCTGGTGGGTGTTGTTCATAATGAGTGAGGCTGTGAATTTGTATGGGCAGGGAGTATATGGTAAGTGTTTGTACCATCAGAACAGCTTCACTGTGAACCTAAAACTGCTCTAAAAAATAAAAAGATGGACTGGGCATGGTAGCTTATGCCTGTAATCCCAGAACTTTGGGAGGTCGAGGCAGATGGATTGCTTGAGTCCAGGAATTTGAGATCAGCCTGGGCAACATGATGAAATCCCATCTCTAGAAAAAAATACAAAAAACAACATGATGTGACATCACATGCCTGTAGTCCCAGCTACTCAGGAGGCTGAGGTAGGAGGATCATTTTAGCCCAGGAGGTTGAGGCTGCAGTGAGCTGAGCCATGATCATGCCACTGTACTCCAGTCTGAGTGACAGAGTGAGTCCCTGTCTCAAAATAAAATAAAAGAACATAAAATAAAATTTAAAAAGACGATGTAGATGAAAAAAAGGAAACGTAATGAAAACTACCTATGTGATTAAAATGTTTCTATTAGCCACATTGTTAAAACATAGAAACAGGAAAAATTAATTTTAATAATATACAATCATATGATGTTTCAATCTATGATGGATTGCATATATGATGGTGGTCTCATAAGATGATAGTAGAGCTGAAAAATTCCTATCACCCAGTGACTCATAAGAGTTTTAACCCTGTAGCTATGGTAATGTTGTGGTGCTTGCATTACCCATGTGTTTGTGGTGAGGCTTGTGTAAATAAACCTACTTCTCCAGAAGAGCCTCAAGCAGGTCCTTCAGGAGGTGTTCCAGAAGGCATTGCTGTCAGAGATGACAGCTCCATGCGTGTTGTTGTCCCAGAAGACCTTCTAGTGGGAGAAGACGTGGAGGTGAAAGATGGTGAAATTGATGACCCTGACGTTGTGTAGACTGAGGCTAACGTATGTTTGTGTCTTAGTTTTTAACAAAAAGCTTCGAAAGTAAAAATAGAAATAAAAAACGTTAAAATATAAAAGCTTATAGAATAAAAATATAAAGTTTCTTTTACAGATGTAAAATGTATTTTTGTTTTAAGCTAGGTGTTATTACAAAAGTCAAAAAATTAAAAAGTTTATAAAGTAAAAAAATTACAGTAAGCTAAGGTTAATTTATTATTGAGGAAGGAAAAATACTTTGAAAATAATTTTAATGTGTATAGAGTTTATAAAGCTTACAGTAGTGTACAGTAACGTCCTAGGTCTTCACATTCACTCACTACTACTGACTTGCACAGAACTGCTTCCAATCCTGCAAGCTTCATTCATGGTAAGCACCCTATACATGTGCACTATTTTAAAAATCTTTTATACCGTATTTTTACTGTACCTTTTCTATGTTTAGATATGTGGTAGACACACAAATACTTACCATTGTGCTACAATTGCCTACAGTATTCAGTACAGTAACATGCTATACAGGTTTCTAGCCGAGGTGTATAGTAGGCTATACCATCCAGGTTTGTGTAAGTGCACTGTATGCTGTTTGTACAATGATGAAATGCATTTCTCAGAACATGTTACCATTGTTAAACAACGCATGACTCTATGTTGTTTAATCCAAAGTATCTAAAATATTATCATTTCAATATGCAACCAATATAAAAATCAATGAGAGATTTTACATTCTTTGTACTCTTTGAAATTTATTGTGCATTTTAAACTTAGAGAAAGTCTCAGTCCTAACTAGCCACAGTTCAAGTGCTTCCTAGTTACAGATGGCTGGTAGCCACTATGTTGCATGGCACAGACTTAGACGTTTCCCATTATGGCAGATGAATATTTAGTTCTTTCACAGGTTAAGAACATGAGAACCTGTTATTTTTAACAGTTTCCTTAATACTGTGATACAATGTACAATAACGAACAATAGGGAAGTAGCTGCGGTGAAATCATACTATTCCTTATGTAGATCATAGGACTAAGAGACTTACACTTGAGATTTGTCAAGAAGGAAATGAGCATATATTTGGTTCTTCTTATTCCTTATTAGTAATTATTATTAGTCTTGGGAAATAGGAATTAACATATAGAAGAAAAACATGGAATAGATGGCACTCTGCCAACTAATTTGATGACTACAGCCACAGCAATCACAGAAAGGGGCAGGGCATGGTGGCTCATGCCTGTAATCTCAGCTCTTTGGGAGGCTGAGGCAGGAGGATCATTTGAACTCAGGAGTTTGAGAGCAGCCTGGGAAACATGGCAAGACCCCATCTCTACAAAAAAAAAAAAAAATTAAAAAATTATCTGGGCCTGGTGGCATGCACCTGTGGTCCCAGCTACTCAGGAAGGTGAGGTGAGAGGATTGTTTGAGCCCAGGAAGTCGAGGCTGCAATGAACCTTGATCACGTCACTACACTCCAGCCTGAGTGACAGAGTGAGACCCAGAAAGGGAAATAAATAGCAAGGAACAAGGTTTACTAGTTGGGTTAGATCCTGAAGAGTTCTGGAGATCTCACATCCTTCTCAGCTGTTATTCTAGCTTAGGAATTTTAATCAACTCTTAATGTGAAGGGGGCATTCCCCAAACCAGCCAGAAAACGACTTGCATTTTAGAAATACAGAAAATTAATTCTCGTAATGCAGATTTGTCATTTCAGTCTCTCTACATCCATTTTCCTATCTTCTAGTAAGAGTCCCCCATATTTTCCCTGGAGACTCCTCTGTTCCTCTCCTGTTAGCCCTTGTGCTTTGGGAAGTATTAATTCTATACTGAGTTACAGTGGTGGAACGTGTGACTTGCTCTGGCCACTCAGAGAATTTTCGTCTTCTGGCCACAGTGATTGGGTCAGGGTGTACACACTTAAGCCAAGCCAGTTAGGCTCAATTGGAGAAATCTTAGGGTTTTTGCTTGAGCAAGTGAGAGGAGGCACTCCAGGGCTACCCTGTGAAGCCTGGGAAGGAAGCCCACACAGTGGATAGGGATACTAAGGCCTGGAGAGGAACCGAATCCCGATGACCATATTTGAGCTCCAGAATTCATTTGCGCTTGAAACCAGAGATCTACTGCTGACAAGTAAATCTCCCAGGTTTCTGTCTTTCTGCACCACTAGTTTGTGTTAATAATAAGTTTTTAGTTATTCTGAAAAATTTTGGTGCATTCATCTTTCTCTATAACAACACTTCCCAGTGGGGATTTCTCAGGATAATAGTTTTATAAGACACTCCAAGAAAAAGAGTTTCCCTGGCCAAATGAATTTGGTAAATTCTGTAGACTAGATTCTTCTACTTAGTGATTCCCAATGCACTTTAAAACATTAAAGGCTCTAAGAATTTCAGAATTTAAGAAAATTAGTTCTATTTTTCCAAGAATTCCTTGGCCAAGGTACCATTTTTTAAAAGCTTGGCTCACACCTATTACTGTCCTATGGAACACACTTTGCTGGCTTGTTCTCTGGGAAGGGAGAAATCCTTCCATGTTTCCAGTGATCAGGCTGGGGCCACTTCAAATCCCAGCCCCACTGGAGGTGTTACAGACCACCAAGACATTATGTATCTGACAGGGAAAATGTAAATATTTCAGACATAGAGTTAGATTGCCACGCAACCAAATTAGATAAACCTGATATTTAAACCAGGCCAGTTGGCTGAGAGATTTATTATATCATTTATTAATGAATTTAACTCATATTTATTGTCACAACTTTGTTACAGTCCCTATAACCTTAGGGAGGTAATAATTTAGAGATTTTCACACATGAGTCCAAGTTGCAATACTTCAATTATTGCTCTTCTAGTCCTTCCCTCACTGGAATGACAATTTATGCTGGTGTGACTTGGTCTGACATTAACCTGTAACCCCAGACCGAATTCGAGTTACTCATCCTGAAAAGTAGATAGGCTGGTCATAGAATCTAACATCGATATAGCAATTACATTTTTGACTTTTTTCAATGACACCATCTTATTTAATCCTAATGAAAAGCTTTAGGAGGTAGATAGACTAGCTCTTATTAACCCTGTTTTGCATAGAGGATAAGAAAGGGCCAGAGAAGTTGGATGGCTTGCCCAAGGTCACACAATTCTGAACACTCAGAATCAGAGAAATCCATCCTTAGAGTCCCAATTTGTCCTTTTTTAATTTTTTAAAAAAATTTACCCATGTCATTTACCACTTGCTGAATTTTCTCCAATACTTAGGGTGTGAAAAGTAGGATATAAAGTTTTATTGTCAATACATAGTAGCCACTAGCTATTTCTGGCTATTTAGCACTTGAATGACTAATATAGCTAAGGGACTGAAGTTTGAATTTTAATGTAATTAATTGAAGCTTAAATTTAAAGACATACCCCATTCAATATTAGAAAGCTTTTAAGCATGTTTGAAATATAAATTTCCTTTTCTCAACTGTAAATGTTATGATATTTAAATATAGATCATGTACTTTCGGATGAAATTTTAGTGTCTAAATTGCGATGTACTGTAAGTAAAAAACTCATCAGATTTAGAAAGTATAACATAGAAATAATATAAAGCAGCTTATTAATAATTTTATTTAATTATATGTTGATAATGTTTTGGAAATATTGTGTTAAACAGAAATATATCACTAAAATTAATTCCACTTATTTAATTTTCCTTTTTTGAATGTGGTTACTTAGAAAATATAAAGTTATGTATATGGCTTTTATTGTATTTCTATTGGACAACACTGATGTAATAGACTATATTGGAGTGTCTTGAATGTCTAGCTGCAAATTTCTAAGCCCAAGTAAAATGGGTGATAGGATGTCATAGAACTAAGATTCAGAGTGTGGCCTTGGGAGTCACTCAGGCTTGGTTGTGAATTCAGACCCTTGCACTGGGCAGGTTACCTGCCCTTTTGAAGCTGTTTCCTTACCTGTTGATTAGGAATAATGTTAATATCTACTTCACAGAAATTTTTGAGAAGTCAATGAGCTAATACACATATAGCATATAGACTAGTATTAGGCAGTGTTTAAATGCTCATTACTTTGTTAGTAATAATAATAATTATAACAATACTGTAGGTATAAAATGCAAATAGAATCCCTAGCCTTCATAAACGATGGTCTTTTTTTCTGAACTTCATTTTTTTTTAAGGCATCATCTTCTGTTGGAATTCATTGCACCGGACTGCATTAATCATACCCTGTTTTGTTCTTACTGACAGTAATGAATAGTAACTGATACAAACCAGCCTGCTAGGTCACTGATGAGGTGGCTACAAATGCTCTTTTCCAAGGCAGTTCTTAATTACCTTTTGTGTGTGAAATACCATATGCTGTAATCCCTCTAGCTGGAAATCTGCTTTGGGTTAAAATGCCATGTTCATTTTTAAACAATGTCTTTGGTTGATTTCTCCTCTGTAAATCTCAGGGACAGGTTTGATTCAGTTGCTGTTCCTTAAAAACTTTTTTAAAAAATTGAGTGATTTCCTATTTCTTTTTTTGCATCTCATTTTTCTATTATTAAGCCAGTGACTCTAGCTGGTCTTTGAGGGTTGGGACTAGCTGTGTGCTCAATTACTTGAAGGCATCAGATCTTCTCCAAATGACACCTGGTTTAAGGTGATAGAGATAGCCCTATTACAGGAACACATAAATATTGTTTTTGAGGCATTGGAATCTAGCATCAAATATAATGGAATTTGATAACTTTTAAAAGTCTGGGAAATGCTCCCTTCTTTGAAGGTTAGTCTTGTAGCCTCTTCAACCTCCCAGGACACATTTGGAAACATAGATGGATGGAAGTGAAAAACAGCCTTTCAGTTGCTAAGAACACAGTTGTTGCCAAGCATCTTCTTTTTTCCAGAAAGAGAGGAGGAGATTTTTCTAAAAGACTCTGACTTATCCATGAATCTAAAATAGGAGCTGGCAAACTTTTCCTGTAAAGAGCAGTTAGTAAATATTGTAGGCTTTGCAGGGCCATGTGGCCTTGGTTGCAACTACTCAACTTGGCCTGTTGTAGAGTGAAAGCAGCCATTGGCAATATGGAAAGAAATGCACATGGTTGTGTTCCAATAAAACTTTATTTACAAAATAAGCAGCAGGCTGGATTTGGCCGGCAGACTGTAATTGCCCATCCCTGATCTCAAGTATGGTGACAGATTAGAGTTAGCAGGGCACAGAAAGGGCAGTCGTAAGAGGTAGCTGTTGGACAGAAGAAAGGGTAAGAAAACATCTTCAAGGCAGACAGAACCATGTAGAAAGTGCACCTATTCAAGACCCTTCCATTTCCCAAGGGAGAAATGGTTTTGGGAGAATCATAGTAAGATTGATGATATGTTTTCAGATATGATAACTGAGATTCATAATGAAGGTCCCAAGACCTACATGCACTATCTAAATATATCTTATGTATTTTGATTACAAAGACAGGAAATTAGAAAATGTATTTGAAAGAGTTAACCAAGCAGATTAAAATAAAAAGGCATTTTGGTACTTAATGGGGTAAGCATCAGTTATCTGAAAAACTCATGGAATCGTCCATTTTCTGAAAAATGTAGCTTTTTAAGTGTCACTGTATTTTTAATTTTTTTTTCTCTTTGAGCTAATGAAACCAACTTTCCACATGCATCTTTGGACAGATTCTCTGTGGGGCTTAGAAGAATACTCAAAATCTACATTACCCCCTTCCTCCTTCCATTTTTACAAAAATCTATATAGAATGATAAAATGTACATTATGTACTCACAGTTCATACTGATGGCTGAAAAACAGTGTTCTAGGGAAAAGGGTCTCTTGGACAACTCAAGTTAAACTTGGAGTTGGGGGGAATTGGTTGTTTCTAGCTTGAAACCCTGGAAATTTATCACTCGACCATAGTTGGGCTGCTGCTGAATTGATGCCTTTGAGGATTTTTTCAGTACATTCTCCAGAACTTTTTCCAAGGAAGGAAATTTTGTGACTCCCCATTCAACAGATTCTAGCTCTGTCTCCTCTTTGCTCAGAATCATTCTATATTTATTATTATTGATAATGAACATCAATAATGGCTGGGATTTATTCTATTTCTCCCTTATGTATAGTTCATGTTCAGGTTATAAAATATGCATTTGTAAAGATGCCTTAGAAATTTTCCCAGGTTATTTATAAAACCTCTCAGGTTTTGACCATCACAGGTTGGCCATCAAGGAAAAGTCATGATAAAAATAATTTTAAAAGATATATTTATTGACTTTACTCTTTGTAAAATGTTTCTTTTCTAGGAGTTTATTATAACTTTGCAGTAATACTACAAAGTATTGCCCGAGGTTAATACTGGAAGCCAGAGCTAGATTCCACAGGTGCAAATCCTGATTTCATAGCCTATGGCTGTGTGATATTGAATAAAACACCTGACCTCCCTAGACTTGCTTCCTTATTTGTAATATGGAACCTGTAATTCTATATTTTTCAGAGTTGTTAAGAGTGATTAAATGAGATACTACATATGAAGTGCTTAGTACAATGTAGGACCATCAGGTAAAACCATGTTGATTGTGAACTGCAACTCTACAGGGCACCAGTCTCGTGGATGAGAATTAATGCGGCAGCTCTGGCACAAAGTCAGTGCTTGATATATGAAGCTATTATTATTGTTATTATTATTACTATTATTAATGAGAAACCCAAGGTACACAAAGGCTATAGAACTTGTTCATGATTATCTGCTCTTTCTGTGAAAAAACCATCATTATAGGGCAAAAACTACCAGGCATACATTGTTTATCATCAATTGTGACATAATTAATATTTATTATATATAACTACAGTTGTTGGGTTAAGATAACCAATAACTGCTTAGTAAAAGCATGGGCTCCACATTTGTTTCTTTGTGGATTTGATTCTTCTGTGATCTCATTCCAGAGTTTTCATCCAGCTAGTTTTTCCTATGCCTAGTGTCATAGTATTCTTAGGAATGTAAAGTTCTCTTTCATTCATTCAGGAAATGCTATTAAGTACCAGCTTAATAGCGTGTGATGCTGTCCTAGGCACAGGGGAGACAGAGATGACGAACGTGATTTTTTTTTTCCTTTTATTTCAATAGTTTTGGGATAATTTTATTTCAATCATTTTCTTTTAATTTCAATAGTTTTTTCTTTTTTTATTTCAATAGTTTAGGGTTTTGGTTACATGGATAAGTTCTTTAGTGGTGATGTCTGAGATTTCTGAAGGGGCTCACAGACTGATGGGGGGTCAGACAGGTAAACAGGTAATAAGGCAGAGTAAGAATGCCTCAAAGAGTGAGGCATTCAGATTTGGACTAGAACTATACATTGATTCTCCTAAGTCTTCAGCTTGCTAATTGCAGATCTTGGGGTTTCTCATCCTCCATAATTGTATAAGCCAATTCATTATAATACAAAGGGTCTTCAAAAAGTTCACAGAAAATGCATATTATGAAAAAACAATGCATGGATTTAAAATGTTTTTGCATGAAAATAAACGTGCTAACTTGTTATAACATTTCTGAACAGGATCTAGTTTGAGGCACTAAGAAGGAGAAGACATCATTGAAAAGAGACTATCAGAGCAATATGAATTCTGATAAAATTGAAGCAAGAAGAAGCATTAAGTTTATGGTGAAGTTGGAATGGAAGAATGTTAAAATCATTGATGCTTTATGAAAAGTATATAAGGACAATGCCCCAAATAAATCAGCAGTTTACAAATGAATAACTTGTTTTAAGAAAGAATGAGCCAATGTTAAAGATGAAGCCTGAGCAGCAGACTATTTGCATCAATTTTTGAGGAATAAATTAATCTTGTTTGTGCCCTAATTAAAGAGGATCAATTATTAACAGCAGAAACTATAGCCAAAAACATAGACATTTCAACTGGTTCAACTTACATAATTCTGACTGAAAACTGAAGTTGAGCAAATTCTACTCAACGAGTGCCAAAACCACTGGACCCAGATCAGCTGCATATAAAAGCAGGGCTTTCAGTGGAAATTTTAAAAAAATAGGATCAAGATCCTGAAACATTTTTTTGAAGAATTGTAGCAGGAAAGAAAGCATGACTTTACCAGTACAATCCTGAAGACGAAACACAATGAAAGCAATGGCTACCAAGAGGTGGAAGTGTTCTAGTTGAAGCAAAAGTGGACTAGTCAAAAGCAAGGGTCATGGCAACAGCTTTTTGGGATGCTCAAGGCATTTTGCTTGTTGACTTTCTGGAGGGCTAAATAACGATGACATCTGCTTATTATGACAGTGTTTTGAAAAAGTTAGCCAAAGTTTTAGCAGAAAAATGACTGGGAGAGCTTCACCAGAGAATCCTTCTCCACCGTGACAATGCTGCTCATTCTTTTCATGAAACAAGGGCAATTTTGGGAGGATTTCAATAGAAAATCATTAAGCATCCACCTCACAGTCTTAATTTGGCTTCTTCTGACTTTGTTTTCCCCCCAAATCTTAAAAAATTCTTTAAGAGCACCCATTTTTTCATCAGTTAATAACGTAAAAAAGACTACTGACATAATTCAATTGCCAGGACCCTCGATTCTTTAGGGATGAACTAAATGGTGGGCATCATTGCTTGCAAAAGTGTCTTGACCTTGATGGAGGTTATGTTCACAAATAAAGTTCATAATTTTTATTTTATTGTTTAATTCCATCTTCACAAACCTTTTGAAATCCACTGATAAATCTCATTTTATCTATCTATCTATCTATCTATCTATCTATCTATCTATCTATCCATTCATCCATCTATCTATCTTCTATTTCTCAGAGAATCCTAATACAACCAGCAAGACCTGGTCTTTCCCTCTAAAAGAGCTCAAGGCCCAGGAGGTGGAGGTTGCAGTGAGCTGAGATAGTGCCATTGCATTCCAGCCTGGGCGACAAGAGTGAAATCCCATCAAAAAAACAAATACTCAAGGCAGTCTCCCTGGACTCAATGAGGCTGGAACTAACTCTTGTAGGACAAGCGAAAGAAGGGTGCCAGGCAGACAATGAAGGGGGCAGTTGAGATAAGTAAAAGTGCATTGGATAGGGCTAAGAACTTGCTGTGAGCCCCAAGTTGGTGATGATGTCCCAGCCATACCATGTACAACCCCTGAAATCTTGGACAAGCCTCTTTTCACCTCTGCATCTCAACTTCCTCAACTGTCCAAATGAGAAAGATAACCTTGTCTCCATTAACAAGCCTGGACATTTCTAAGAGATCTGAATGAAGAAGTATGTGAAATTTCTTTGGAAATTGAAAGGAGTAAGGTACTATATAAAACAGAAGAGGTGATCACTTTAATTCATGTATACAAATTCCAGTGAATAGTGTCTTAATTAGATTACCCTGAAAACCTGAGACAAAAACTTGGAGGAAAGTGCCCCTAGGAGGTTGGAGTGAGGAAACAGGAAGAAGGCAGCAGTAAAGGAGGAAAAGTAGACACAAGGGTGTGTAATTGAGGTTGTTGCTCGGGCAGTGAAGGTTCAAATTTACCAGGATTCCTGAGAAGCAAATAGAACACCTCCCAGGAATGTCCACACAAAGGATGGGAGGTGGGAGTATTATCGACTGATTCCTTTCCCACCATTCAAGGGCTGGCATCTGGATTACAATGAACAAAAGGTGCAGTTATCTTGGGAATGAATGTCCGTAGTGTCCAGATATCTGATTTGGTTTCCGGCTTTTAACTCAAATATACCTCATAGTTATAGAGACAGTCTTTTCTCATTTTTCTCTTCTAACTTCTATTGATAGAATGCCTACTAAGTAAGAGATGTACAAATCAGTGCAATGAATTTATTAAAAGTAAAGGTTTTTTTCCCCCTCAGGTTTTTTTTTTTTTCTTTTTTTTGAGACAGAGTGTTGCTCTGTCGCCCAGGCTGGAGTGCAGTGGTGCCATCTCGGCTCAGTGCAAGCTCTGCCTCCCGGGTTCACGCCATTCTCCTGCCTCAGCCTCCCAAGTAGCTGGGACTACAGGGGCCCGCCACCAGGCCTGGCTAATTTTTTTTTTTGTATTTTTAGTAGAGACAGGGTTTCACTGTGTTAGCCAGGATGGTCTAGATCTCCTGACCTCGTGATCCGCCTGCCTCGGCCTCCCAAAGTGCTGGGATTACAGGCGTGAGCCACCGTGCCCAGCACCCAGCTCAGTTTTGAGGTTGCTTCTTTTGAGATAGTCTTTCTCATCTGCAAACAGTCTCATAGAACACTGGGTTGGCCAAGAAGTATGTTTGTAATCAGAATTGAATCTTCTGTAACCAACTGTGATTAAATAGCCAAACAATTTTTAGTTCAACTAATTCCCTTACCTTATTAGGTAAGAAACCATACAAAAGCTTTATGAGGACTGTGCCTGGGTTTCTAAATTCTGAAAGTCCTTTGACGGTTTGAAAAACATGCACTTTATCATAGTAAAGCATGCTAAAAGTAATAAAGAATTATATATATATAATACACACACATGCGCGCGCGCGCGCGCACACACACACACACACACACACACACACACACACACACACACACTCCTCCTACTGGGCCTTGATCATCCAGCAAGCCCAACCTATCAAAAGGATGCTAAAAATAGTCTCACTCACCAAGAGAGGTTCTGAAGTGTGAATTCTGATAAAACACTATCATAAGACCCTGCTGTCATTTGGTAACTTTTATGTCTGTGAAATCTAATTTTCAAAATCTCTGATTAAGTTTGCCTCTTTAGCATAGAGACAATATATTTGCATTTTTAGGATTTAAATTAGAATGCTTCCATTCACAATTCTGTTCTAGATGCCTTTTTATATACCAAAGGTACTGGTGTCCTCAAGTTTAGTATCTTTGAAAATGGATGTAGGAAGGTAGGGAATTTAGGCCAAATGTGTGACCTAATTATGTGAGTTTTTGGGATGTGGCAGCTGTTCATGACTTTAGCTGTTTTAACTGAAACAATTAGCAATGAGCCCTCATTCCTAACTCTCAGCATCCACGAGTAGGCCGTTATCCCCACTAATTAGCTGAGTGATCTTTGGCAAGCCACTTTATAGATTGAAAAATTGAAGGTCAGAGTGGAAAATGTTGATAGCAATGCTTTCCTTGTAGCTGTAAAGCACCTAGCGTGGTGCTTCACATGTAGCGTGCAGTCACTCAAGAAGTATTTCTGAGCATCTGCTGTGTGTCTGGCACAGTTCCAGAGGCTGAGGTTACAGTGGTGCCTAAGGCAGACAAAAGCTGATGTTCTGGCATAGGAAGACAGACAAGAGCAAGTAAAGAAATAAGGATTTCAGGTGGTGATGAGGGTGGAGAAGCAAAGTGTGTAATAGAGAGGGATGGGTATGACTTCTGAGACTGCATATCTGGGTACGTCTCTGTGAAGAGGGAACATCTGAGCAGAGACATGAATGGCAAAGGATCTGCCATGAAAATACTTGTGGGCAGATCATCTTGGGCAGAGGGAAACCAGCCCCAGATCCTAGGTCAGGTCTGAGCTTTGCATCCCTGAAGGAGAGCTCCAAGGAGGTTTGGAGTGGAGTGAGCAAGAGGAGAGTGGCACGAAATGAGTTGCAGAGGGAGGCAGGGGCTAGATTGTGAAGCTATGCATTTAGATCAATGATAGGCTGGAAAAAGAAAATGTGGTACATATACACCATGGAAGACTATGCAGCCATAAAAGGGAATGAGATCATGTCATTTCCAGGGACATGGATGGAGTTGGAAACCATTATCCTCAGCAATCTAACTCAGGGACAGACAACCAAACACTTCATGTTCTCACTTATAAGTGGGAGCTGGGTGATGAGAACACGTGGACACACTGCAGGGCGGGGAACAACATACACTGGGGCCTGGGTTGGGGGACATTTGAGCATGGGTTTAGATCATACCCAATGTATCGTGGGAAGCCATTGCAATATTTAAAGCAAGGAAGTGAGTTGATCTGACTTAAGGTTTTATGAGATCACTCTGGATGTTTTGTGGAGAACATAATCTGAGTAGGGAGGCAAGAATAGAGGCAGGGAGGCCAGATGGGAAGCTGTTGCTGTAGTTCAAACAAAAGTCATTGGACAATAGGACTAGAGAAGAAAAGTGGAAGAACATGGGGTGCATTTTACAGTCAAACTAAGAGCCAGGACTTGGATATGGAAATGGATGGAAAGAGAAACAGCAAGCGTTATTGACTTCATGTTTATGTTCCCCCCAAATGCATATGGAACTGTAACCCCTAGTGGGATGGTAGTAGAAGGTCGGGCCTTTGGGAGGTGACTAGGCTTAGACAGGCTCATGAGGGTGGAACTCCCAGGATGGGATTAGTGTCTTTATGAGAAGAGAAAGATACTAGAGCTTTCTGCCTCCATTGTGTGAAGATACAATGAGAAGTGGCCGTCTGCAAACCAGAAAGGGGGCCCTGACCAGGAACCAGATTGGCCAGCATTTTAATCTTGGACTTCCAGCCCCCAGAACTGGGAAAAATAGAATTCTATTGTTTAAACCACCTCATCTACAGTATTTTTGTTAGAGTAGCTTGAGCTAAGACATCAAGGATAGCTCCTAGATTTTTGTTTGAGAAACTAGGAGAGGAGCAGGTGGGGAGGGGTTTATATGTGGGTAGCGATGCGGTTTTAGTTTGAGTTTCCCGCAGAAGATACTGAGATGAAGATTTAAGTGCAGTTAGATTGTTTAGAAGGTGGTTCCAGGAAACACTGGTATGGGAGGGGGAAGGTGAGGGAGGGAGGGGAAGGTGAGGGAGGGAGGGGAAGGTGAGGAAGGAAGGAAGGCAACAAATCCAGGGTACATGATCAAGCAAGTTACCTCTAAGGGCAACTGGAGCTTAACCCCATGGGGAAACCCTGCGAGTCGGTGTAGAACATGCACCTCAGGGCTATTCCACCTGAGTGTCGAGGAAGCTGAGCTTCTTTTTTTTTTTTTTTTTAACTTCAACTCTTATTTTAAGTTCAAGGGTACATGTGCAGGGTGTGCAGGTTTGTTACACAGGTAAATGTGTGCCATGATGGTTTGCTGCACAGGTTATCCCATCACCTAGGTATTAAGCCCAGCATCCCTTAGCTATTCCTTCTGATGCTCTCCCCCAACCCAGGCCCCAGCGTGTGTTGTTCTCCTCCCCATGACCATGTGTTCTCACTGTTCAGCTCCCACTTATAAATGTGAACATGTGGTGTTTGGTTTTCTGTTCCTGAGTTAGTTTGCTGAGGATAATGGCTTCCAACTCCATCAATGTCCCTGAAAAGCACATGATCTCATTCCTCTTTATGGCTGCATAGTCTTCCATGGTGTATATGTACCACATTTTCTTTATCCAATCTATCATTAATGGGCATTTAGGTTGATTCCATGTCTTTGCTATTGTAGATAGTGCTACAAGGAATATATGTTGCCTGTATCTTTATAATAGAATGATTTATATTCCTTTGGGTACATACCCAGTAATGGGATTGCTGGGTCAAATGGTATTTCTGCCTCTAGGTTTGAGGAATCACCACACTGTCTTCCACAATGGTTGAACTAATTTACACTCCCACCAACAGTGTAAAAGCGCTCCTTTCTCTCCACAACCTCACCAGCATCTGTTGTTTTTTTGACTTTTTAATAATAGCCATACTGACTGGCATGAGATGGTATTTCATTGTGGTTTTGATTTACGTTTCTCTAATAATCAGTGATGTTGAGAAGCTGTTTCTTCAAGCAGCCATAGATTGAAGGCTGTTCATAGATTGAGGGAAAATGAATTTCCTGGCACCACCTCCTGCCTGCTATGTGTGCAGCTGGAGCAGCCACTAGCAGTCAGAGAAAGCCCTTAGATAAAGAGATGTAGGTGCTGGCAGCTGGTGGTGTGGCAAGATAGGGAGAGGGACAGCACCTGTGTCAATGCCAAATAGGCACTTGGACCCAGAGTTGGTAGCTCAGGTGAGAGCCCAGAACTTCTCTGTATATAGAATGTTTAAAGCCATGAGACTAAAACATATATAAATCAGCTATGGAGAGCTTGTAGATGGAGAAGAGAAAGCCCTTGACCTTCAAGTTTGTGTGTTGTGCCAACATTTAGAGATGGCCTGGAGGAAAATATCGAGACATAGTGGCCATTGGGGTGGAGGGAATCAGCAGACTGCAATGTCACTGGAGCCGAGAGAAGGCTATATTAGCATAGTGGGAGTGGTCAACTGTGTCCAGTGCTGTAGAGCATCTGTAGGGACAAGAATGTTGGATGGGGTGGCTCCCTGGTGCCACTCACAAGAGATACTTGATACCTAAGGTTATTATTAAGATTATTAATTAGATCCTCAAAGATCATGCTTGGTTTTTCTCTTGAACTGTTTTATGGAACTGCTATGAAACAGGATTTCCATATTGTGTCTCTGGAAATTCTATAATTCTTTCCCTTGAATTCCTGCTCAGGACTCCATAAAATTTGGTTGAATGTAGTTAGATGAATTTTTGTTCAGCATCAGGACTTTTCTTGTAGAGAAATTTTCTGGAGAGTGGGAAGAGAAGCTGTCTCAGTAAAATGCCCAGTTTGTGCCTTGATATTCCTAGAAGCAGTTTAGTTCTGGAAAATGTGCAGTACTCCTAACAATGGCTATTCTAGAACTTGTATGACCAAAACAGTTCTTATGTAAAAGTCCCCAAAGAATAAGTTGACTGGGGTTCCTTAAATGGTACTCTTCCTTGGAGGCAATGATTCTCCTAAGGACTTTTATACTTTAACATTTTAAAAGCACAAAATCAGAAATATCAGGCATTTGAGATGCTCCAATATCTAGGGATGTACACTAGCTTGCCTTTCTTTAGATATCTAATTACAAAATCAGATTTGAGGAAGAACTTCTTTCTCCAAGCCTGAGAGTTCGTTTGGGTCATGTAGGGAAATGTTAACACAGTAGAAGCGAAAGAGTTCATTTAACAGGATCCTTCCCCAGTCCCTCTCATATTTGCCACTTCTGCCGTATAATAAATGCATGTGACTTCTTTTTGGCCTTAGAGAATGTTTCAGGCAGACCATCTGAGTTATTTTAATGTCTTCTCTTTATTGTAGTGTTTCAAGAAATGTCATTATCACATTCCTGTCTTAAGACAAGGAAGTGAAGCCAAATGATAATGGCTAACACCACTTGTCACTTTTGGGAAACTTGTTGAGGTAGCCAAAGTGAGGTACTAAACAGCTATTTAAAGTTAAGTACTAAAATCCTCTGACACTGTCCAGGATTTGATTTTTATTATTTCAGATTAGAAGAACGTTTCAAACCATTTCTAAACACTCAGCTCTGAGTGATGCTTTTGCTGTTTCTCTGGGCTTCTGTATTTTTAAAGAATCCTACTGCATCTCTCCTGCTTTTCATAGCTAAGACTTTTCTCAGGCCCTGATGATGAGAAAGATATTGCTGGAACAGGAGTGTATGTGTATGTGTATGTGTATGTGTGTGCATGTGTGTGTGTTTGCATGTAAATTATGTGCCTTTGTTTTAATGAAAGCAAATCAGTTGCATATTGGCCACTGGGCTGCTATATATTATTTTTGTCTCTTTTACAGATCGTGTTGCAACCCGATTTAAAATTGAGCTACAGATTTCTCCCCGTATTTTGAGTAGCGTATGAAATGAAAACTACTCTCTCTCCAATACCTTCCATGGCTCCCAGCACTTTTTGTTTTCTATTCTTGTTTCTTATTCTATTCCTGCAAAGACAGTGTAGCTTCAGCTACAAAAACACCCCTGTTCAGGCCGAGGCGGGCGGATCACGAGGTCAGGAGTTCGAGACCAGCCTGACCAACATGGTGAAACCCCGTCTCTACTAAAAATACAAAAATCATCCGGGCGTGGTGGCACACACCTGTAATCCCAGCTACTTGGGAGGCTGAGGCAGGAGAATCACTTGAATCTGGGAGGCAGAGGTTGCAGTGAGCCAAGATCATGCCATTGCACTCCAGCCTTGGTGACAGAGGGAGACTCCGTCTCAACAAAACAAAACAAAACAATACAAAAAACACCTCTGGTCCGCCCTTTCTGTGTTCCTCCATGCCATGTTGCATACTGGATTCTGATATTCTGAATGGATGGGAAGAAAAGCTGATGGAGAGAAGCTTGGGGCTCTACTTAGGAATGTCAGAGATGGCAAAATGGCTGTTTTTCTATCAGTTCAACCCTTGCGTCTTATAGTTGGGCCATAGGTAGTGAAAGGGAGTTAAAACATCTCTTACCTTATTTGAGCTAACCCTTTCCTTTTGGTTAGAGTATATATGTGTTTCTACATCAGTCTCAATGATAGAGCGAGAATCGATTCTCCCTGTCTTTAGGTCTTTTTATTTATTTTTTCAATCTTTGGTTTACAGTGTTGTAGATACCCTAGGACTTTTGTGGGCATTTTATTGGGAGGCTCAGAGTAGGAGTGTCAGTCAGCAATCTTGAAGCTTGAAAGTCCATGGAAAGAAAGTAACATTTTCCACAGGGATATGTGATGTCCCATTCTACCTAAGACTCTGCTGCAGAGAAGACTGTGTCGGGAAATCAGAATTGAAATGAGATAAAGGCCAGGTGCGGTGGCTCACGACTGTAATCCCAGCACTTTGGGAGGCTGAGGTGGGCGGATCACCTGAGGTCAGGAGTTCGAGACCAGCCTGGCCAACATGGTGAAACCTCATCTCCACTAAAAATACAAAAAGTAGCCAGGCATCGTGGCGGGTGCCTGTAATCCCAGCTATTCAGGAGGCTGAAGCAGGAGAATCACTTGAACCCGAGAAGCGGAGGTTGCAGTGAGCCGAGATTGCACCACTGCACTCCAGCCTGGGCAACAAGAGCAAAATTCCATCTCAAAAAAAAAAAAAAAAAAAAAAAAAGAGAGAGAGAAATATAGTATTAAGGATAACTTAGAGAGAAACTTTGTACATTAAGACAAAGAACAGTTTTCTTATAGTTCAACATTGTTTTAACTCAAAGTTTGAATTACAGATAGATGTCACTTCTTTCAAATGTCCCTGATTTTTAAGGACTCTCCTGATTGTTCATTCAGTTTTTTTTTTTTTGTATCTCTCTCTCTCTGTCTGCAGTGTTCCTCATTAAAAATCAGGTTTTGAGAAATGATGGGAGAGTTTAAAAGTTTAAAGTACATTCAGAAGTGCTCAAATATTTCACAGTCTGAGTCTTTATTTCTCCCATCTCTAAAAGTGCCTCTAATTGTGGCCCTTTGTTCCTGTTTTCTTTTTTTTGTTCAAAGACTGGCCCCCCTACACAAAGCCCGTGAGGCCTGCCCCCAGCTTGTGCAGGGAGAGGCGCTCCCAGGCTGGTGGCCTGCAAGAGCTCCAGGTGGAATGCGTGATATGAAATGATCAATCATGAGACCATTTTTGCTGTCATTAAAACCTCTTTGTGAATGATCACTGTTCTTTCTTCACATGAGATAAAAATTAAAGACAGGTTGAATAAAAAATAATTGCTCTCCATTTCCAAAGAGGAGAAATGTCTCCGACGAAGGGAAGGGAGAAAACTTTCTCAAAAAAGTCAACCTTTCATTGAAAAGCACTTTAATTTTCCTCAGATATTCCAATACGTTATTTCCCACCTTCCCTCCAGGAGAGGATTAAACAAACCACTTTTTTTTTTTGAGTGTTCCAATCAAGGTCCTGTTTCCTAGATAATGCAGCCTTCTCTGTGCCTCTCCACATGGACGGATCATCTGGACCGTGCACTGCCTATGTCACGGTGAAGCAGGGCAAAGGCAGATTCCAGAGTTTTCTTAGCCAAATAAGGAGACAAGAGCTCACAACTGTAGTCACTTGCACACACCATCACATAGCACCCCATAACCAGAGTGGGCCTCAAAACAAAAGGGCGAGGCCACAGTGTTCCTCTTATAAATTAAGAATTAGGGCCAGGCACAGTGGTTCATGCCTGTAATCCTAGCACTTTGAAAGGCCGAGATGGGAGGATTGCCTGAAGCCAGTGTTTGAGATAAGCCTGGACAACATAGCAAGACCCCATCTCTACAAAATAAGTAAAATCCAAAAACAAATTTTGTTGGGAGGAGGAATTGTCACCTTAAAGCTAACACAGCAGCAGAGTTTGAGACTGATTTGGAACATAATGGCAAAATAGAGTGAAACAATTTGATTATGCCTGATTTAAGTGGGGTCTAAATTTTCTTTTCTTTTCTTTGAGTCTTAGATTTCTGCTGTGGGTGAGGATTTGCCTTGAAAGGAATGATCTGGTTGAGAGGTGAGGGAGCTGAGGGAAGAGGCATCTCCCTAGGTCTCAGGAAAGGGACTTCTGAACCTCAGTTCTTCCATCCGTTAAATGGAAGAGTTGGAGCATGTGCCCTTTCCTCTAACTAGCTTTGATGCAAAATGTGATTTTTCAATGGAAGGTTATCAAAGTAGTTCAAAAGCCATAGCATAGGGGTCTTCACACAGAATCCAAATCCCTAAAAACAAGTTTTTTTGCCACCAAAATGTCTGTGTGAATGATTACTATCTTTTCTTCACGTGAGATAAAATATTAAAATTTCTTCATTGTGAGTTTAAATAGATAAACACATTGAAATAAGATTGGAAAATAGAAAAATGGGAGTTTAGAAACACATGTGTGTAATCTTGCCCCCATAGACAACTATCAGCATCTTCACATATTTCTGCTAAGACTTTCCCTGTGTATCAAGTGTCATATATAATTGTATTATCCGGTTTTAAGGTATTTTATGTCTTGGATTTTCTCTTAACATTAGAATGATTCTCCATAGTTGTGCATATTCTTCCCAATCTTCTTCTTCTTTTTTTTTTTTTTTGAGACACAGTCTTACTCTGTTGCCCAGACTGGAGTGCAGTGGTGCGATCTCGGCTGTCTGCAAACTCTGCCTCCTGAGTTCAAGTGATTCTCTTGCCTCAGCCTCCCAAGTAGCTGGGACTACAGGCATGTGCCACTATGCCCAGCTAATTTTTGTATTTTTGATAGAGACAGGTTTTCACCATGTTGGCCAGGCTGGTCTTAAACTTCTGACCTCAAGCGATCCACCCACCTCAGCCTCCCAAAGTGCTGGGATTACAGGCGTGAGCCACTGTGCTCCCTCCAAAACTTCTCTTTAATAGCTGAGCAGATATGGTTAATTGTTTGCCCATTGCTGGGAAATTTATTTCAATTTTGCTTTTATAAGTAATATTACAATAGGTAATTTCTTTATTCCTATGAAATCTGATCTTCCTCCAAGTCAATTTCACTTTGAAAAAATATAATTGTTTTGTTGGCTCAGGACTCTGGCTTACCCCATGTTACACAAACTGTTTTATCTCTGTGTTTACAGTTACTTGCGACGATGTTTGTAAAATACTTACGGATTTGTTTGTGCAATTAATTAGATCTTCTGGTCACTTGAAAGAGCTAACTGGGCACACTTGGATAGGAGAGGCTTGAAGTAGGATTGTGTTTGAAGAGAGCAATATGGAATATGCTGTGTGTCATAAACTCTTATGTTGTAGAAAGGAGGTATGTCACCAGCTTTCTCTCATCACCACTGTCCTCAGTGTCACCCCCTGGGATCCGGGTCCGTAACTTGTGGTAGACGAGATAACAAATGACCAATACCAGTGTCTTTCATGCTACTCTTCAGCCTGCAACAGTTCCTTGCCATTAATATAACCACTGAAGAGTGTTAAATTTCTTAGTGCTGTGAAAATTGGTACTAAAAGAAGTACTTTAAAAAAGAAACGGGAGCTTAAGAGCTATAATAAAAGAATAACCCTTAAAGCAAGTCAATTGGAAAGCATAATGAAGTTGATAGTGGTCTTTTTAGTTTAGTCATGAATTTGTTAGAGAAAAAATGACTTTTCTGAAAACCACCATCTGTGCCATAAGTGGATCCATTAACACTGCTAAAGACACCAAGAAGGTTATGCTTGCTGCCACCACAGTTCCCTCCCATTGCATTTTAATTTTATTGCATTTTCTGTTCAGGTTTTCCCTGGTCTCGTCCACTTGGCCATACCAGAAGGCTTTCGTTCCTCCCTAATGCACTGTGATCCTCGGGGTGAACTTTGCCTCCTGAATCAAAAGTCCCCTGTGTTACTGAGACCTCCACGTGTTGACAGGCCTGGTGAGTGGCCTGCGGCTTTAACAGCTTCATCTGCTTAGTACTGCTGTATGTCAAGTGCTATTACACTGGCATCTAAGGGACAGGCAGAAGTTTTTGGATGAAGTTATCTCTTGACATATTAAGTTCAGGTTTACCCTCATTTACTCATAGCGATGTTCTTAAACTTCCACACAAAGAAAAATCTATTGTAAATCTGTTAGACTCTTTAAATACATTTTTTTTTCAGGTAGGAATATTCTTTTTTGAAATGCAAACACTCACCCTTCAATTGATCTATCTCGAAAAACATTTTAAAAATTGAAGCTCATGTCAAACTATCATGTAGTAGAAGTGCACAGTAGTTGCAAAATAAATAATCTTCTCATCATTTTGAATTATTATTATAAACTACATAGCAGTATGCACACATGTATTATACCTCATTCAACCAACAATTATTAAGCACCTACTATATATACTTGGCACTTGCTAGGGGCTGGGTATGTGATTTCAGATCTGGAAATATTGTCTAAGGATTTCATGTACCTCCTCAACTAAATTTCAAGCTTCTTGAGGACAGAGATTGGGTCCTGACTTCCTTTTTCGCCTCATAGAGAATGTAAAACACGTGGAAGAATTTCTTAGCAAATGCCAAATGAAAGAATGAAAAAAAAATGAAATCATATTAAACGTCTATTGCTTAACAAAATGGGCTCATACATGAGATTTGGAATTCTCTTTATGAATGAATTCCAAGTCCCATGTCTATTAGAAGGGGATATGATGTGTTTCTTTTCTTTGCTATGCTTAAAGTCCTTTGATAGTGGATGGCAGAGAATGGAGACTAGAGACTCTTTAAAATAAGAGATAGGGGAAAAAATATTTCTATGAAGATGGAAAAGGACTTTTGCAGCTTCTTATTCAATCTTTTCTTCTACAGCTGTGTGAAATGAAGCTTTGTGAGCTTGAGGGATTTGCTCAAACTTGTCCAGTGTTTTAGTGGCAGCGGCAATGCTGGAAGTGGAATCCCCATTCTGGAATTCCTTTTTTTTTTTGAGACAGAATCTGTCATCCAGGCTGGAGTGAAGTGGCATGATCTTGGCTCACTGCAACCTCTGCCTCCTGGGTTTAAGCAATTCTCCTCCCTCAGCCTCAGAGTAGCTGGGAATACAGGCACACACCCACCATGTCTGGCTAATTTTTGTATTTTTAGTAGAGACGGGGTTTCACCATGTTGACCAGGCTTCTCTTGAACTTCTGACCTCAAGTGATCTGCCCACCTTGGCCTCCCAAACTGCTGGGATTACAGGCGTGAGCCTGGCCCCCTATTCTGGGATTCTTAATTCTTCCCATCATGTCTTACTTTTTAGTTAACACTGGGTAATACTACTTATGCCTTGGTTGGGATTTCTAAGTTATAAGCAACAGAACTTGGGTCTGATCACCATAAGCCAAAAAGGATGTTCTTGGAAGGATATGGATTGGTTCACAAAATTCAAGGAAGAGTTGGAGAATAAGATCTCTGAAAAAACTGTCACCAGAATTCCTCCTTGGTTCTGGAGAGTAGGTCCCTTCTGGTGCCACCATCAGAAGAAATCAGCACCAAGAGTTTTTCAGTCTTGGTGTTACTGTATTAAAAATTCAAATTAGACCTTTGATTGGTCTAGCTTGGGTCATGTGCACACTCCTTGGGAAGGGGAGGGTGGGACTCTCTGATTGACAGTCACAATAAGATTGTATACATTGGGATTTGCAAATCAAAATTAGGTGCTGTTACCAGGGGAGGGAGAATGGATGCAGTGTTGGCAAAAACCTACAGAGCTCCAGCATAGCTCTTGAACAAATGATCCTATTTGTTCAAGAAAGCAAGTCTTTTGTCTTTTTTTTTTTTTTTTGAGATGGAGTCTGACTCTGTCGCCTAGGCTGGAGTGCAGTGGTGCGATCTCAGCTCACTGCAAGCCCTGCCTCCCAGGTTCACGCCATTCTCCTGCCTCAGCCTCCCAAGTAGCTGGGATTACAGGCGCCCGCCACCACGCCCAGCTAATTTTTTGGTAATTTTTAGTAGAGATGGGGTTTCATCATGTTAGCCAGGATGGTCTCGATCTCTTGACCTCGTGATCTGCCCGCCTTGGCCTCTCAAAGGGCTGGGATTACAGGCATGAGTCACCGCGCCCAGCCAAGAAAGCAAGTCTTATAAGTATACAGACATTACGTTCTTCAGATAATTAGTCTTCTGTTCATGCCTGTAATTCTATTTCTGAGCCCTGTACTCACAGCACGCTTCTACTTTACAGAGATCTCTAAAGGGAGATATCTCATCACCCTTCTGTTTTACTTCAACGTTTCTCCTTCCTTTCAAGTTTCCTTCTCTTTGAAGTCTATAACTCTTCACATACATTCTAGGTGCTATCATCATCCACCTCTTCTGGGGGCCTTGCTGCCAAAATTCCTTCTCTGCTGACCCAGCACCTCCATGATTCCGTGGTGTCAGTGGTGTTCTGTCTATACCTTTGGGTGTGACATGAGACTAAACTGCCTCCTGAATTCCATCATGTATTTCCAGCATTGACCTAGGGATCTATGAGGGCTAGAAGGAGAGAGAGTCTGGAGACAATTCCTACAGGAGAAGTCAAAAGATGGTGAAGCCTTCAAAAGATGGGAGAGCCAAGCATAAAGGACTTGAAACTGTAAAGGAAGGGAATGTAGAGCAAAGCCAGGTATCATGGAGAAAATAGTGTGGGACTAGTTTTGGAGGCTTTTGGAAAATCCTTACCAGATTGGTTTGGATTTATTAAATATGCTGGCTTGCACCTTCTGATGAGCTAATGGTGCCCCTCCCTGTCTGAGGCCTCCACCTAGATGACCTGGCTTAGGCTCAACAAGACTAAATATCATCTTCCCTAATCACTCCGTGCTTATGCCAGATGTTTGTCTCATTGTTTCTCATTGTTGCTCATCTAGCTACAACCAATGGATCTTTCTCTTTAGGAGAGCTTAGCAAGGCTCCAAAAGAGGTGAGGCAGAGTAGTTATAAATAATTGACATGGGGCAACTCATTGAACTTTTGTTCTGCTTTGAATATCCATTCTGCTTTTTTTCCTTTAACTTTTATTTTAAGTTCTGGGGTATATGTGCAGGACGTGCGTGCTTGTCACATAGGTAAACATGTGCCATGGTGGTTTGCTGCATAGATCAACCCATCACCTAGGTATTAAGTCCCGCATGCATTAGCTATTCTTCCTGATGCTCTCGTTCCCACTAACCTCACCCCCCACAGGCCCCAGTGTGTGTTGTTCCCCTCCCTAAGTCCATGTGTTCTCATTGTTCAGCTCCCACTTCTAAGTGAAAACATGCAGTGTTTGGTTTTCTGTTCCTGTGTTCGCTGGGGATAATGGTTTCCAGCTGCATCCATGTCCCTGCAAAGGACACGATCTCATTCTTTTTTATGGCCACATAGTACTTCATGGCATATATGTACCAAATTTTCTTTATCTAGTCTATCATTGATGGGCATTTGGGTTGATTCCATGTTTTCACTATTGTGAATTGTGCTGTAATGAACATATACGTGCATGTATCTTTATAATAGAATGATTTATATACCTTCGGGTATCTACCCAGTAATGGAATTGCTGGATTGAGTGGTATTTCTGCCTCTAGATTTTTGATGAACTGCCACACTCTCTTCCACAATAGTTGAACTAATTTATACTCCCACCAACTGTGTAAAAGCGTTCTTTTTTCTCTGCAACCTTGCCAGCATCCGTTGTTTCCGGACTCTTTAATAATCACCATTCTGACTGGGAATATGCCCCTTTGACACAAATTCCTCTGTCATGACTCACACTACAGATGAGTCATTTCCTCTGGAACCTTGTGACTTAGCTATTGACAACTTAGAATCTCTTATTTCCCTTAGTCCTAATTTGGCTTGTCAACAATAGTCATAGTCCCTATTAAAGGAAAACGTTGAATGAAACATCTAATTCTCAGGTGACTGATGACAGATGACCAAGTTCCAGTACCCATAGCTGCTTTCTAGAAAAGTTGGAATTTACCAGATGTGACACTTTTAGTGGACCCACCATCATCTCAGTCACCATGATTAAAAATGTATTGCTCAGAGCATGCTTGGTTGTAACTAATAGAGACCTACTAAATTAGCTAAGTGACTGGTTTATTGTAAAGATGCATGAAAGTCTCAAAGAAACAGTTAGTTGGGCTTCTTGGGAGGTGCAACATCTTCAGGCAATGCTCTTTTGCTCTACTTTTTCTTTCCTGGTTGCATGCTCTCCTGTTGTTGAGGAGTCTCTGCGTCATTAATCTCTTCATGCCTTCCCATAACAGTAGCTTGTGTGTGGTTTGGGACTGCTATGGCTCAGAGACTCAGCCCTGATTCTCTCTGAATTTTACATCTCCAACTTGGTTTCTATCCTTCAAATGCTTCAGTTAGACAACTGATGACCTCTGATGTCCAACCCTGGAATAATTAGCTGCTGTCAGGGATCAGGGTTATCTGGTACCCCCCATGGTGACTGAGGCCCTCTCCTTCTGCAGAGTGGGTGCAGAGGGCTGTCCAAAGACATGGTTGTGACAGGTATGCTCCAAGCATGTCTACTCGAATCCTTCCTTGCCAAGATGTCCCTCTTCCTTTATCCCATATCTTGCTTCTGGCTATCAAGCACTGCACTTTAGTCTGAATTAATGATTTGGACTGTGATATGCAGGGTCTTAAGTGGATGCCTCCATCGGGTGTAATGCACCTGGCCTTGCAGAGATGGAAGACTTGGCATCTTTAAACCAATGGGAAGGGACTGTCAGGAAGTCTGCGTCTGTCTCTGTGAGAAATAGCATTGGAAATCCATGAAGATACATTGCTGAAACCCGACAGCAAAATACTTAATATAGTTACTAGCTGTGCTAACTGATTTAATGAACAGGGAACATAACAAATGAGTGTGTTTACCTAGTTAACTTCTGAAAATGAATATCTGTAATTAAAGCGGCTCACAACTGACAGGCAAACAGGAAATTATTGTTATTATTATACACAAATCATCTTAAAATACCAGAACTTAATAAATAGAGGAAAAAACAAACAATGGCTAAAACTGTCTGCTAAATAAAAAATAATGATGAACACCTGTGGTCTTTTTATAGGACTCCAGTGGAGATTTTTTTTTATTGAAGACCTAATTACGTTTTTGTAATGCTACCATTTCATTATTTCCCTGTAGCGTTATTAAAAGAAAATGTCCATATTTTCTCTGTGTAAAAGGTCTGGCACATAGATTCAGGCATGGGGTTTTCTTAATGCTACGGATACTGTGACAGTTTTAGCGATGTATTTGGCAAAGAACGTAGGCCTTGGCGAGGTGGGATTTTTCTTTTTGGCAATACCAGAGCCTGGCCAGGGGACAAGGGTGACATGGACCTTCTTCAGACAGACTCTGCCTGCAAGTAACCAAGAGCCATGTCGTTAAACGTGTACAACAGCCAGCTCTGCAGTTAACCTTTGTCTTGAATCCCATCTTTGCCCCTTCCTAGCAATGTGTCCTCTGGCAAGTTACTGAAACACTCTGTGCCTCAGTTTTCCCATTTGTAAAATGAGAATACATGTCTCAGGATTGTTCTTTGAACTAATATGTGGACTTATTATGCTTGGCACATCATAGATGCCAGTAAATGTTAGTTACTATTATTAGGTTGGTGCAAAAGTAATTGTGGTTTTTAAAAGTAATGGCATTAAAAGTAAAGGTAAAAACCACAATTACTTCTGCACCCACCTAATATTTTACCTGCAAGTAATGGTTCTCCATGTGCTTTCTTTAACCGAGTAGGTCCTAGGAGTGAATATGCGAATGCCCCGTCCATATAGTCAGTGACTGCTAGCAGCATCATGAGTTATCCAGATCTGCAGAATTGAGAGTTTATTTTCTTTATGGCACAAAACACCATTCAAAAATATCTTGCCTACCCATGGCCTGCCTCTTTCACTAACATGTAAGCTTAGAAGAGGAAGAATATTTGGGCTATGTTGCACAATTCTAGGTGGTGCTATTCACATTGTCATGTTACTCTTCTGTGCTGCCAGGCTGCCTTTCACACTATATGTAGTGTGCATGGTACCTCCAGAGGTGTGTAACACAGTGGTCTTGAATGGGACCTCAAATTGAGTTCAAAATCGACATCACTCCCTTACCAATCTTTCTTCTCCACCATCATTCTCATCTTCGCCAGTGGCAGCTCTGTATGTCCCATTGCCCCAAGTAGGAACCCTGGAAAACTGATGGTTTGGTATCATAAATATCTTAACTTCTTTCTTCCATTTTTGCACCCTTGTTAGCCCCCTGGCTCCAGAAGCTCTACTAAACCTAAATACATGCACTTTTAATTTGTCAATCATACCTCAATGAAGCTAGAAAAAAACACCCAATCTCTATATCAAGTCATATCAATCCCCTGCTTGATGTCCTCCAGTGACTTCCCTTGTACACAGCATAACATTAACATTCTTCATCACAGCCTCAAAGGTCTTATCTTGTGCCACACTCTCTTGATCATACAAGCACACCAGTTGAAAACATAGAGTCCCTGTGCCATCAACATCACCCAAGAACTTGTTAGAGAGGCAAATTATTGGGCCCGAACTAGATCCATCAAATAAAAAGCTCTGGGGGTGAGGCACAGCCATCTGTGTCTTAAGAAGCCTTCCAGGTGATTTTGATACTGGTTGTGTATCCTCACTGCACTGGTGCTTTCTGTTTCTCAGACCCAGGAGATGTCCCTCCACCTGCAATGCTCTTTCCCAGATCTCCCCATGATTGATGGGACCAGCTCTGTTGCATTACTCATATTTCTGTTCAAAAGTCATTTTTTCCAGAAAGGCCATTCCCTATCACCCCATGTGTGATGGTTAATACTGAGTGTCACCTTGGTTGGATTGAAGTGTGCAAAATATTGTTCCTGGGTGTGTCTGTGAGGGTATTGCCAAAGGAGATTAACTTTTGAGTCAGTGGACTGGGAAAGGCAGACCACCCTTTATGCAGGTGGGCACAATCTAATCTGCTGCCAGAGTGGCTAGAATAAAAAGCAGGCAGAAGAACATGAAGACTAGACTTGCTTAGCCCCCCAGCCTACATCTTTCTCCTGTGCTGGATGCTTCCTGCCCCAAAGATCAGGTTCCATGTTCTTCAGCCTTGGGACTCGTACTGGCTTCCATGCTCCTCAGCTTGCAGACAGCCTATTGTGGGACCTTGTGATCGTGTGAGTTAATACTCCTTAATAAACTCCTCTTTATATATACCTCTATCCTATTAGTTCTATCCCTCTAGAGAACCCCAATACACCATCCAAACTCCCCTTTGCTCCTGCTGTTGCTCTTGTTACTCTTTCAGATGTCCAGGTTTTATTTTCTTTATAGTACCGGCCACTATTTGAAATTATCCTGCTTGCCCGTTTGTCTGTGTCCTCCCATGAGAATGTCACCTCCATGAAGACACAGGCACCTTCTCTGTTTTTTGCTTCTGACTGTGTTCACAGCACC
The DNA here is from genome assembly GCF_000001405.40 of Homo sapiens. Lineage (NCBI taxonomy): Eukaryota > Metazoa > Chordata > Mammalia > Primates > Hominidae > Homo > Homo sapiens. The sequence continues at coordinate 52,809,650 of NC_000016.10, read as the reverse complement.
TAGAAGAGTGCCTGGCACACAATAGGTACTCAACTGGTGAGTAAGTGGTTATACGAACATTTCGTTTTTTTAATTAGTTGAGAGGACTTTCATATTTCTTTTAGTTAGTCTCCCTTCCTTCTTTTTTATTTCAATGATTTTTGGGGAAAAGGTGGTTTTTGGTTACATGTATAAGTTCTTTAGTGGTGATTTCTGAGATTTTTGTACACCTGTCACCTAAGCAGTGTACTCTGTACTCAATATGTAGTCTTTTGATGGTTTTTTTTTTTTAGATGGAGTTTCGCTCTTGTTGCCCAGGCTGGAGTGCAATGGCACGATCTCGGCTCACCACAATCTCTGCCTCCCGGGTTCAAGTGATTCTCCTGCCTCAGCCTCTCGAGTAGCTGGGATTACAGGCATGTGCCACCACACCCAGCTAATTTTGTATTTTAGTAGAGATGGGGTTTCTCCATGTTGGTCAGGCTGGTCATGAACTCCTGACCTCAGGTGATCCGCCCGCCTCGGCCTCCCAAAGTTCTGGGATTACAGGCGTGAGCCACTGCGCCTGGCCTCTCAGTATGTAGTCTTTTGTTCCTCATCTGCCCCTTCCCTGCTGAGTCCCCAAAGTTTATTATATCATTCTTATGCCTTTGCATTCTCATAGCTTAGCTCCCACTTATGAGAACATATCATATTTGGCTTTCCATTTCTGAGTTACTTCACTTAGAATAATGGCCTCCAGCTCCATCCAAGTTGCTGCAAAAGACATTACTTCATCCTTTTTATGGCTGAGTAGTATTCCATGGTGTATATATTCCACATTTTCTTTATCCACTCATTAGTTGATGGGCACTTGGGTTGGTTCCATATCTTTGCAATTATGAATTGTGCTGCTACAAAAGCGTGTGCATGCGTCTTTTTCATAAAATGAGTTCTTTTCCTTTGGGTAGATAACCAGTAGTGAGATTGCTGGATTGAATTGTTGTTCTACTTTTAGTTCTTTAAGGTATCTCCACACTGTTTTCCATAGTGGTTGCATTAGTTTATATTCCCACCAGCAGTGTAAAAGTGTTCCCTCTTCACCACATCCATATAAGAACTTTTTTTTTTTTTTTTTTTTTATGGATTCCTGCTCTGTCACCAGGCTGAAATGCAGTGGCACGATCTTGGATCACTGCAACCTTTGCCTCCCAGGTTCAAGCTATTCTCCTGCCTCAGCCTCCTGAGTAGCTGGGACTACAGGAGTGGGCCACAATGCCCAGCTAATTTTTGTATTTTTAGTAGAGACAGGATTTCACCATGTTGGCCAGGATAGTCTCAATCTCTTGACCTCGTGATCCACCCACCTTGGGCTCCCAAAGTGCGGGGATTACAGGCATGAACCACCACACCCAGCCCATATAAGAGCATTTTAAAACGTATTTGTGACAGATGGAGTTATTGACCTTCACTCTTCACCTATTCCTGGCTCTAAATCCTTTGCCCCTGGACTCTACAACTCTTTCCACTGGAGAAAGAGCACACTTCTATGGTGCAATTCCAAGTAGTACTTTCATGAGGAAGACTGGACCAATGTGTGGTTTGGAGCTGAGCCCAGCCTAGATCAGCCAACTCCCAGCCAACCCTTAGATTGTGAGCAGGAAAAAAATCATTAATGTTTGAAGTCATAGGGTTTTAGGGTGTATGGTTAATGCATTATTGTGGGGCAATAGCTAATGCTACATGTACAGTCCATATCTTAGGTACCATCAGAATCTGGAAAAAGTGGTGATCAGTCTTGCTTGCATGACAAAAGTAGGAAAGATTTGAGAGGAAGTAATTTCTGAGCAAGTCTTTTGAGAGCTAAATATAAGATTACCTGGTAGATGAGAGGGGGAAGGGTATTTGAGCAAAAGGAAATATATGAACAGAGGTATTCATTAAAGTGCACGAAGCTTTTGGGAAAAAACAAGTAGCTCATTGGGTAGAAAGTATGTGGGGGAGCAACTCAAAATGAGTTTTGCAGAAAAAGTAATTATACCTTACGTTTGCAAAGAACACTCTGCTTGATGAACATTTTCACACACATTTATTTACTCACTGCTCGCAATATCCCTGAGGCAGTGCTCTGTAAAGCCTTCTTGAACCTTGGTTGGAATCTCAGCATCGTGGTCCCAACAACTCTCAGCTTCAGCTTTCTCATCCATAAAATAGCATTATTCTCAGGATTAAAGAGACGAAGTATGTTCAATGCCCGATGTGCAATAGGTGCTCAATTCTCTCCCACCGTCAGTTTTACATCTTAAGAACCTGAGGCTCAGGGTAAACAACTGCCCATATGTCACATTTTTACCAAGCAGGTTTGGGGCCATGATTCCCATGTCCAGGCTCTGCCCTTAAAGCCACAGCTTCATTTGGCAATAGTTGAGAGATGGTCCAAACTTCGAGGTGGAAAGAGAAAGAAGTCATCTTTTCTTTTTGTTATTTCTTTTCTCTTTCCTCAGCCATCCTGGAAACAGTGTCCCAGGGAAATGCAAAATCTGAATTACGTGGATCTTGAGCATTAACCAATTGCTCAAAGGCAGTAAGCAGGTTCTCAAAGAACTAAAAATAGAATTATCATTCAATGCAGCAATCCCACTACTGGATGTCAACCCAAAGGAAAATAAATTATTATTTTAAAAAAGATGGCCGTGCATGGTGGCTCACGCCTGTAATCCCAGCACTTTGACAGGCCAAGGTGGGTAGATCACCTGAGGTCAGGAGTTCGAGACCAGCCTGGCCAACCTGGTGAAATCCCATCTCTACTAAAAATACAAAAATTAGCTGGCCGTGGTGGAGGGAGCATGTAATCATGGCTACTCAGGAGGCGGAGGCAGGAGAATCACTTGAACTTGGGAGGCAGAGGTTGCAGTGAGCAGAGATCGTGCCATTGCACTACAGCCTGGGTGACAGAGTGAGACTCCATCTCAAAAAAAAAAAAAAAAAAAAAGACACAACAGTTGACTGGATAAAGTAATTGTGGTATATATACAGTACTATACAGTCATAAAAAAACAATGAAATCATGGCCTTTGCAGCAAAATGGATGAGCTGGAGGCCATTATCCTAAGTGAACGAATACCACATATTCTCACTTATAAATGGGAGCCAAACAATGGGTACACATGGACATAAAGATGGGAATATTTGGATATTGATATTGGACATTAAGGTCTCCAAAAGGGATGGAGGGAGGGGAGTGAGGGTTGAAAGATTACCCATAGGGAACAATGTTCAATGTTTGGGGGATGGGTACACTAGAAGCCCAAACCCCACCAGTATGCAATCTACTCATGTAACAAACATGTACGTGTACCCCTAATTCTAAAATAAAATAAAATAAAATAAAATAAAAAATATTTTTTAAAGGTGTTAAGCAGGAAAAGAGTATTTCAGTTGAAGATGCTCCTCTCCATTTCTCCCTTTTACCTGTCCCTCCCGGCCAAGTTCTTCTTCTGTGTCCTGTGGATGGATCGAACTTGGATCTCTCTGCCTCTCCCCAGACAACCCCATGCTACTTAGTCACCATCCTGGCCTACAAAGCCCCCTGCACCATCTGGCCTTTGTCTGCTTTTCCAGTTTCCTTTTTTGCCACTCTCCTTTTCCAGAACACTTTGACCCATGGCTTCCTTTTTGACTCTTGGGCATACCAGTCCCATCCAGCTTGAGGGCTTTTGTGCTTGCTCTCTGGCTGGAATGCTTTTCCCAAACTCTTCACCTGTTATCAGGAAATAAATCAAGTACATAACAACAGGCTCAATCTGGACTCACCTTTTTGTTTACTTGTCTCTTATGTGTTTCCATCTAATGGAATGTAAGGGTAAGTGCCTTGCCTGTCATATCTCTGCTATACCTTCAGTATCTGGTATATGACAGGCGCTCAAGAAGTGCTTGTTGACTGACTGTATGTAGGGACAAAGCCAACGACAGATACTGTGAGACTCTGCCAAGGGAGCAGGTAAAAAGCCGAGGGTAGGAGGAACCCTGAGGACCAGGCAGCCATGGTGGATTTTTTATCAGTTGCCTGTGGCTATGGGCTGTGCCAGGTCAGTGGTGATTAAAGACCCAGGTGGGAAAAGGATTCTAGCCTAGCTTTCCTGGTGTAGGCAGCACCTCTATGTGCAATCTTCCTTTGCACTCTTTCCTGACTTACATCAAACCACGTTCATCCTCTGTTTTATTCTTTTAGTGCTGTTCTCAATTTTTACAAGATTGAAACAAAGGTTGCCACAGAGGATGATGGGGATGTAAATTGTTGTAACTACTTTGGAAAACAATTTGGCACTATCTTGTAGAATTGCACATTTGCATATTCTACTATTTAGTATTCCACTCCTTGGTATGTGCCTTAGAGATATTGTTAGATGTATTCACTGGGAGACATAAAAGAATATTTAGAGCAACTAAAACTGCAAACAATCCAGATATCCATCATACAAGAATAGTTAAATGAATTGGGGTGTAGTCACACAATGGAATATTATGCAGCAAGTAAAATAAATGAATCACATTTGCATAGACCAACCATGAGTGAATCTTAGAAACATAAGATTGTTCCTCGAAATTCTATTTTGGTTTTGCTTCTTCTAATTTCAACTTTTGTTTTGATTTAGGGAGTTTCATGTGCAGGTTTGTTACATGTGTATATTGTGTCACACTGAAGTTTGGGGTATGAATGGTCCCATCACCCAAGTACTGAGCATAGCACACACTAGGTAGTTTTCCAGCCCTTTCCTCCCTCATTGTCTCCCCGTCTAGTAGTCCCTGGTGTCTATTGTTTCCATCTTTATGTCCATGTGTACCCAATGGTTAGCTCCCACTCATAAGTGAGAACATGTGGTATTTGGTTTTCTGTTCCAGTATTCATTTGCATAGAATTAGGACTTCCAGCTGCATCCATGTTGTTGCAGAGGACATGATTTTGTTCTTTTATGGCTGCACAGTATTCCATGATTAAACATAAGATTGAATGACAAGAGCAGGTCATTTGAGACATCATATGGTATGATGCCATTTTTAGAAAGTTCAAAGACAAGCAAAATTAAGCAATATGTTTAGGAAGACACACATGTAAAAACTGAAAAAAAAAAAAAAATGAAAAATCTTGCCATTAGAGGTGGCAGGGAACTGGGATAGGGAAGAATCTCTCAGGTAGTTACAATAGTGGAAAATATTGGGTATTGGGCTCACAGGTTTTCATTTTGTTGTATGCCTCATTGTTTGCATACAATATAATACATGCAATATAAATTAAATATTGCATAATAGATTAATAAAATTCCCCCAAATTGGGAGTCAAGAGGATTGATTGTTTCTTTAAATTTCCAAGGATCATAAAGTGAATCATCTATTTAATAAAATCTTGGGGTAGGGAGAAAAGTGGAAGAAATATTGGTTAGATTCAAGAAATTGTGGGCTATTAATGTATCTCTTTCTAGAGACTAAACTCTCAACCTTTGCTAACATGACACAAACCTAACAGCAATGCTGTGGGGAGCGCCCTGGGGATGCATTCGGGACAGATGATTCGGTGAGCATGTTTTATACCTCTATTTGTTCCTTGTCTTGGAATGTTAATATAAATTCAGAGAAAAAAAGTATTTCAGAAAATACGAAATATTATTTTAAGTTTTAAGAGTGGAGATGGGTAGGATTAAAGAAAAGAAGAAAAGAAGGTTGGCCTCTCTTGCAAAGGTCTCTTCTTCTCTTTCTTTCTTTCTTTCTTTCTTTCTTTCTTTCTTTCTTTCTTTCTTTCTTTCTTCCTTTCTTTCTTTCTCTTTCTTTCTTCTCTTTCTTTCTTTCTTTCTCTTTCTTTCTTCTCTTTCTTTCTTTCTCTTTCTTTCTTTCTTTCTTTCTTTCTTTCTTTCTTTCTTTCTCTTTCTTTCTTTTCTTTCTTTCTCCTTCCTTCCTCCCTTCCTTCTTTCTTTCTCACTCTCTCGTCTTTCCTTCCTTCTCTTCCTCCTACTCCTTCCTCTTCCTCCCCCTCCCCCTCCCCTTCCCCTTTCTTCTTCCTCCTCCTCCTCCTTCTTCCTCTTCGTCTTCTTCTTCTTCTTTTCTTCCCCTTCCTGTTCCTCTTCTTCTCCTTCTCCTTCTTTCTCTCTTTCTTTTTCAGGAGAACTCCACTTCTCCAAACCTCATTTATCCCATGACTCCTTTTCCTTCTGAGTCTGATCCAAGAGTTTAGCACTTGGATCAACATAACACTTGTCCAAGAGGTAAGTGTTGAAAAATAGGGGTCTATAATTAAAAAACGAAACAAAACAAAACAGATTCATGCATTGAAGCAGTTGTTCAAAATAATTTTATGTCTTACTAGAATTGATTGTGGGAAGTTTATTTTTTTTATTAATTTCTGTTATAATCCTAAGGCAAACAATAAAAAGTCCACATGCCATAAAGAGTTCTATGTATACCCTGAGCCCTTATGCCTAAAGAAAAGGGTTAATTAGAAACCATTGCTTCATGTTCTGTGATCACCTTTGGGGTTTGGACACACTGCACAAAGAAGAAATTGAGGTTGTGATGACTAAAAGGCAAGAAATCATAAGAAGTGGCAGGAGATAGTCCATTGAGGAGCTGGCTGTGGTGTATTTCACAGGTCTTGTTTTCTAAATTAAAGGAGAAGTTGAAGACATGGTCATAAATATAAGACAAAAGTCAATGACAATTCAATGAAAATCTTACCATCTTGCCCATAGAAAGAGCCCCCAATGCCTGAGCTAAATAAAACAAGGCAGTATTGGACACCCTGGGTCAGACACTATTATGTGAAAGTTCTCCTTTATAAGCACTCAGACTGTGCAGCAGAAGCTGGAACCCACATTGCATGTGGCAATTAGAATGTTAGAAAGGGGCGGGCAGACCTTATTGGACTCTGCGGGCTTGAGCCTAAAAAAGAAAAGCAAGGCTATACTGGGTCAAGGAATTTTTATTTTATTTTATTTTATTTTATTTATTTTATATCTTATTTTATTATATTATTTTATTTTATTTTAATTTTATTTTATATTTTGACAGAGTCTCGCTCTGTTTCCCAGGCTGGAGTGCAGTGCTGTGATCTCGGCTTACTGCAACCTCCACCTCCTGGGTTCAAGCGATTCTCCTGCCTCAGCCTCCCAAGTAGCCGGGATTCCAGGCATGCGCCATCACGCTCGGCTAATTTTTGTTTTGTTTTGTTTTGTTTTGAGATGGAGTCTCGCTGTGTCACCCAGGCTGGAGTACAAGTGGTGTGATATCGGCTCACTACAACCTCTGTCTACTGGGCTCAAGTGATTCTCCTGCCTCAGCTTCCCTAGTAGCTGGGATTACAGGTGACCACCACCATGCCCAGCTAATTTTAAAAATATTTTTAGTAGAGACAGGGTTTTACAAAGTTGGCCAGGCTGCTTTTGAACTACTGATCTCAGGTGATCTGCCTGCTGTGACCTCCCAAAATGCTGGGATTACAGGCATGAGCCACTGCACCCGGCTTAATTTTTCTATTTTTAGTAGAGACGGGGTTTTGCCATGTTGGCCAGGCTGGTCTCAAACTCCTGACCTCAGGTGATCTGCTCGCTTCAGCCTCCCAAAGTGCTGGGATTACAGGTGTAAGCCACCACGCCTGGCCTGGGTCAAGGAATTTTGAGGCAGGGGCTGTTAGGCTGATGAAAAGGGGTACTCTTTGAGCCCAAACAATTAGAGAATGGTCTAGGGTTTTTGAGTCAGCCCAAGGAGAAAGATGCCAATAATGTGGCAGGAATGAAGAGTTAAGTACTCTTAGAAGGGAACCGCCAGCAAGGGGTTAAAACCCAGGGTTTTGAAGTCAGGTATATGTTCAGGTCTGTGTAGACCACATAAGCCACAGTTTCCTCTTTTACAATGGGAATAGCAGTCTTTACCCTATGGAGTTGTTGATCAGATTGAATAAAACATTAAATGGAGAACACTTAGTATGGTGCTCACTCAGTACATGGGGCTGTCACTATGTAAGGAGTGTGAAATGGTGGAGGTGGTGAGAAATCATACTGATATTGGTGACACACCGTCTGGGATAATTTAGACTCTCAATCCTTTTCTACTTGAAAAGGAGGTTTTCTTTCCTAATTTATTCTGACCTAAAGAATTACACCCTTTTATGTAGGCAAAGTGTTATTTAGAGATTTCCAATATGCCACCTTGATTTTACTGTTTACATAGATGAAAAGTGGCTTTTGTAGATTTTCTTTTTGATGTACTATGATCTGTCAACATTTAATAAAAAAGACTTATTTTGAACAAGACAGCCCTTCAATTCAGTCAAACAACGAATTTGGCAGATTCTCTCCTCCCTCGACCAGGGTGACAGGCTGTTTCCCAACTGGATCTAATTGACTAAATGTTTTGGTACCTCGTTGACACAGACAAGTGATTTTTTTCTTTGTCATTTGCATGGAAAAAGGTACTGAGTCTGGAGAAATTGGGTGATTCTGATGAATTTAAACCATTGCTTTTGTGTTTGCTTTTTAATTTAATCCTTTGAGGGCTTAAGATCTGAAGTGGAGAGGGAGGAACTAGAAGAGATCAGAAAATAATCCCTGAAGGGTACTGGTTAATTAATTATCATGCTCAGGGATTGGGAGTTTTGGAGTAAAAAGTGTGGGTAGTTTAACCATGACTTGGAGCTTGGCTCTGAGGACTCATCCCTAGGAGGTGGGACAACCTACAGTACTTGTAAGGAAACCCTGCTTGTCTCTAATTTCTGCACCCGTTGCCTGTCTTCCACACGTAAAGTGGACATGTAATTTCTTTGGCCTCCCAGCTTTTATTCTGAATCCTTTAAGAAATAATTTCTTAATTTCCTTTTGGAGAATTGTCTGTCTCCAGTTTGGTGCAGTCTTCGTTGGATTTAAATCATGTCATTATTCGCTCTTCTCCTGTGGTCAAAAGGTGGGTCCCTTCTCTCCTGGGGCTTGAAATCCTAAGCATTTTAAGGGCAAAAAATGTATTAGGAGCTCATACATCACCGTGGTGGAGTCATGATAAGAGGATTATGTCATCCCTGCTACTCACACCCCTAGTCCTGCCTGGCTTTCTGCATTTTTCTAAGCTTGGTTGTCTAGTCTTCCCATTGATTCCTAACCCTTCCTTGTATTATTCTAATATATTCCTTTTCTGACTGAGCCAGATTCTATTTTTGTGATTTGTAAACAAAGATGGAGCTGTCACCATTGGTTAACCAGTCAGTAGACATTCTCTTTCTCGTAGTTCTGCTTAAAGATTTACCTCCCACAATAGAGGCTGACTATATATTCACTTTCATGGCATGTTTTGACGTTAGGTAGGGGTGACTTCATTAGCTTGCTAGAGTTGCTGTAACAAAGTACCACAGGCCGGTTGCAGTGGCTCATGCCTGTAGTCTCAGCATTTTGGGAGGCCAAGGTGGGTGGAACGCCTGAGATCAGGAGTTCAAGACCAGCCTGGCTGACATGGTGAAACCCCGTCTCTACTAAAAATACAAAAATTAGCTGGGCATGGTGGCAGGTGCCTGTAATCCCAGCTTCTCGGAGGCTGAGGCAGGAGAATTGCTTGAACCTGGGAGGCAGAGGTTGCAGTGAGGAGAGATTGTGCCATTACATTCCAGCCTGGGTGACAAGAGTGAGACGCTGTCTCCAGATAAATGAATACATAAATAAAGTACCACAAACTGGGTGCCTTAAACAAAAGGACATTCTTGTCTCACAGTTCTAGAGGTTAGATGTTCAAGAGCAAAGTGTTGGCATGGTTGGTTCCTTCTGAGGTCTGTGAGGGAAGGGTTTCTTCCAGGCCTCTCTCTTTAGCTTGTAGATGGCTGCCATCTCCCTGTGTCTTCACATCATTTTCCCTCTCCACGTGTCTGTGTCCAATTTTTCTCTTCAGAAAGGACACCCGCCATATTGGATTGCAGCCCGCCCTAATGACCTCATTTTAACTTTATTGCCTCTGTAAAGACCCTATCTCCACATAAAGTCACACTCTGAGGTAGTAGGGATTAGGACTTTAACATATTAATTTTGGGAAGACACAAGTCAACCCATCACAGTATTCATGTGACACCGTTCTGACCAATGAGGCATAAGGGGAATGATGTGTCTGGAGGGATTTTCCTGCCCTGGTTATAGAGAGAGACGCAGAAAGAAAGGGCCTATTCTATTCTTGCCTCGGAGGTTGTAATGTTAGGTTGTAACACCTGGGGTTATAGCAGCCATCTTGTGATCATGAGGTAATAAGCTGAAGGTTGAAAATCTACACATGGAGGATAGTGGAATAAAAGAATGGAAAAAATGAAAAGAATGTGGATTCCCTGAGGTAGTGGTGAATCAACTCAGGAATACTTAGCTCCAAACTTAAATCTGTGAGATAATTGAATGCTTTGTTATTTAAACTACTGTTATTTGTTACTCTTCCTCCTTGAGGCAGAACTCTCCCCAGAACCAATAAAATCCTCAGAGTCTTATGTTACCATGCTCACAGATTATTAATTATCCAAGGTGTAAATATCTGATATCAAAGCCGATGGTGAAATTTCAAGATTATCCCATTGGGTTATTTCTTCTACCTCATCTAATATGCAAGTCTCTCTGACAACTGAATCAGTGGCAGAATAAACTCATGACTAGAATCTCCCTTGCATTAGATCCTCCCACCCCTGGAAAGTGCAGCCCATGTCTTGGCCACTTTTCTCACCCTTAAGCAGAGACGTGGGAGATACAGACACAAAGTCCCAAAGGAAGTGTGGGTATGAGGCAGGAACATAAGGCAGCCAGCTTCCAAATTAGGCTTTCTTCTTCTTTTACGTTTTACTTAATTTTAATTATTTATTCCAATTATTATGCTTTCCTATAGGGAAGACCTGATCAAAGTTCATTGTTGGATCAAGGAAGAAAGAGATGAATAAAAGGATTAAAATCATTCTGGGGATAGTAAAGTACCCAACTCCTAGGGTGTTATGAAGCTTAAATTAATGAATACATGTAAAGTGCTCAGTACAGTGCTGGGCACATAGCAATGCCATGCCAACACTGTTATGTAAGTATTAACAATGAATTTGCAGTTTATCAGCTTATCATGTTGTCGATTGCTTATATGCTTAAGGGATGGCCAAGACATTTCCATCTGGTAATTCATAATAGTGAAGAATAGTGGTTCCCAAATTTGGCATGCGTCAGAATCAGCACAAACCAGGGTGCTGCTCAGCGCTACTGAATCAGAACTCGGAGGCTTAAGGCTCCAAAACTCTACATTTATTTTTTTAGATTGCTCCCCACATGATTCTAATGAAGCCAGGCTTAAACTGTATCCAGCGGCTCATTTTTGTTTACTGGGTCTTACCTGTAGTGCCAGTGGGCCAGGCATCATGGAAAACACTGTCAAGATCCTTTAACCTAGGCCCTTATTTTGTAAATGGGAAGGCTGGAGGCCAGAGATGGTGAATGGCTTACTGAAGTTTCACAGTTAGTGGCAGAGATGGGGCTAAGATTCTTACCCCCAACCTTCCTTTTGAACTTCTTTTTCAGGCTTTTATCCCCTACTAAGCTATATAAATTGCAGGGTGAGTCACCTTTTTTTTTTTTTTGACAGAGTCTTGCTCTGTCGCCCAGGCTGGAGTGCAGTGGTGCAGTCTCCGCTCAGTGCAACCTCTGCCTCCCAGGTTCAAATGATTCTCCTGCCTCAGCCTCCCAAGTAGCTGGGACTATAAGCGTGCACCACCACACCCAGCTAATTTTTATATTTTTAAAGAGATGGGGCTTCACCTTGTTGGCTAGGCTGGTCTTGAACTCCTGACCTCAGGTGATTCGTCTGCCTCAGCCTTCCAAAGAACTGGGATTATAGGCGTGAGCCACCATGCCCTGCTACCTCTCTTCTTTGTATTCCTTCTGCTAACATGGTGTCCAGAACAGAGCAGGACTCTAACACATATGTTTGATGGTGAACAAACTGTGCTGAAACCATCTTCTTCTAGTGTTCTGACTCATCCACCTAGAAGAGCTCAGTTGGTGGCAAGTGGAGAGTTATATCCTCTGTACCAATGGGGAATCTGGTGGGGGCTCAGGCAGACAGGGAAAAGGGAAGGTTGGGCCCTCTGTAATGTGCAGACTGATTGCTCATGGCTTTGGGGATTGTCATCAATGGAAATTTTTACTTTAGACTCCTGGTAGCAGTATTCCTACCAACAACCTCATCTTGGCCAAGATGCTTTCAGTTTAAGGTTACAGAAACCTGTTTGAGCTTACTTTAGTAGTAAGAAGGATCTACTGAAAGGAGAGTAGCATATCTCATGGAGCATATCTCAAGGGCCTCAGGGTAGACCAAGTCCAGGAATTGGAAAACCACTGTGGTCTCAGGCAGCCTCTCCTCCTGTTCTCACATCTCTATTCTTCTTTCTCTGCTTCTCCAGCTGCAGACTCCAACATGATCAGGCCATAATTCCTAATATTTCCTATTCTCCACAAATTCTTTAGTTCTAGGCATAGGCAGAGCTTGTCTCTAGCTGCCTCTTGGTCACAGGTCCAACTTTTTGGGAAAGGGGATCTATGTGGCCCAAGTAGGACCAAGGGTTCTTGTATGGTTGAATTAACCATGGTCAGGGACCCAGAGGTCACAGAATACCAATATGAATGTTAGGATAGCTATGATCAAAGTATAGTTTTTGTAGATAGCAGGGTGTGTATGTGGTGTGAGTTGGTAACTCTCTAAACAGTATCCATAAATGGTATGTTTGTTAACTTTACCATGAAAACAAATAACCTCCACATCTCAATGACTTACAACAGCAAACATTTATATCTCACTTTACATGCTCTGTATAGCAGCTCTGTGCCATGTGTCTTCTTAGCTAGGACTCAGGTGGAACCTAATAATTTAGGAAATACCTTTCTTATCATAAAGAGAAAAGAACAAGAGGCAGGGCCAAAGTGTGTACTTGCTTCAGAACTTCTCCTTGGATGTGGCCTGGCTCATGTCTGCTCACAGTTCATTGCAAAGCAGTTCCATGGCCAAGCCTGACAATGGGACAAGAAGTGCCCACCACCTCCAGCAAGACTCTAGAAGTCACTTGCCAAAGGGCAGCCAGTGAGGGTCTTGTAACAGGGAAGGACACAGGCAAATGTGAACAATTCCCCAGTCTGCCACAACAGGGTTTAATGGTGGCAGCAATAACTGACCTTTAACAAAGGCTTAAAATGTGCTAGGCACTGGGCTAAGAGCTTTATGCAAATTTTCTCATTTAATTATCCCAATAATCTTGTGAGATAACCACTATTATCCTCATGTTACAGATGAGAAAATTGAAGCTTAGAGAGGTTAAACAGCTTGTCCTCTGCTACATAGCCTGTAAGTGGGATTTCCAGGATTCATACCAAGGTACCCCAGGGAATGCCACTTGTATCAGTTTCCTATAGCTGTTGTAACAAATTTCCACAAATGTAGTGCATTAAAACAACACAATCTGTTATCTTACAGCTCTGTAGGACAGAAGTCTGGCCCTGGTCTCACTGGGCTAAAATGAAGTTGTCAGCAAAAGATGCATTCCTTTCTGGAGCTTCTAGGGAGAATCTATTTCGTTTGCCTTTTCTATTTCTTGATGCATGGCCCCTTCCTCTGTCTTCAAAATCAGCAACAGTGGATTGAGTCCTTCTCACGTAGTGTCAGTCCAGCCCTGCTTTGGTATCATATCTTCTCTGACTCTCCTCTTGCCTTCCTTCTTCCACTTTTAAGGACCCCTATGATTACACTGGACCCACCCAAATAATCCAGAATAATTTCTCCATATCTAGGTCCTTAATCACATCTGCAAAGTCCCTTTTGTCTTGTAAGGGAACATATTTGTAGGTTCTCAGGATTAGGATGTGGATATCTCTGGGGGACCATTATTCTGCCTACACATCCTTCTGTTTTTGGGGATGTGTGTGGCCTCCAAGATACTCCTGAAAAAAGGGCAAAGATAACCAAAACCCCTTTCACTCTTGTACCCTGGTTTTTCGGTGAATCAAGATCAGTGGTAGTTATGAACAAATTAGGAAAGAGAGAAAATAATTCAGGGGATAAATTTAGAGCTCCAAGTTGATCATATATTTGTTAGTTGTGAAGGAGAGAGCCTATTGCTGGCTCTTAAAGTAGAAAAACTAAAGAATTTCAGTACCAGTGTTCCCGGCATGATGCCATAATTAATATATGGTAACAATATTACTAGGAACAAAAACATACAATTATCCCCTTAAAAATGTCAACATGAAAAGTAAATTTAATAAAAGATAGGCATGGGAACATATATAACAAAGATTATCTTTAATAACGAAATTATTTATGATCAAACATTTTTACTTAATTTCAGTTCAATTCCAAAATAGTCACAGTAGTGTCATGATTAAATATTAATGCTAACAGAAACAACCTAATTGGGAGGTTATTAAAACTTCAAATTAAGTTTCTTTTTCTTTTCCTAACCAAAAACTTCTGCCTAGAAGGGCATCAGGGGAATTCCAGCACATGTGTTTTGTTAACATTGATTTGCTGCGCTGAGAGAGGGGCTAGTCAGAAGAGATTCACTCTGAATTTCTAGGCAATATTTAATAAGACACTTTCTGTCTCTTCTTTGAGTAATTAGAGGGGTGATTGCTGCTCTGGCCTTTGTTGGTGCAGAGCTGGCTGACTACTTGGGACATTACAAGTTATACCTTGCTGCCTAGTAAATCACCCCAAAACTCGGAAGAACCATTTTATTCTGGACAGTTCAGCAATTTGGGCTAGGCTTCTTCTGGCCCCATCTGGAGTCACTTTTGGTTGCTCCATTGGAGCTGGATGAGTAAGATGGCCTAACTCACATGTCTGATGGTTGGTGTTGGCTGTCACCTAGGTGACTTGTCTCCAAAATGCTAGCCTGGGCTTTTTTACATGGTGGCTGGAGTCCAAAAACAGCAAAGGAGAGAGAGTAAGCCCCAGTTTGCATGTGCCATTCAAACTTTTCCCTGTGGCATGTTTGCTGAAGTCTCATTGGCTAGAGGAAGTCACATGACTAAGATGCCAGTCATTGTGGGAGGGAACTATACACAGAAATAGATACAGGGAGGCAGGATTCATGGGGGCCATATTGTATGCATCTTCCACACCAGGGATTACCTAGCACACAGTTTAGCATTCCACAGAGAAAAGGACACAGGAATGGGGAATATGAAATTTTTACCCTATGAGTCCCGATGGGGTGGTTGTCCTTAAGAAGGGGGCCACACCTATTTCAGTCCTTCAATGGCAAGTTCCCTGTAAAATTCCTCTTGGCTTCTCAAATGCTTTGGGCAGAAATGAAGAGCAGGTATTTAGTGACATAAATCCTTTACTTTTCATCACAATCCAAGATACATGTAATGTCCATTCCACTTGACCTTATCCTATACTGAGCAGCCCCCCAAGAATTTATGTCACTCTCTTACAGTGGCAGAGCCCAGAATCAAATTATGCTTCTTCACAAAGGAGTGCATGCATTTCTGTGCATCCAGGTGAACTTTTACAGATGTTCTCACTACTTATGCTATTGATTACTAAAAGAGGATTGTTGGAATCTCCACCTACAATTGTGAATTTGTCTATTTCTCTTTTTAGTTCTGTCACTTCCTGCTTCACACATTTTGAAGTTCTGTTATTGGGCATATACATTTAGGAGTGTTAGATTTTCTTGGTGACTTACTTTTTTATCATTAGCTATTATAATATCTGTAATAATACTAAATATATGATTAGAAATTCCTGGTATGTTCTAAACTCTACTTAGTCTGATATTAATAAAATCACTGAAGCTTTCATCTGATTAGTGTTTTAAGATATATTTTCCCTAGGCTTTTAACCTATCATGTTCATTTTCTCTGGCTGCTTTTGAGGCCTTTTTTTATCTAATCATTGGCTTTCAGTAATTTATACTATGCTTGGTGCACTTTTCTTAATGTTCATTCTGTGTCTGTTCATGAACTTCCTGAATCTGTGGGTTTATAGACCTCTGGATGAATTTTCTGTCTCTGTCAACCATTTTAAATTGATGGCCAACAAACAAGTCATAAACAAGTTTTGAATTTTTCAAGACAAAAATGAGTAGAATATTAATTCACCAATTCTAGTTGGGTCAGAAACAACCAGTTTGATATAATCCAGGAAGGCTTCAACTGATCTAGGGATAAAAAATATGTCAGGAGTCAGGATATCTGTTCTTGCTTTACATCTGACATTAATGTGCTGTGTAAACTTGGGAAAGTCACTTTACCTTCAGTGCCTCAGTTTTTCTGCCTTGAAAATGAGGGGTTTGGGTCCTTTGAAGCTCCTTCCAACTGCTGCATTTCAGTATTCTATAACTTAATGCAGCTTTCTCAAAAAATGCTCCAGAAAACACAAGTCTTATGTAATGATTTGGAGGAAAAGGGCCTTTCTGTTTAAAAATGTCTGGGAAAATTTGCAAACTATTATATTTCTTAAAGTGCAAAATGACATTAAATAAAAACATGTAATTGCTTTTCTTTTTTAACAAATGAATTTAAATTTTTAAAAATAGGTTTAGGGCATACAGGTGTAGTTTTGTTACATGGATATATTGTGTAGCAATGAGGTCTGGGCTTTTGGTGTACCCATATATTAGTCCGTTCTCATGCTGCTATAAAGAAATACCCAAGACTGGATAATTTATAAAGGGAAGAGGCTTAATTGATTCACAGTTCCCCACAGCTAGGGAGGCCTCAGAAAACTTACAATTCTTGCATAAAGGGAAGCAAACATGTCCTTCTTCACTTTGCGGCAGAAGAGAAAAGTGGTGAGTGAAGGGAAAAGCCACTCATAAAAGCATCAGACCTCATGAGAACTAACTCCCTATCATGAGAACAGCATTGGGAAAACTACCCCCATGATTCAATTATCTCCACCTGGTCCTGCCTTTGACAAGTGGGGATTATTACAATGCAAGGTGAGATTTGGGCAGGGGCTAGTGGGGGGGGGCCCAAACCATGTAATTCCACTCCTGGCCCCTCCCAAATCTCATATCTTCACATTTCCAAACACAATCACACCCTTTCAACAGTCCTCCAAAGTCTTAACTCATTCCAGCATTAACCCAAAAGTCCAAGTCCAAAGTTTCATCAGAGACAAGGCAGGTCCCTTTCACCTATGAGCCTGTAAAATCAAAAACAAGTTATTCACCTCCTAGATATAATGTGCACACAGGCATTGGGTAAATACACCTGTTCTAAATAAGAGGAATTGGCCAAAACAAAGGGGCTACAGGCTCCATGCAAGTCCAAAATTCAATAAGGCAGTCATTAAAACTTGAAGTTCCAAAATGATTTCCTTTGACTCCATGTCTCACATCCAGGTCACATTGATGCAAGAGGTGGGCTCCCATGGCCTTGGGCAGCTCTGCCCCTATGGCTTTGCAGGGTACAGCCCCACTCCTGGCTGCCTTCCATGGCTGGCGTTGAATGTTTTTGGCTTTTCCAGGTGCATGGTGCAAGCTCTTGTTGGATCTACCATTCTGGGGCCTGGAGGATGGTAGCCCTTTTCTCACAGTTCCACTAGGCAGTGCCCCAGTGGGGACTCTGTCTGGGGGCTCCAACCCCACATTTCCCTGCTGCATTGCCCTAGCAGAGGTTCTCATGAGGGCTCTGCCCCTGCAGCCTGGATATCCAGGCATTTCCACACATCCTCTGAAATCTAGGTGTTGGTTCCCAAACCTCAGTTCTTGATTTCTGTGCATCTACAGGCCCAACACCACGTGGAAGCTGCCAAGGCTTGGGGCTTGCACCCTCTGAAGCAGTAGCCCAAGCTGTACCTTGTCCCCTTTTAGCCACGACTGGAGCTGAAGCAGCTGGGATGCGGGGCACCATGTCCCAAGGCTGCATAGAGTAGGGGGGCCCTGGGCCTGGCCCAGGAAACCACTTTTTCCTCCTAGGCTTCTGGGCCTGTGATGCAAGGGGCTGCCGCAAAGGTCTCTGACATGCCCTGGAGACATTTTCCCCATTGTCTTGGTGATTAACATTCAGCTCCTCGTGACTTATGCAAATTTCTGCAGCTGACTTGAATTTCTCCCCAGAAAATGGGTTTTTCTTTTCTATGGCTTCATCAGGCTGCAAGTTTTCCAAACTTTTATGCTCTGCTTCCTTTTGAACGCTTTGCTGCTTAGAAATTTCTTCCACCAGATGCCCTAACTCCTCTCTCTCAAGTTCAAAGTTCCATAGATCTCTAGGGCAGAGGCAAAATGCCACCAGTCTTTTTGCTAAAGCATAGCAAGAGTCACCTTTACTCCAGTTCCTCATCTCCATCTGAGACCACCTCAGTCTGAACTTCATCGTCCATATCACTATCAGCATTTTGGTCAAAGCCATTCAACAAGTCTCTAGGAAGTTCCAAACTTACCTACATTTTTCTGTCTTCTTCTGAGTCCTCCAAACCGTTCCAACCTCTGCCTGTTATCCAGTTCCAAGGTTGCTTCCACATTTTCGGGTATCTTTACAGCAGCACCCCACTACCCGGTACCAATTTATTGTATTAGTCCATTCTCATGTTGCTATAAAGAAAAACTTGAGACTGGGTATTTTATAAAGGAAAAAGGTTTAATTGACTCATAGTTCTGCATAGCTGATGAGGCCTCAGGAAACTTACAATCATGGCAGAAAGGAAAGCAAACACATCCTTCCTTACATGGCAATAGGAGAGAAAAGTGCCAAGCAAAGGGGGAAGCCCATTATAAAACCATAGGATCTCGTGAGAAGTAACTCACTATCATGAGAACAGCATGGGGGAAAATGCCCCCATGATTCAATTATCTCCACCTGGTCCTGCCCTTGACACATGGGGATTATTACAATTCGAGGTGAGATTTGGGTGGGGACACAGAACCAAACTATATCAACCCATCACTGGAATAGTGTACATTGTACCCAACAGATAATTTTTCATCCCTCACCCTCCACCTTCCCTCCTATCTTTTGGATTCTCCAGTGTCTATTACTCCACTCTCTGGGTCCATGTGTATCCATTGTTTAGCTCCCACTTATGAGTGAGACATACCATTATTTTATGTTCCACTAAGAAAGACAAACCACTACCAACTAAACCAAGAAACAACTCTTTCTTAGCACTTGGAATTTTTATTTTATACTTATTGTAAATTTTATAATCTTTGTGTAGACTTAGATTTTTATCATAATCACTCTTGTGCATACTTAAAGAAGAAAATTAAAGCAAGTTAAATTGCTTAGGTTTCCTTAAACTTCATGTGAGTTCAATTCTTGAGCATCATTTTTTGATTCTGAGTCATTGATGTTTATGTTTTCCCACATGTTATCTTCCTGTATGTCATCAAGGGTTTGGGTAATAAAATATTTCTTAAAAACATGCTCCACTATTGTGTCTGGGGTTTCTGTCCAAGCCATTGACGCCTACAGTGCAAGTTTCTATGCACATTCAGACACAGCTGTTTTCTGGCCTACTACAATTGTAATATACATTCAGATTTTGGAAATGTTAAAATGCAAAAAAAAAGGCACTTTGTAGTGAGAGCAATATGACATAATCCCTTCTTAGATATGCATAATGCATGATGCATATTTTAGGCTTCGATATACTTTATTTAACTGTGTTTATCTCCATGTTTCCCAGACTTAATTGACCCTGGAATCTAGGCCCATTTCTAATATTATCAGGACCCTGACAAGAGTATAAATGGAGGCCCATTCACCATATAGCTAAAATAGTTATAAATTAAGCTAACAAACTATTATGTAAAATATGCTAAATAAAAGGCATGGAATCAACCCAGATGCCCATCAATGGTGGACTAGGTGCAGAAAATGTGCATATACCCCATGGAATACTATGCAGCCATAAAAAGAATGAAATCCTGTCATTTGCAGCAATAGGGGTACAGCTGGAGGCCATTATTCTAAGCGAATTAACACAGGAACAGAAAACCAAATACCACATGTTCTCACTTATAAATGGGAGCCAAACATTGGGTACTCATATACATGAAGATGGGAGCAATAGACACTGGGGTCTAGCAGAGGGGAGAGGTAGAGAGTCAAAGCAAAGGTTGAAAAACTACCTATTGGGTAATATGCTCACTACCTGCAAGATGGGATCAATTGTACCCCAAAGCTCAGCATCACGCAATGCATCCAGGTAACAAACCTGCACATATACACCCAGAATCTAAAATAAAAGTTTAAATTACTTTAAAAAATTAAAAAACGTGAAATCCTTCTATGTTAACAAATATATCTTCCTAACCTGTAAAGCCAGGTTTGAATTTAGAGTTCTTGAATGCCTTAGACTTCTGCATTGGGAAAGCTATTTCTGGGCCCCCAGTGTGGTCTGTCTTTCCTCTCATACCACCCTGGTTGTATTTATTTCTACAAGAAGCCTCTGGAATAAATGTATGGACACTCCAGTCACACATCCATATGTGAGCTTCTTCCATAGGAGATTGGGGGCTACTTAGGTATGCAAAGTGTGGGTTAGAAGAAGCGGTGTGTGGGTTCTGAGCACACATGTCCCCTTCTTTCCTTTCCCACTCTCACCTATCCTCAACGTTTTTAAAAACCTCTCCTTTAGTTAATTAATGACATCCAATTTTGATATAACACCTTTCCTTCCTCCAAAGGGATTCATATTCTTTCCTCTCTGTAACATCCTTATGAGGAACTGGGGGCAGTAATTAGTATCTTCTTTTAAGAATTGAGGAAACAGTAACACGGAGTAGTAAAATGACTGGTTCATGTCACTGAGAGAAGTTGCCACGTTGGATGAGACATCCTGATGAAGTCTTATCGTGGGCCAAGACACTGACCCCTTCCCAAGCATCCTGCCATCCACCCAGGCCCTGAAGATTGATGACATTGTTAAGCCTTGAGCCCACCAACCAAGAGAAGACATCAGTTAGGTCTTACCTGTTAAGAGCATGATTGCACGTAATAATGAATTTCTGTGACAAGTCCCTGATTGTAAGGTGTGGGCAGGGAAATGTTGCATGGTAAGATGGTGCAGTGGTTAGAGGTCAAAGACAAGCAAGGACCTAAAAAAATACTAGTAGATCAGCAAAAACCCCTAACTTAAGTGCTCTCTGCCCAAATCTGTTGTGCAACAACCTTGATGTAAATTTAAGTTAAGTGAAGGGAGTTTGTTTTATCATCTGCAAAAGTCTCTTGGCCCGCTGAGATGTGTGAAAAGTTGGGCTCTACCAGGAGATGAAATGCTGCATAGGTGGACCAATGCCACTCTGCAGAGCATGGCCCAGTAGAATAGCATTTTGTGTGTGTGTGTGTGTGTGTGTGTGTGTGTGTGTGTGTGTGTGTATTCTCTCAACAGGTGTCAAAAATAAGCACCTTATTTACAAGTGCAAATCCCCTCCCTCCTTTCAAGGGAAGCTCTTAATTCTATCAAATTCCTTCCTCTTTTCTAGAACTCTGTGCTCAGATTTATCTCCTAGATGAGAAGCAGAAGTCGGTCTTTGGACGCCAACTTGCAATTCTCTTTCTCTGTTTGGAGTTTGACCATGAGGGTGAACATTCCCAGGCTACACTCCCTGCTGTGTTCATTTAGATTGACAACACTTGGAAAGCCCTTCCATTTATCAAAAGATTTGGAAAGCAAGATTCCCCTTTCAGGGGCTTTACGTGCCTTCCACTACAGCTCTGTAGTTCAGGCCAGCTCCTCTCACCCCCATTGCAACAGGAGACTGAAGAATGCTAATTTCTTTTCTGTGTGGTACTTAAAATTCTAACTCTGAGCCAGTCCACATCACAACCAGACTAGTTATTAGACTGGTGTGAGTAACACCCAGGTTTCATCATATCTCTGTGAACGGTGGTGTATTAATTAGGGTCTCTAACGTTGTTGTGAGAATTCTAAAGCACAATTAGTATTAATAGCTGCTCTAATTGACAAGAGCACTTTTGTTGCTTCTTTAAAATGCCTTGTTCCTTCCATTGAAAGCCACAACACATGTATGTGTAATCAGGGGACAGAGGACTAGTGTAATTAGAGCGGCAGGTTACAGGTCTAGCTTTCAAATTATGACCTGGAGTTAACACTGACTTTATCCTGCAGTCCCTAATCTAGTATTATTATTCACATGACTATAACCATCCTTAAGATTATGCAGATGTTCTATAGGACTGATATTTACTTTAAATATCTGTCAAATATCAAAGAGCTAGAAGAGAGGTTATAATGCAATTTGTGCTTATGAAGAGGTAGGTGCCCAAGGCCAGAGGTGTTATTTATCATTTGATTTTGACACTAGTTTTATGAATAGTAATAAGAATGCCATTCCCAGGGAAAACACCATTCACAGGGGAAAAGTCGATAGTAAGCACATGCTTGATGTTGCAGGAGTCCCTGTTTTTTCCTTTCACGTTAAAAAATAATGAGTCAGTGGTCACTTTCTTTTATGACCCAGCTGTATTCAAATGCCCAATGAAATGGTTTCACATCCTTGTTGTTGTTGAGTTCGTGTCTTTTTGTGTGTGAGTACAAAGAAAATGAAGAGGGAGAAATGGGGAGGGTAAATCATCAGCCTTGCAAAACATGACCTTGGGAAATGTTGAATGTAGAAAAGCATTCCCAGTTTTTTTCTTAAACACTGACTCAATTTCTATCTTCCCTTCTTTCCCCATGTTCCATAGTACTAGCCCCTGTTTGGTTTTTTTCTTATGATTGTTGGGCAAAATAAATCTCTTTTGGGGTCTCTGTAGAGTGACACATGGTTTGGGGAGAAAGAGGAGGCTCGACTCATGTTGAAAAATAACTTTTCTTCTCTGGGTCTCAGTTTTCTTACCTGTAAAATGAAAAAATTATTCTATTCTGAATTTTAAGCCTACAATCCCCACTGCCTCATTCTATGATTTATATAATTATGCTTTTGAGATAAATAAATGTTTTGTCCCATCTGAACAAAACATCATTTCTTAGAAAGGAAGGAAGATAAAGAAGTTTTGGAAAAATATGAGAATTAAAGTCAAGAATGGAGACTGTAAGATAGGAATGATGGAAAACTCATTCCCCACACACCGGGATAGAGGATAAAAAGACATCTATAAGGAGCAACATTTCATTTTGGGCAGTAATGCTTTTCTAGTACTCTGGGCAACCTATCAGCCCAAGGGTTTTTTACTGCTCTAGTGAGTTCACCGGATCTAGTCAAACAGACTGCTTTGTGATTTTTAAGACAACTGGGGAAGATAGCAAAGAAAGTGTGAGTGACATCGCAAATGAATATAGCAGTCCTTAGCAATCCTTACCAAATATTTTCAGCTCTCTGCCTCCCAGACATGTGGTAGGATTGCACTTCCTGTGCCCCTAATGGTTGGATGGGGCCAGGCAACAGTTCAGCTTGTTGAGTGGTAAGTGAAAGTACTATTTGTCTTTTCCAGGCTGACGTATTTTGCTGCTGGTGCAAGACTGTCCAGAGCTTCTTTTCCTCTGGCACAGTGACTGTCAAGATTTGGGGTGGTGGCTGTTCCATCTGCCTGCATCTCTGAGTGACTAAAGTGAACTGAGCTCCTCTACCGACCTGGGATGGATTTGTATTATGAGTAACGCTGTCTCCTGCTTTAAGTCCCTGAGCTTTTGGAATTGTTTCCAGAACATATTCTGGCTTATTCTGATGGTCATAGTCTGTTTGAGATCTAGTTTGATGCCCAAATGACAGAGACTGTTCTGGCTACAGATGCATTTGAGACTTTTGTGGGCAATGAGTTCATTTTATGGTGACTGTATCTAGAAACTAATAGAAAGCAGTGGAATCTGGCTGGGTGTGGCGGCTCATGCCTATAATCCCAGAACTTTCGGAGGCCGAGCTGGGCGAATTGCCTGAGCTGAGGCAATTCAACCCTGGGCAATATGGTGTATTTGCTGTATTTCCTGGTGACTATAAAATACCATAAAAAGGAGAATTTTGATTATATACTAAGTTTTTGCCTTACACAGTTAGAGCTTAACCCCAGCCTTAAGAGTTGGGCATTGACATTCTTGCCAAGTCCAAAAAACCGAGTCCTGTTTTGGAGCCTGGTGAGAATACATGTAAAGAAATGTAGACTAAGCACAGTTAGTAGATGTGAGGGCCTCTGGGCAAAACCACCCTTGGCAATATGGTGAAACCTCCTAAAATACAAAAAAATTAGCCAGGCATGGTGGCACACTTCTGTAATCCCAGCTACTCAGGAGGCTGAGGCGGAAGAATCACTTGAGCCTGGGAGGTGGAGGTTGCAGTGAGCCTAAATCGTGCCATTGCACTCCAGCCTGGGCTCTGCCTCAAAACAAAGCAAAAAGCAATGGAATCTGGTGCTCAAGTCAGTCCATTTGGACAATATGACCCCAAAGACCATTCCACTGAGGTAGGGACAAAAATCTGCAGCTTATACATAAAAGTCTGATGATGTAACTGTCCCTGTTTCAATGCTAGTGAGTGGTTCTGGCTCACATCTCTTCAGGGTATGTAAGGGTGCTGATCTGGGATTAATTCTCTCTATCCTTTTTAAATTTTAAAAATTTAGTCATTTTTAAATTTAGTCATTTTATTTTTTTAACTTAGTTATCATTTATTTCATTCAGCCATTTCTGTTTTAAATAGTATAATTTCAACTTTTATTTTAGATTCAGGTGGCACACGTGCAGGTTTGTTACCTGGGTATGTTGCCTGGTGTGGAGGTTTGGGGTACGACTGATCCCATCATCCAGGTAGTGAGCATAATACTCAATAGTTAGTTTTTCACCCTTGTCTCCCCTCCCTGCCCCAAGTAGTCCCCAGTATCTATTGTTTCTCTCTTTATGTCCCTGAGTGCCCAAAGTTTAGCTTCCACTTATAAGTGAGAACATTCAGTATTTGGTTTTCTGCTTTGTTAATTCACTTAGGATAATGGCCTCTATCTGCATCTACGTTGCTACAAAGGACACGATTTTGTTCTTTTTTATGGCTGCAGAATATTATATGTCATGATCTTCTTGATGATAGGAAAAATCTTTATCTCTTTCTTAGAAAGTCCTGTTATTTGGGCCTAAACACTGACCTTTTGGCAAAATGTTGCCAAAGTCTCTTCCCTGGGAAAACAAAAAAAACCCAAAAAACCCATTGTGAGTTGGAGAGTGCCTCAGAGACCCTCACATCTACTAGCTGAGCTTAGTCTACATTTCTTTACATGTATTCTCACCAGGCTCCAAAACAGGGCTGGTTTTTTTTTGGACTTGGAAAGAATGTCAAAAAGGCCTAACTCTTAAGGCTGGGGTTAAGCTCTAAAGGTGTAAGGCAAAAATTTAGTATATAATCAAAATTCTCCTTTTTGTGGTATTTTATATTCACCAGGAAATACAGCAAATGTAGTTTGGGGTATAGAGTCTCAGCTCATAGTAAGTCCAGCACTGCCATTTCCCCCGGTGTTGGAATCACGGACTCCTGAGTTGAATAGATCTTGAGGTTCCTGAGAAAGAGTGCCTTACATGTGGAGATTATATCATATTAAACATTTTTTTCTCCTCCTGAGCATATTCAGTTGAATTTGTGGAAGCTACATGTTTGTTTGTGGGGATTCCACTACCCTACCTACAGTGTGGGGCCAACAGTAGTGTAAGAGAAACTCAATTTAGTATCCAATGTGGACTAGCACAAAACATTTTCAAACTCTTGGCATTCTCTAGTAGACTTCTGCTCATCTTAGATATCCCTTAAGGTCACCAGAGCAACAACCCTAAAGAACTGTTCTGGTGGCAGATTTTCAAAAATTAGTGTGGAATCCAACTCCTTGTTAAGTGAAAGTGATTAGAAAGCATTTCAAGTATGCAGTCCTTGACTGCTGAAAGTGGCAGATGGTGTGAGCTAGTACATTATGTCAAGGAATCCATGTGCATTTTTGCAACCATTTACAGCTCTTGGTATATATTAATACTCCCAAATGCTGTCATCACAGGAGCCTGGCCAGCTGACCCTTGTCAAATGTGCCATTTCTTTTTTGTTTTCAAAAGGCTTCATTTCAGTCCTCTCCTAGGAGAAACTTGTTCAGAGGTTTTGTTAAGAATTCAAGGCTTTCAAAATGAGTCTTTAAGAGTCTCTTATTTTATCCATGTTCTTATTTGTCTGGGATGGATGTTGGGGTTGAAAGATATTTTTTCCCCTGTTGTGGGGTAGCTCCCTCCTCTATGTGATAACATTTAAGGGAAGACAGAAGCAACATGGGTTCACAAACTTCAGCTCATTGACCCTACACCAAATGCAGTAGTGGGAAGTGGAAACCTTGGTTAGACCAGGTAGTTCAAATCAAATTTCCTAAATTAGGCAGGTTCTTATGCCTCCATCTGCTAAATGCCTAAGAATAATGTAAAAACGTTTCAGCCTGAGTCTGACGTCTAGCACATCTCTTCCTTCCCATGAAGCTGTACTCCAACCTGTACTTACTTATCTGCTGAACACATCATTTTCGCTCTTCACCCTTACCCTCATGTCTATTACAGGGAGAATTTGGTCTTAGGGTCTGGATGTAGTTCAGTATAAAAGAGAAAAATTTTGAGAACTGATAGACATCATGAGGAAAGTCATAAGAGCTCAGTTCCAGGTCCTTCAAGCTTAGCAATGGAGGAAAAGGTGCTTCTGTAACCTCAACAAACTCTTGTTTCTAAAATTCACTGTGCTTTGGGAGTCAGTTACTAATTATGGCCATCCAAGCCTCAATGAGCAAAATTCTCCTCTCTTAATGCTCTGCTACTCATAATTTGCACACTTATATTTTAATACATTGTTCCCCATAGTACAGGGAGGCCAGGTGGGAACATTTAAATACAACCTTAGGACAGACAATGAAGACCCAGGAAGGTGAGGGGGTGAAAGGAGGTGGATGATGAATAATTACTTAATAGGTACAATGTACATTATTTGGGTGATGGATACTCTAAAAGCCCTGACTTGACCACTGTGCAATCTATGCATGTAACAAAGTTGTACTTGTACCCCCAAAATTTATGCAATTAAAAAAATAGGACCTTACTAAAGGCTCAGGAATAACAACAGGGACACAGACACATAGAGACAAATAGCAGATGACTTGAGGAGAGGGCTTATAAGGGATATCACAGCCATTTTTATTCCACTCATATTTATCGAGCACCTCGTATGTTCCAGGCACCATGTTATATGCTATGGATGGAGCACAGGACAATGGATATTTGGTCCCTACCTTCATGGGGTTTTTAGTGTAGAGTGGAGATCCTTCATTTGTGAAAACAGAGATGAGGAGTGCCCAATTCAGCCCTGGGGAGTGGGGGAGGAAAATCATTCTGGAAGAAGCAGAAATTGTCTAGATTTGGTTGCAGTAGATTTGAATGTATGCGACAGTGGGATAGGAAGGGTTGGAGGAGAAAATGCTCTAGGCAGAGGGAATAACACATGCAAAG
The DNA here is from genome assembly GCF_000001405.40 of Homo sapiens. Lineage (NCBI taxonomy): Eukaryota > Metazoa > Chordata > Mammalia > Primates > Hominidae > Homo > Homo sapiens. The sequence continues at coordinate 52,782,251 of NC_000016.10, read as the reverse complement.
GTACAGACATGAGCACATGGCCCATTTGGGCACATTTAATTGCAAGGTAGCCTGAGCATAGCCTGAGAGGTGATCATGGGGAAAGAGAGAAGGGGCTGGGTCCCAGTGTGTTGCCTTCCTGCCTGGTTTCTGGCCCTCATCCATACTGTTTTTCCCTGCCCATCTGGGAGTATCTCTGGCAAATCTAAATGCTCTAGAATGTAGGTGCAAGAGGGTCACTCCTCAGAGAAAAAGCCTGCTGAGGCAGGCAAATCACTTGAACCCAGGAGGTGGAGGTTGCAGTGAGCCAAGATTACACCATTGCACTCCAGCCTGGGTGACAAGGGTGAAACTCTGTCTCAAAAAAAAAAAAAAAAGGAAGTTTACCTTTCTTTAAGGCCAGTGGCTACTAAGAGGCACAGGCAAGATTCATTACGTGGCAGTTTGAACCCAGAGCCCATGTTCCTTGCCACGAGCCTGTAACACTTTTCTAGGGAGGCCATGAATACAGAAAAAAGTGTTGCATAAATGTAGAGGGTTATTTATTTTTTTCACCAGGGAGATGGGGAATGCCTTATGAGTGAAGACCAAAGAGGCCACAGCAATGAGCAAATTTCTGAAAGCCACTTTCTCTCAGAAGCATTAGCTGCCATCAGCAGGCTGGACTGAAGGGATTCCTCATTGTCACACAAAACACTCTTTCCTCCACCATCTTCCACTCTCATTTCGGGACCATAAACATTGCGACAGGTACTGATTGGTTTGAGGCCATCAACGTGAGTTTACAAAAGGGGAGGTCATGCCTAATCAGCATGATTAATATCGCCTGTGAAGTGTCTCCAAGCTGCCCCCACAGCAAGGAAGAAGCTAGCATCTGCCTGGACTCAGAGGAGACTCTTATAGGAAGCAGGCAAAGCGGTGGAGATGAATCTGGGAACTGACAGTGAAATATCGACGTGGAGGGCAAAACCAGTTTGTCAAAAGCTCCTGTGAGTCGAGAGACAGAAGCCCTGATTTGCCCCTTCACAGAGAATTCTTAGAGTCTCTCACCCCGCCAGCTCCCAGGGGAGCTGAGCCTGGCCCTAGGACTGCCCCCAAAGGCCTTGCTTCTGTGCTGACACCACTGAACCCTCACTTTTACCTCCGGTTTGGGAAACAGGGGCACTGTCTGTAGGGAAATCAAATCACGGGTGCAGTTACAGCTGATTTTAGAACCTAATCCCTATGTAAGATGTACACCAGGACCTTTTTTAAATTTCCCTGGCCACAGACAACTCTATTAGCCCAAATTAAAGCCATAGAGGTTTAATATTACAGCAGAATGAAGCTGACCCTATAGGCAGTCAGTGAGCTTTAGAATTCTTCACCTCTCCCCATTCACTGCTAGGGATTTGATAGGCATCTTAAAGGGCAAGGAAGCACAATAGACAGACATCTGCATCTAGACCATGAGGCAGCAAACTTTTTCAGTAAAAGGCCAGATAGAAAATATTTTAGGCTTTGAGGGCCATATGGCCTCTGTTGCATGCTGTGGTGGTGGGAAAGCAGCCGTATGAAATACGTAAATGAGGGGGTCTATATGCCAATAAAACCATTTACAAAAACAGGTGGTGGGTTGAATTTGGCCCACAGGCCATAGTTTGTTGACCCTTGATCTAGACTCTTCTTTTGTAGATCTTAAACTTGAATGTGCCTGAGGATTTTACTGTGGAGGGATAGGTTTATAGAGACAATGTTGCTTTTCAGGGTTTCTAAAGATGATTCTGATTATACATAATTTTGCAAAGGCTTGTTCCCAACCCTCGCTTATGTGTGATTTTTAAGAAAATGTCTGAGTGTCAAATTTGCAAAAAGGAGAATTGGGTACCAGAGAGGTTAGGTAATTTGGAAGTGACAGAGTTGGGATTTAAACTCTTATCAGTCTGTTTTTAGAGTTGTGTGTAACAAACATCTTGAATTGACTGACAGAGAAATAACTCGTCTTTCAGGACAGTGCTTCACACCGCATACTGCTCAGTTAGGTACTTACCAGGCTTTTTTGGTGATTATAATATGACTAAGAAGAAGGAATAATAAGGGACATCTACTGGCTGGCTGCAGTGGCTCATGCCTGTAATCCCAACACTTTGAGAGGATGACATGGGAGGATTGCTTAAGGCCAGGAGTTTGAGACCAGCCTGGGCAAGACAGCAAGACCCCATATCTAAAATATAAAACATTAGCTGTGCATGGTGATGTACGCCTGTAGTTCCAGCTACTTGGGAGGCTGAGGCTGGAGGATCGCTTGAGCCTAGGAGTTCAAGGCTGCAGTGAGCTGTAATCATGCCACTGCACTCCAGCCTGGGTGACAGAAAGAGACTTTGACTCTAAAAAAAAAATAAATAAAAAAGATGGGCACTTACTAAGGAAGAGTAGAAAAGGCACTATCAGAGCCCATTCTCCAAATAGCTTCTGTCCTCCCTTCATCTCCTCTTTCCCCACCTCCCTACAATATAAATCCTTTGAAATACAATAATGCTTTCAGTGGACCTGTACATTTCTATTAACTATCAGGATAATATTTGGCCAAAGTCATGGGACTCACATTTCTTGACAAAGTATGATGTCATTTAGAAGTTCATGTTCTTGACATTGTTTCAAAAGTCCTGTTAAAAAAGCCAAATATGTTTTTATGGGCTCTCACAGCAGGGAGGCAGCCATGGTAATGCATGGCCATATCAATTAGAAGTGGATTAATTAAGCAATAAGACAGGAGTAGCAGTGCATTTCGGAGAGGTTATTGCACGGCTCATAGAGTGCTGCTGAGGCATCCAGCCAAGAGTCGAGTGACTTCCACTGGCCAAGGCATTTCAGCCATCCAAGACAAGTAATGCTCTCCCAGAAACAGTATCCTCTGCCATCCATTTCCACTGTGAGAAATAAAAAGACCCTTTTATTAATTAGGTGTTATTAGGCATGGGCAAATTGACAGCCATTTCATTATTTCATAATTATGATTAATGGCCTTCCCAATGAAGTCATCGCCTGTGATCCCAAAGCCAATCGGTCCCTTTTGGGACAAGTGTCACCAAGTCATGGTTAATGTTCCTAGAAGCATGGAACACATAGAATGTTACAAACCCTGGGGAGGGAGAGTGAGTCTCAATTGCCTTTGGAGACTGTTTGCACAGGAAGTGGGCCTCTTCTGGGGGGATCTCATCTCTAAAGAGGCCTGGGGTGGGGGTGGGGGTAATGCATGAACATGATATGGGAGGAGCAGTGGCAAGAAGGGAAGAGGCCGGGCGATAACTATCACAGCTTTCGAGCCATATTTGCTCCCTACTAAGCAAGTTCGCATGGGATTTTCATTTGAATTCTTCAACAATCTCCTGCAGTGATGTTGTTCTATGACTATAGATGACAAAACAGACTCAGAAAGGTGAGGAACTGGCTTAAGGTCATCAAGCTATTATGTGGCAGGGTTGGCATTCAAACCCAAGGCTCTGGACTAGTGCCCAAAATGTTCTCTGGGCGGGACTCTCCAGACCAGGGTGACAACCACGGGATGCTCGGCAAATTCACCCATTTGATTAACAGGAAATCACTGGACACTTTTTTTTTTTTTCCTCTAGGCAATCCAGAAACACAAAGATGAACAATCAGATAACAGAGAGTGATATGGGCTGAGTTGAGTCCCTCCTAAAACTCATAAATCTTAATCTAGGGCCTCTAAACAGGTGATTCAAGTAAAGTGTGGTTATATGGATGGGCCCTGATCTGATGCCACTAGTGTGCTTATAAGAAGAGGAGATTAGGCTGCAGAAACCACAGAGGGAAGAACATGTGAGGACACAGGGAGAAGACAGACATCCACCCTGCAAGGAAAGAGGCCTTGGAAGGAACTAACCCTGCAGATTAATCTTGGATTTGTAGCCTCCAGAACTGTGGCAAAACAAATTTCTGTTGTTTGTGCAACCTACTCTATGGTACTCTGTTACTGGAGCCCCAGCAAACTAATACAGATAGAAAGAGAATATAGCCCAACATAAATGTGATCAGAGCTAAAAAAGGAGCAAATGAAAGAGATGAGATGAAATAAAATAGAATAAAATAAAAACCATTTTTGGGTGGGCATTCTGGCAATAGGTACCCACATTTTAAATGTTCATACCCCTTGATCCAGATAGTCAATATTTAGAAATTTATTCTAAATAATAAGTTTGTATAGATATATTTAACATGATTATAAGTTCAGGATCACAGGAAATTGGAAGCTATCAAAATTTCTTTGAGAAGGGGACTTGTTCAATAAAGTAGGGTACATCAATGCCATGGAATAGAATGAGTTGTTGGAAAAGGGTGAGGTAGATACAATAGTATTGACCAGAAGGACATCTATAATATATCAAGTAAAAAAGGTAGATTGTTTAGGGGGATTCCATTGATGTATACTTACATTTAGAAAACATCTAGAAGGATACACACCAAACTATACACAGTGACTCTCTCTGGGTGGCTGTCCTTTCGGGAGACTTTGGCTTTCTACTCGATGTGAGTTTGGAAGACAGAAAGAAAGATGTGCTCTGGTAGGGGGACAGCTTTCTAAACTTCATTAGTAAGTCATGTTCTGAGAATTGAATGCATGCAGATGTGTTTGGGAAACAAAAAGCAACAATAACCATCACTTACTAAGTGCTGTTCTATTTGCTTTCCATGAAATAACTCATTTAGTCCTCCCTAAGGCGCTATGAGTTAGGTACTGATATGAACCTCAATTTGCAGATTAGGAAACTGAGGTAGGTCTAGAGAGGATATGTGTATAAGTTGCCCAAGGTCACATAGCCAGCAAGTGAACTGAGATCTGAATCCAGGTAATCTGGTTTTAGAACTTGTTACTGTAGTTAAGAAGACGTACTCTTTTTAAGGGAATTTTATTATCCAGTGTGTATTTATCTTGGGTGCAGCCTAAAGGTGGTGATGATGATAATAGCAGCTTCCATTTATGGTGCATTTATATATGCCAGGCAATATGTCATTTGTACATATTATCTCATTTAATCTTAATAATAATCCTGAGAAGTATTACTAATATTCCTGTTTTTCAAAAGAGAAAGCTCAGGTTCGGAGATGTTAAGTAACTTACCAAAGGTGACACAATTGGTAAGAAGTAAAACTAGGACACAGAATGTGGCTTGACACTTAACCACTGTGTTTTACGGCCTCTTAGAGAACCAGTCAGCTTCAGCAACACTCACCTCGGCCCTCCTCAATATTTATATTAAGTTGAAATCAGGTTTAACTGAAAGTCAGCAGCAGTTTGAAGATTGAATTAGTGGCAGCTCTCAACGTTTCCTGGAGTCACTGACTTCTTCCTGCTCTCTGGGTCCCAGGTTTCTTAGATCCTGTCCCCAAACAGGCACCTGCGGCCCGAGGGGGCAGGTGCGTCTCAGCAGAAACCAGTGTAGACCAAGAACCTATGACCAGAAGCCTGCGGAAGCTCCAAGGCTTTGGAACAACCTGGGGTGGCTGAACAGAGAGCTCCAGATAGTGACTGAGATTGACTCACTCTGGCTTGGTGGGTTGGAAGGCTGGGAGTCAAATTTAAGCTGATGTAAAGAAAATAAAGGGAAAACAAAACTACTTTCTCTAGCTTGCCAGCATTTTGAGGACTGAGATTTATACTTATCACTGTTGCTGTTTCTTGAGTGCTGTTTGCGTTTCCCCACCGGGGCTCTGTCCATGCTGCTCCCTTCACTGTGTTGCCCTCTGTGCCTTTTAGACTTTCAAAATCCAAGCTCTTCTTCCTAGAACCTGCTCAACTCTCAGGAGTCCTTCTTAGCTCCTCCAAAGGAGAACCTGCTTCTCCTTCTTTATTCTCTCGTCCCTAAACTTCTTGGTACCCTGCTCACAGCCTTGGCCAGCCTCGAACTTGTTGCATTGGGATGTGGGTAAGTGATTCCCAACCCACTCCTCTCATACACAAAAATATGACTCTCAGGAAGACAGGACTCACCCATTACTTATATTTTTACCCATCACATCCCCCTTTATTGTGTGCTGCGTCTATCAGGTGCCTAAAAATATATACACAGATCTAAAAATGAAGGGGACTCTTCCTTCTCAAGAGTCTCATGGCAGCTCTATTTTCCTTCCTGTGCCAATTCCTAAACTTGTTTTCTCCTTAATAATGATAGTTGATATTTACTCAGCATTTACTATGTGCTACCACAGTTCCAAGTGCCTTAGTACATGTTCTCACTCCTCAAAACAACCCCTCACTGTAGATAGCATCATTATACCCATTTTATGAATGAGGATGCCGAGGCTGGCAGATAGGAGGTGTATTAGTCAGGGTTCTCTAGAGAGACAGAACTAATAGTATATATATATATATATATATATATATATATATATATATATATATATATACATACACACACACACACACACACACATATATACACACACACATATGTATATATATGTGTATATGTGTGTGTGTGTATATATATATATGAATTTATTAAGGAGTATTAAACTTACACGATCACAAGGTTCCACAATAGGCAGTCTGCAAGGTGAGGATCAAGGAAGCCAGTCCGAGTCCAAAGCTGAAGAACTTGAAGTCTGATGTTTGAGGTCAAGAAGCATCCAGCATGAGAGATAGATGTAGGCTGGGAGGCCAAGCCAGTCTAGCCTTTTCACATTTTTCTGCCTGCTTTATATGCTGGTTGCACTGGCAACTGATTAGATGGTACCCACCCAGATTAAAGGTCGGTCTGCCTTTCCCAGCCCACTGACTCAAACGTTAATCTCATTTGGCATCACCCTCACAGACACACCCAGGATCAATACTTTGCATCCTTCAATCCAGTCAAGTTGACACTCAGTATTAACCATCACAGGAGGTAATCATTAAAATGTGTGTGGATCATGGAATACTATATATCCACAAAAAAGAATGAGATCATATCTTTTGCAGGAACATGGATGGAGCTGGAGGCCATTATCCTTAGCAAATAAATGTGGGAATGGAAAACCAAATACCACATGTTCTTACTTATAAGTGGGATGTAAATGCTGAGAACACATGGACACACAGAGGGAAACAATACACACTGGGACCTATGAAGGGTAGAGTGTGGAGGAGGGAGAGGATCAGGAAAAACAACTAATGGGCACTAGGCTTATTACCTGGGTGATGAAATAACAGACAACACACCCCCACGACACAAGTTTACCTACATAACAAACCTGCACATGTATCCCTGAACTCAAAAGTTAAAAAAATGTTTGTGGAATGCATGGTGAATTTATACACAGCCACATTTCTAGAATGTAGTAGAACTGGGATAAAAAGCCATCCTAGCCTTCATCTCTGCACTTTTTTTCCTCCTTGCAGGACTAGGTATTTAATTGGCAGGACCCAGTGCAGGAAAAAAAAAAAGTAGAGTCCTCTGTTAAAAAATTAAGAATTTCGAGATGGTCATGGCAGAACAGTACACCAACTTCATTTTAAAGTGTGAGGCCCCATGTGACTACAGAGGTCACACACCCAGGAGGCTGGCCCTGCCTCCTTGGTCACCACTGTCCCTTCTATCCCCATGAAGCTGAGCCCAAACCCTCTGGCCCACCTAAGCTTGCCTCTTTCGGGACTTTGGGGATGTATCACCTCTTTAATTTTCAATCCTCTGAATCTACTGCTGCCTTTTGTGCTCTAGGTATAGGTACTGGAAGGATGGGCAAGAGTTAGAAAGGAAGCTTGCACCACAGGGTTGAGGTGGGGTGAGAGATGGTAGAGCTGAAAAGCAGGGTGGCCAGGGCTTAGGTAAATGCAAGTCCCTCCTCACAGACGCCAGTGGCAAAGTTGGGTGGAATCAAAGACGTGCTCGTTTGAGGGATGATTTAGCACATGGCAAAAATAAAGTTGCTGTAAGACTTTCTATTTTTATTTTTATAGAGACAGGGTCTCTTTCTGTCACCCAGGCTGGAATGCAGTGGTATGATCATGACTTACTGTAGCCTTGAACTCGTGGGCTCAAGCGATCCTCCTCCTTCCACCTTCTGAATAGCTGGGATTACAGGTGTGCCATCACGCCAGACTAATTTTTATTTTTTCGTAGAGATGGGGGTCTTGCTATGTTGTCCAGGCTGGTCTCGAACTCCTAGCCTCAAGCAATCCTCCTGCCTCAGTCTCCTAAGGGATTACAGGCATGAGCCACTTCACCTGGCTGAGCCTCTGATTTGGTAGAGAGAGGAGGGAAGGGCATTATTATAATGCTAAATGGTAGGTTTTACCTATGAATGTTTACTGAATGCCCAGCACTGTGCCAAGATCTTTGTATACACTTTTTCCCATTTAATCCTCAGGACAATTCTATGGGACAAATAACATGAATATACCCTATTTGTAGGTGAATGAAATGAGTCTAAAGTCCCTGAAGAATTTGCCTCATCTTGTGTGTGTCCAAGCTAGGACTGAAGCTCAGGTCTTTGTGATCAGCTCCAAAGCCTCTACTCTTATCTATTATTCTTTTTATTTTTATATTTATTTATTTATTTTTAATTTTTTTATTTCCACAAATTTTTGGGAAACAGGCAGTATTTGGTTACATGAATAAATACTTCAGTTGTCATTTGTGAGGTTTTGGGGCATCCATCACTGGAGCCGTATACACTGAACCCAAATTGTAGTCCTTTATCCCTTGCCCCTTTCCCACCCCTTCCCCCCGAGTCCCCAAAGTCCATTGTATCATTCTTATGCCTTTGCATCCTCATAGTTTAGCTTCCACTTATGAGTGAGATTCTTTTATAATCTTTTTCTTCCATGTAGCTTGCCTAGCATACTTGTAAAAGGCAGAATTTTGGTGGGGAATACATGGCAATGTTGGCTACTGATGATAATTGTTTATTTCCCCCTCCTATTTCTCCCCATAGGCCTCAGGGAACTCCAAATAGCTCCTCTTCATACCTCTTCTAATGAGCTGGTTTAAAATAGCTTCTCCTATGTGGCAAAATGGCTCCTAGTCATGGGTCTGGTGGCGGGGAAGTTATCTAATCCAGTTAGAATGCTGTTCTTCCCTTGCTGTTTTGTCAGAGAGGTGATACCTGAGTCCAAAGCTGAGTAATTAAAAACCCTCTTAACACCACTTGAAATCAAGTGCCTCATATGCAACATGCTGAGTCTTCAGTCCTCTGGGCTTGGGGTAATTATTGTCTTTTAATACCAGTCTCAATTGTGGTTTGAACCTCACTAGAAACAAATAGAATAAAAACAACAAAATCTTTAAAAAAAAACCCAACAATACAAACCTACCAAAAAATGATGCCCTGTAATTGTTTCCCATAATTTTATACCCCACTCATTATTATTTGAATTTAAAAAGCAAATCTCAAACCTGAATTAACAAGACACCCTTTTGGATAGTAGTTTGGCTTCAAGTCATCATGCATTTTTTTTTCATGTATCAAAAAATCTCACATTTACCAAAATAGTTTATAGTTAATTACATTTCACTGTGAGTTAATATTGACTTTATATGTCTACACTAGCAAGTTATAAATTTTGCACACCTGCAATGCTCTGATTTGCCTTTTCAGAGCATTTCAGAATCTTCCTCAGCTACCGAAGATGGGCTCTCTTTTCCCTGGAGGTGAGGAGATAGGTGCAGGAATTGGGGATCAGGCAGTTGGAAGTGAGGTTAATCTTTTCATTTTGCTCTGCTACTTTTGAGCAGGTGCAGGCAACTCCCTGGTGTGTGTGTCCATGAATGATAAATTCTCCCTAAGTGGTTTCCTTTACTCCCTTCCTGCTTTTCCCTACCCAAGTCAAAATCATCATCATCATCATCATCCTCAAACCATTTTGTGAGTTACATGCCAGTCCATAGGAAATAGCCAATAGCCAAGTGCAATGCCAAACACCATATATATATATCTACATATTTACTTCCAACATCTATTTTAGGCTTTGCAATATGCTGTGAAGCAGATTTTATTTTTATTTTGCAGATGAGGAAACTGAAGCTAGGAGAGGTCAAGAAATTTGCTCAAGGTCACGTAACTAGTAAGTGGCAGAATTGTGATGTGCATCTGAGTCTTCGAGCTCTAAGGCATGCCCTCTTCACCACAGTGGTATGCTCCTTCCACAGGGCATCCCAGAGGGAATGAGCTGCAGGATTATGGAATGGAGTCACAGGTGGTTCCAGCTCTTCAGTTCTGCAAATTCTCACTCTGTCTCAAACCCTGGTGGCCAGACAATAGCCTGAGCAGATACTTTCTAAAGAATGTTTACTGCAATTCTATATAAAATCAGAAAAAGCGAGAACAACCAATCTTTCATCAACATGGAATTAGAAGTAATGAAGAAGGGTGCCTGCCCACAGTGGTATACTCCTCAACCGCTGTAAAGAATGTCTGAGCTAAACTGATTGTGGACTGAAGAGGGGCAGTGAGACAGGTTAAGGGACTTGTCTTACATCATACTTGCACCTTCCCTTGGCTCCTTATCTTCTTATCTCCTCCCTAGAAAGCTCAATAAGTTTTATGTGCCATAGAGAGTTGGAAACCCAACCTTCCTCTTGCTGTCATCAGCACTAGGGGGAAAATGAGAGGCTGGATAGTGCAGAGGTCAATAAGAGACTTGGCCTCAGCTAAACCTGAGTTTGAACCTAGAGCTGGCAACCCCTCTACCCCCAGTTTCCTACAGCCTCCCCGTAAAGTAGTAGAGCAGAAGTGGTGGTTTTGTGGTGGGTCTAGAGGACTGCATCCACTGAGACCCCTCCTCCTCCTGTGGCTGGCACAGAGCAGCAGAGACAAGCCTGAGTGTCTAAAGGTCGAAAGACCACTGGGCCGGGAGAATCCTGCCATTGCAGACAGGAGAGGACACAGCCATCACTACTGAGGACTGATGATCAGCACCAGATGGAGGCCTCTCAGTGGACGTCAGCATGCATGTCTAAGTGCCCTTCTTCCCTAATGACTTGGCTCTAGATAAGTCACCCCAAACTAAAGTAGCCCACGAAAAAAAAAATAAAAAGAAGAATCCAAAACTCCTGGAGCAGGGCCTGGAACTGGAAAGTAAGTTCAGTTATAGGAATATAACATTAAGTTTTTTGTGACTCTGACTTAGTGGCCTGAAATTCATAGTCGCTGCAGTGATTATGTTTTGAAGTGGGTTTGAGTGGAATTCTTGGGATGGCTCACCTTAAAAAGAACCCAGTAACCTCTTGTCATTTCTGCAACAGGTTGGGCGGTGACACACTCTCCTGCCTTATGGAAGACTTTGCATCAGCATGACGAGAAGTGGTGGCTGATGACTCCAAGGTGCTGAGTAGCTTTATTAATCACAACTACAGACTAAAGGCTGTGTGTTTTCTCTGGAAGTGGAGTGAGAGATTGCCTTGTCTCCTGCCGCTCCCACAGTATAATCAAGGCATCAAGCTAAATTAAAGGAAATGCCATCTTCCCGTGACAGCAGGTGCAAAATTACCTCTAATTATGAATTTGCTAGGTACAACAGTGACTCTGTGTGAATTATAACATTGCATTCATTAAAACAACCATTTAGGGTCTCACTTACCTTGTCATGCATATAGAATCCCAGAATCTGAGAGTGAGTTCATATCAAATCTGCTGTGCTCTTGGAGAACTGTGCTGGTCTGACAATTTGTGACCTGACATTTTTGTTCAAAGTCTACATTTCAGAGTAAGGACTGCCGGGTCTGAGTCCCAGATTTACTATGGACTGGCATATGACTTCAATAAGTCAGTTATCTTATTGAGCTCAGGTTTTTTTTCTTTTCTTCTTAAACGTATTCTCATACCCATTTTACAGATAAGGAGGTCAGGGCTCAAGGAGGCCAGAGGTTTGAGTTGAGGTGAATTCTCGACATCACATGGTTATCCTGTGATATCAATTCTATTCTACCCCAAGTTTCTGACGTCAAAGCCAGTATCCTGTCTGCTGTGCCATGCCACCACCTGGGCCAGCTACCAAAAACATGTTTCTGGACTTTTCCCATGCCCTCCTTCCCTGGGCCAGAGGCCTGATTCTTAGAGGGATCTTGTAGCCTCTTGGCTGATAAGGGCTCTCCCTGTGGTGTGGACACAAGCCTTTTTTTGATGGATTTTTTTATTTGTGAGTCTGGGTATTTCTTCCTCCTGTAAATGGTTATTTCTCTACACAGATACACGTGGGAGAATATTTAATTAGAACTGAAAATGTTTTGAGCACATTAAGTACAATCTAAGTGATAAGTATCATGATCTTTAAATGCTACAATAAGCATTATAATACATGCCTAATTCACTGATGAACACTTGGCATGTCTTTGACAAATTCTTAATAAATTGCTCAAAAGAGCCCTTTAGAAAGTGTCATTTCACACTATATAACTCTACCTCTGATATTTCTCAACCTTGTCTATCTGCAGAAATGGGAAATTCTCTTGAACATTTTTCTTAACTGATTCTGATTAATGGGCTTTGGTGCAAACTCCCAGGGACTTGTTGCAATATACTGTAAATGAAATCTGCTAGCTACACAATTTGAAAAGTGAAGGCTGTAGTCTCCAAGTTTTCAAAAGCAGCCCATTTCACCTAGACAATGAATTATGGGATCCATAAGTACATAGAAAGCCCGAATCCTGTGCCTGGTATGTATCTTCAAGGGAAAAACTGTATGAATCTTACAAAGACTATCCCCAGCCCAGATGTCATCTGGAGGGTATTAAGAGAAGATTTGTAGCAATTTAGTTGATTGTTAGTGTTAGGGGCAGCGATTCCTTAGTATCAAAGTACTCCATAAATTCTCTCTATGCCCAGATCTCAAGATTTGCAATTAAATTTGGGCAGAAGTAAAAGATATTTTGAAAATTAATTTTTTTTAAAAAGGCATTAATTTAAGAAAGTCTGTGGCTACATAGAAACTCTTAAATTACTTGAAAGTGGAAAAAGCAACACTGGGTTTGGCAGGATCATTTATTTCCTAGTATGTGCCTCAAGCTGGCTGTTCTAATTGGAAGAATTTGATAGTAAGTAATTTCAATCTTCTTTATCTGCATTAGAATATCTCTAAAGATTAAAGATGCTTGTACTGATGAGGTAGGTGAAGCTCAAAGAGGTTAAATGTGTTGCACATGTTTGTACTGATAATAAGAGGGACTGGTTCACTCACTTTTGAAAACAAGTACCCTTTTTAAAATTTGGAATAATTTTAGATTTACAGAAACGTCTCTAAGATAATACAAAGACTTCCTGTATACCTGTTACCCTGTTCTTCCTAATGTTAGCATCTTACATAGTGATGGTGGATTTGTCAAAACCAAGAAATTAACATTAGTACATTACTATTAACTGAACTCTAGAATTTATTCAGATTATATATAAAATATATATTAAATTATTAAATATATATAAATATATATTATATATATAAAATCAGAATTATATATTTTTATATATGTTTTGTCTTTCACTAATGCTCTTTTTCTAATCCACGGTATCAAGATCAAGGACAGTCAAGATGCCACATTGCATTTAGTCATTATGTCTCTTTAGTTTTTTCTAGTCTGTTACAGTTTCTCAGTCTTTCCTGGTTTTTCATGATCTTGACAGTTTTGTGGAGTACTGGTCAGGTATTTTATAGAATATCCCTCAGAATGGGCTTGTCTTGATGTCTTTCTCATTAGGCTGGGGTTTTGGGGAAGAATGTCACAAATTTCTCATCATATCATATCATGCTATTCTGCTTTCAACATAATGTATCACCAGCAACATTAACATTGATCTCTTGGTTAAAAGAGTGTCTGCCAGGCTTCTGGGGCTACAGTTTGGATAAGTGGAAAAGAGAGTGGTAATTGATTAGTGACATCTGCCATGAGTACAGACTGAGGTAACAGTGGTACTCACAGCAGGTATTCCCCATCCCTGACTCATATTACTTAAGACCATCACTTTTTGCTGATAAAGAATCTGAGATTTTTGTTTGCAGAATTTCATGTCATTGTACTTGTGGCCCAGTCATCTACATCCTAAACATTCAAATACCAAATATTTGCTGAGCACCTATAATATGCAAGGACCATATTTATGTTTCTCACTTTAATTGACTAAGAGAATATTACGGCTTAAGGAGGTACTTAAAGAGATAATCCAATTTCTTCATTATTATCTTTCTAATAGAAAAATTAAGAACTCTGAAACACACACACACACACACACACACGCACAAACATACACACACTCACAGACACTCACGAGACCCAGAAAGTCACGATTATGGCCTGAAGCATAGAAGGCTGAGACTGGAATCCCATCTTCTGACGGCTTTAGCATGCTGAATTCTTGCTTAAGCCAATTACTACACTTACATAATTTACTTAAACTAGACTACCTATGGAGTACTGCTCCTCCAGGATACCATTGAAATTAGCACTTTTCAATGCGTAGGGGAATTGGGCATCAGAACATTTTCTCACCATCTCGTCAAAACCTTTTTAGTTGTTGTGTATAAATGAATGATTTTTACAAACAACTGTGGCTTTCAACAGTTCACTCATGTAAGAACAATTTAGTGAATACCAGCCATTTAACAGGTACTGAGTGAGATAGGTGCTGGTTATACATTAAGAAATAAAATAGACATGGCCCCTCCCCAAGGGCAACTTACAATCTAGTGAAGCATAAAAATATAAAATAGATTAAATAATAGCCAGGTGTGGTGTTGCATGCCTGTAGTCCCAGCTACTCGGGAGGCTGAGGCAGGAGGATTCCTGAAGCCCAGGAGGTGGAGTCCAGCCTGGGCAACATAGCGAGACCCTGTTTTTTTTTGAGCAAAGCAATAATAGAATAAATAATTACAAGGTATGAAGGATGCTGTAAAAGAAACAAGCATGGAGTGTTACCTAAATAAAACAAGGGAAGGGAAACTAAATAGGATGGCCAAGGAAGACTTGCCTCAGAAAGTGATGCTCAGACCAAGAAGGAGAGAACCTTGCAAGATGTCTGAGTCAGAGAGGGTCATGTACACAGAGGTCTAAGGGGGAAGAAGAGGACAAGCCCAAGGAACCGGAAGACAGTGTGTGCGGCTGGATTTTAATAAATGGTGGGGCAGCAGATGTGTCAGTATACTGCTCAGAACCCCACAGCACTGTGTTCCTGTCTATAGTAGTAGCTTTCTCCATTATGATGGGTCAACATACTAGGCAGGCTACAGGTGCCGGGAAGTTGATGCTCCAGGAGCTGTTCTCAACCTACAATGAATGAGAGTTGGTGGGTCAACATCATCCCAGCCTCCCCCTCACCTTGGGACAGATAACTCAAAGGCATGTTCTGTGCTTTTGACTATCTGCTGGGAATCCTCAGTGGGATGGAACCTTGGCTGCCCATTGCGATAAGCTCTTCGATAAGAATCCTTTCATTCCTTTCATTTGGTTTCCTTCCTTACACTCCCTTCCTTCCCCATTCCCTTGTCAGTTGCTTTTCAAATAAGCTACTTGGATTCATATACTTGTTTCAGAGCCTCATTTGGAGGAACCCAACCTAAGATAAATGGAAAAGGTGATACATGCTGAGGTTGGAAATGTAGGGAGAGGCTAGATCACACAGGTCTTAGTCGGCTTTGTAAAAAGTTTGATTTAATTCTAAGTGTAATAGGAAGGAACTGAAGGCTCTTAAGAAGGAGTGACTTGATTAAATTTAGATTTTAAAAGGATACTCTAAAAATATAGGTTAGCTTTACAATCGTCGATTTAGAAGACATCTTAGAGATGATCTATTTGAACTCTTACTTTGTAGAAAATAAAAGTGAGATCCATAGAAGCAGTGATTTTCCTGAAGCCACACAGTGGTGGAGGAAAGATTACTATGAGTTAGATCTTGTGACCAAGGTCTTCTGATTGTCCAGGACTCAGTGGTGGCCCTTTGATAACTTTTCAGTGTCTCTGATAACCTCTTAGAGCAGTTTCACCCAAGACAGCATTTGCTAAGAAAAGCAAAATGAATTTTGAGTTCAACATCATTCTGTAAGGACTGCTTTAGATAATTACCATAACATGTTAGACAGTTGAAATTGCAGGGGAGAAAAACAGTTAAGGCAGTGCCCTAGTTATTAAGTATTAAAGACACTGAAGGTTTTTCCTGTTAAATAAGTACCAGGATAGGGCACGATAACCATTTGCAAATATTTGTAAAGGTGCAGACAGTGAGAAGAAAGAGAAATTACTTAGCTTAGAACAGTGGAGGAGAGCTTGAAGTAATGAGGTGGAACAAAAGGGAAATATTATTAGCTGAAAAGCGGGAAACGAGTTTTTGCAATGAGAACCAGTCAGTTGTATTTACACACAAACCCAATTGTCTGAGTGAACTTTATGTAGTGTTTGAAATGAAAAAAAAAAAAAAAGAATTAGAAAGCTTTACACAGGCATGTATCCCTTGTGTTTCTTGAAGTTATTTTCTCTTATTCCCCACTTTTCAAACACATTTTGAAATATGAATATTTGAAATGCAATTATTTTACAACAGTAGATGTGTGACATGGCTTGATCACTTTTATGATTGACCAAGTCAGAGTTCTGTCTTATGAAACAGAGACGGATAAATAATTGGACTACAAACCAACTGTTCTCCAATTATGTTTCAGTCGCTGATTGTCTGAAGTATTAAGAGAGAATACATTACCATTGTTAATCATTTTAACACCATTTTAACTTTTGTATAATTTTAAACTACAACAAGTCAAGGTTATGGAAATACTGAATATTCACTGGAAGATACAACACTCCAGTGTGAATTTGAATGGTTAATTGTAAAAGAAACAAAAGAAAAACAACAACCCAGCAACAACAAGACCAAAAATAAAACCAAAAAATGATGCACTGTTTTATCTAAGTTGTTTTCACTGGATTCTTCAGTGGTTATTACTGAATATGATTTACTGATAATCAAAATTATTTTTCCTTATTTTATTTGGATTTGTTGGGTTTTCCAGCACCAATCATTTCACCGCCTATTAAAGTAACCACAATCCATCCACCCAAGAAAAACACCCAACAATCCTCATGTCTCTGCTATTTATCGGCAGAGTCCTCTGGGGATTAGAAGCACACTGGGAATGTGCAGTTCCTCAATACTGACTGGCCCTCTTCTCCCTGCTGTTGGAAGTGTCATCATTGAATATAATTTCTTAGCACACTGTTTGCTTTGTCTTCAATTAAAAGCCAGCAAAATAGCGGCTATAATTATATCTCCTTAAGACGATGCCCATTTGATTGAAGGCTAGGCTGAAAATATACTCTACATTATCATATGAAAAAGCCACATAAAGAGCCCTGTCTTCAAACTGCAGTGTTAACCCTCCTCCAAGTGATTCTAAATGAAGCAACAAAGTGCAGAAAAGGCGAGAGCACTTATTTGACCACGGACCCTTTGAAATATCACTTTGATGAATGCAAACACATTTATCATCTGCACTAGGAAATGTTTTATGTCACTATCCCAGTTAAGGCTGTTGTAGTTGTAAGGAATAGAAACCCACGCCAAGATAGCTGTAGCAAGAAAAGGAATTTATTGTAAGTATACAGGGATATGTGCCAGCATCTACAAGAAGCTAGGAGTGAAATCAAGGAAACCACCTAGAAGCAAGGCGCTAGTTCCTTCCGTCCCTTTGGGGTTACTTGGTTTTGCTCGCATCCCTGCCTGTCTCTGTGCAACCTCCTCAACTCTTGCAGAAGATCAGCTTTCTTTGGGTACCCTAGTGCCCCTGCTTCGAAGCACCTCGCTTGCAGCCACACACATAGCCCCAGATTAGCATCTCTCAGTTCCAATTTTAATTTCTGGGAGAGGCAATCTTCTAGTTCGGTTAGGGTCGCGCCTTCTTTTGGGTGGTCATCGGAGACTGAATACTCCAAAAATGGCTGTCAGGGCTCAAGCCTGAGGTCAGGGCCAGTTTTCTGACAAAAGGGGTTGTTGTCAATATCAAAAGGCATTTACTACAGTTACTTTCAGATTATAACTCATTAATTTATTTATTCACCAATTTGACAAATAATACTGAGTGCTGACTATGTGATGGGTACCGGGGATACAGAAGAGAACAAAGAATCTCTGAGAGAACAAAGCAGACACAATCCCTGACCTCATGGAACATTCTAGAGTGGGAAGACAGGGGAAAATAAAAAAGTAAATATAAATAAGGAGATTAGAAGGTGATAAGAACTATGAAGAACAATAAATCCGGAAAGGGAAAAAGAGAGAGCCGGGAGTTGGAGGAGGTATTATTTTAAAGGGCTTGGTCCAGGAATGGTGTTGAGAAGGTGCTGTTTGAACTAAGTCCTAAAGGAAGCAATGGAAAGAATTGTGTAGATATTGGATGCTTCATTTTGAATTGATTTTTATTAAACCCCATCCAACCATAGGATGATAATTAAAATTTTTTTTTCTTTGAAGTTTATCACAGAGGTTTCCTTTTCTGAGAAGTAGGAACTTTCATATTAATTCAACATTTATGTTTGTCAGACATTTCAAGTGTCTGCAATTAGGGATCCTAGTTAAAACTCATGTTTCCTTCTATTTCAAAATTAAATAGTGGACACTGCCAATATTTTTGGAGTTCAGTAGGCAAGTAATACTCTACTATCAAAAAAGCTCTGACGCCTGTGTGTAGGAGGATGAAGGGAGAGTTGGTTGGACAGGCTATTCCCGGTGGGCTTTAAAGCCAAAGTCTGTGTGAAAGCCACTTGTACCTTTTAATAAGTTCTTTTCTCTTATTACTTAGTAGGCAATAAGAAGTTGAATGAGGCCAATATAATTAAATCTTGATGGCTGTTTGTCTGTGTGTCTTATTTTCTCCCACTTAAAAATTGAATGGTGGCACACCCATGTTCACAGCAACTTTAGTCAGCAGCATGATCAGAGCCAGGAGGCAGAAGCAAGTCACATGTCCCTCTACCAATGAACAGGTAAACAAGATGAGTTTATACACACAGGAGAATATTATTCAGTTTTCCAAAGAAAGGAAATCCTGTCGTATGCTACAACATTGAAGAACCCTGAGGACATTATGTCAAGTGAAATAAGGCACCACAAAAAGACAAATACTGTATTATTCCACTTATATAAGATATTTAAAGCAGTTGAATTCATCAAAACAGAAAACAGAATGGCAGAGGGAGAAATGGAGAGTTTAATGGGAATCCAGTTTTGGCTTTGCAAGATGAAAAGTTCACTTGTTAACTTGTTGCATAACAAGCGAATATAACACTATTGAACTTTCCCCTTAGAAATGGTTAAGAAGATACACTTTATGATATGTGTTGTTGTTTTTTAAACCACAATTGAAGAAAAAAAAGAATGATGGCATAGAAAGACACAAGGAAACTGACAACATTGTGGAACAGCTGTACCAGCCCCAGGCTGCCCCCCTCCAGGCTCCTTGTGTTGTAAAGAAAATAAAGGCTTACTCTGTAGTTTTTTTTTTTTTTCCTTTTTAAGTATATAATGGCTACTTAAACCCTACTGAGTCCCACTGTGTCAGTTAAGACCCTCCATCAAGTGATCTCAAAATTTGGTTCCTCATTTCTCCTCTTGCCACCTGAAATTTTAGCCAATCTGACCACTTTGTGGTCCAGATGCCTGGTGCAGTCCACCCTCCCAGACTCACTTTCTACGTTTTCTCCTTCCGCAGCCTTTAGTGATATCAGTATTTGGGACAATTTTCCTTTTCTGAGCGCCCGTATTTCTTATGGCATTTGGCGCTTTCTGTTTTGTATTGGAACTTTGTCATAAATCTTTGCTTCTCAATTGCATTGTAATTTCCTTGAAGTCAGGAAACATGTTTTTAATAGTACTACATCCCCCATAACATCATCAAAGATACTTCCATAGCATCAGCAAAGTTTTGTTGATATTATCTAATGTCAAAGTGCCGGGCATATAGCAAGTGCTCAGAATGCAAACGAGCAAACCCAAAACATGGTCAGACTTGTTTTCAGTCAATGATGAAATGAAAACATATGAGCTTCTTAATAACACTGAATTTATTGATTCCATTATTTTGTTTTCCAGTTTGGATATATGGCATGTTGATATGAATCAAATAGAGGCCCCTGGGGTCATATTAAGGATAAATTCTATGAAGTGAAGTGAATCAGCTGCTTGGTTATTCTGAATCATTAGCTAGTTAAGACTAATAACACAAAATCCATCATTTTTCCATGTGGCATTTTCATCACATAGACCAGAAGTTTCTAATTTTTCCAATATGAAGACTTCTACATTTAACAATTTTGTTTTTGTTTTTCTTTTGAGAAGGAGTTGCCCAGGCTGGACTGTGATGGCACAGTCTTGGCTCACTGCAACTTCCGCCTACCAGTTTCAAGTGATTCTCCTGCCTCAGCCTCCCCAGTAGCTGGGACTACAGGCATGTGCCACCATCCCTGGCTAATTATGTATTTTCAGTAGAGACAGGGTTTCTCCATGTTGACCAGGCTGCTCACAAACTCCTGACCTCAGGGGATCTGCCTACCTTGGCCTCCCAAAGTGCTGGGATTACAGGTGAGAGCCACCAGGCCCAGCCAACAATTTTATGCTATTAGTACCTTTGGGTCTCAGGGCTGACATAACACACAATGATAGAGCTATGACAAATTCAGTGGTGCTTTAAAACAAATGTCTTCAGGCCAGGTGCAGTGACTCATGCCTGTAATCCCTGCACTTTGGGAGGCTGAGGTGGGTGGATCACCTGAGGTCAGGAGTTTGCGACCAGCCTGGCCAACATGATGAAACCCTATCTCTACTAAAAATACAAAAAAATTAGCTGGGTGTGGTGGCGGGCACCTGTAATCCCGGTTACTCAGGAGGCTGAGGCAGGAGAATTGCTTGAACCCAGGAGGTGGAGGTTGCAGTGAGCCAAAATCGTGCCACTGCACTCCAGCCTGGGCAACAAGGGTGAAACTCCGTCTCAAAAAAAAAAAAAAAGTATTTGGCTGGGCATATTGGCTCATGCCTGTAATCCCAGCACTTTGAGAGGCCAAGGCAGACAGATCACTTGAAGTTAAGAGTTCAAGACCAGCCTGGCCAACATGTGAAACCCCATCTCTACTAAAAATACAAAAATTAGCCAGGTGTGGTGACAGGCATCTGTAGTCCCAGCTACTCGGGAGGCTGAGGCATGAGAATTGCTTGAGCCCAGGAGGCAGTGGTTGCAGTGAGCCATGATCGCACTGCTGCACTCCAGCCTCGGCAACAGAGCAAGACTCTGTCTCAAAAAATAAATAAATAAATAAATTAAATTAAATAAGTTCTTTTTTGTTAGTTCATAGCACCATCTACATATATTTGAAAAATAGCAGAATTTGCTTGTGTGATACATAAGTTTATTCTAACAACAATGAATATAGTACTTATAGAACTTCAGTCCTTTTCAGTGGAACCAGTGATATAAAAATCAACTAACAAATATTTGTTGAAAGTGTAGCTTTTGTGTGGCAAAACTAACACGGACTAGATTTTATTTCAACACCTTTCTTCTACATGTGTTATTATTATTATTATTTTTAAATCTACCTTCTCTTGGCAGGAGATGAAGCCTTGCCTTCATAATACTTGGGGAATCTTTCACTCATGGATGGACTCATACAATGAAACATAGATGGTTTACTAAGAATTAACCCAAAGAAACACATGTGCAGCCATCTACAAATAACTTTATGACAACTACAGTGGTATCTGGTATTAAAAGCCAAAGTCCCCTTAATTGGATCTTGGTGAAACTTTTGCTCTGATCTACCTGCCTTTTGTTGTTATCCAATATCACACTGATTCTCCTCTCTGTATTTGGCTAGGCCGCATCCTTAGTTCTCAGTTTAAAGGCCACGTCTTCATGGAGGTCTTCCCTGATTTCCCCCAGCAGAGTAGATGCTACTTTTGTGACATTGTGATTTCATCATAATTCCACCTTCAGGATGGGATGCCATATAGAACAGAGAGTGTGTCTCCCTCCTATACACATTTGTATCCTTAGCACATAGTGGCTGATCAATACACATTTGTTAAATAAATTAATGAGTATTCCCTGCTGTTTCAATTTGAGCTCATATATTGGGTTGCTTAATTAGTTGCAGAGGAGTTTCAACCTCGGCCTAAAAATTGCTTAAAAGTCAGACCTAAAATGAAGTCTTAATCAACTGCATTTGCCTAAAGCTTTTGTGTCTGTCCTTACTGGTGACAGCCCATATTTGTGCAAATGTTAGAATCTATTCAAGTCTTCTCTGGTATGTGATCCGAAACGTGTCTTCTCTCTCTTCACTGCTACAGTTATTTTTCAATAGCTCTGGAATTAGCCCCCTAGAATGCAAGTCCCCTGAGGACAAGGACCTTATCTTTCTGTTTTTTTTTTTTTATTTGATATCCTAGCACCTAGAATAGTACATGGCAGGCTCCTGACAAATATTTATTGTATAAGTGAATGACTGCTGACTGACTGGCTAATTTAATTGTTTAGGGGAGTGTTATGATATGGATGTGATTAACACGCTTCACACAGAAGAGAAGGAAGTAAATCATCTGCTACTACCCTTTGCCTTTAGTGTGTACCATGGGAATACCTAGATGCACATTCCATTCATGTGTTAGCTTTGCTTTCTAAACTGAACTGCCTCTTTTTTCTTAAGGGGCTCTCTAATTCTTTACATCCGAATCTCTCTCACATTCCCTATGTGTTATTCCCTGGACATTGAATTTTCTGTCTTGCTTCTACTTCAAGTTCAGCAGGAGAAACAAATTGAGACTTGCAATGATCTGGACACCAAAAATGTGTATTTACTGTTCCTCATATTACCTTCATCAGCACTGTGGATTGTTGAGGAGACAAATGAAGACATTATAGTTCAGGTTTGATCTCAAACTCCATTTGCATTCCAAAACAAAGAACAAGTCTGTGTTTCATTGTGATTGTATAATAGGAAGTAAAGGACTGTGGCTTATGTTACTTGGAGTTGATTTAAATTTTTATGAACCTGATACCTCTGAAAGGCAATAATCAAAATGAAACCATGGTAATTATTTTCATTTGAAAACATCAGAATGGGACCTCATTACATTCCGGTGAGTGACTCAAGAGGAAGTATGGGAAGGCACAGCCTCAGCTCCATTTTGAAAATAAATTTCTTAAAATATTCAGCTAAGTCATGGGAGGGAGTACAAAGCCAGAGGTGACAATTTTCAATCAATATTCCAAGTTCTTTTAATTAAGGATGTCTTGGGATTGCAGACTGTGCTGGGACATACATATGTATCTATAATAAACAAGATGTATTTTGCAGAAATGGATTTGGGTTTTGGCATCAACTTGATAGGAAGATCAAAGCACTAGTTGGCATTAGAAGGATTTAGATACATTTGTCATAGGCAGCTGTTATGCTAATCTCATTTATGCAGTTGTCAGCTGATAGGCCCTGATGAGCCAGCTGAGTGGGAAAATCATTATTCCATCCCTATTGTGATAAGTGTTATTTATTACTGTCAAATGGTATTAATGTTTGATTCAAAGATGGGGAGTGGGCACCATCTACATGAAGTTCATTCATTCATGGTCAACCGCAACAAAAGGAATCGCTGAATTCCAGCCAAACGAACTTCATTTCTGGGTGAAAAAAGAATAATGGATTTAATTTGCATATGTTTTAAAAGGGTAATGAAGTAATATGATGTTTATCTTGGTTGAAGAGTGGTAATTTTCATTGGCGGGACTCCAGCCTTGTTGGAGCCATCGTGAGGCATTTACTGTTGGGTTGGTGTGGAAAGGACTTTTCAAAGCAGCAGGTGCATTGGGGGTGGAGGGTGGGGGCACGATGATTTATTCATTAGGCCAAAAATGAGCAATCTGGACATCTATTTTTTCTTCATCTTCCTCAGAAATGTATTTGTAACTAAATCCCATCTCCTTTCCCCCATGATGGTGATATCCCCTGATTTTCGCAATCTTTTTGTGGCCTTTGACAATTTAATTATGTGAAATCCCTAACCCGTCACTCACTTAATTTCTGTTCCCCTTTTGTTATGATCAGATTTGCTGTTTCCACTCCATCTAAACTGATATCTGTACAGGCCTGGTGTTTTGGAATGGGGCGTTGCTTTCTAGTTGCAGTAAAGTGAGGAGACAGTTAAGGATGGGTACTGATGGCTGAGGGTTTGTTCTTATGCATTTTGTTAAATTAACTGCTCAGCTGAGCTCTGAGTGGTTAAAAATGATTCCCCTCTGTTTGGAGACTTGCAGAGAGCTGTCCCCCTTCCAATACAGCTGCATTGGTTAATGCCGCCTTGGATTATTTTTCTTGTGTTAAAAATACAGATAACCTAATTATAGCGCCTCCCCAGTTCCCAAACGCCTCACTTAATGACTCATTAGTGCAGCGAGAACACTTTCCATCGCTTGCTAAATAATATTCCGTTTCTGAGGACTTCATCTTCTTTTTTCATATTTGCTCTGAAACAAAAAAGTTTGACTCAACATATCCCACAGCCCTTGGATTTTGCTGATTGGCTTCATTTCTATAACGAGCTGGTCACTTTTCAGGACACAGCTTCTCTCTTCTTTTAGGGTTGATGAAAATGGGGCCAGATGCCTCTGTTCAGCCGGAGGAAGACATGGGTCACAGAGTTTTGTAAATCCTTGAACTCAAAGAAAACTGCCTTCCTTCTCACCCAGCATTGGACATACTTTTATTGGAATTCAGAATCTCCCATTGTATGACTTAATCCACCATGTATCCCCAGGAACCAACATAATAACTGACACAGAAAGCCCTCTAGGAGTATTTGTTGAATAAATGAATGGACCTTAGGAAGCTTATAGTCTACTTCAAGGGTTGGCAAATTTTTCTATAAGGGCCAGATAGTAAATATCATAGGCTTTGTGGGCCGTAAGGCCTCTGCTGCAACTTATTCAACTGCTGTTGACACTCAAGAGCAGCCATAGGCCATAAATGGATGGGTGTGACTGCATTCCAATAAATCTTTATTTATGGATGCTGAAGTTTGAACTTTACGTAATTTTCATGTGCCATAAAATATCATTTTTATTTTGATTTTTTCCAACCAATTAAATATGTAAAAATCTTAACACACAGGCCATACAAAACCTAACAGCAGGTTGGATTTGGTTCATGGGTCATAGTTTGCTGACCCCTGGTCTGGTTAGTCCACAGGGCATTAGAGTGCTCACCTCTCTGGCCACATTTTCCTTTGTTCTGTCCCTCAGTCACTACTCTCCAGCCACTCTGGCCTCTTATTTATTCTGCAAACATGCCAGGCTTGTTCCTGCTTCAGGGCCTGTGCCTTTGCTGTTCCTTCTGTCTGGAACACTTTGCCCTCAGATGTTCCCAAGGATGGTTTCTTCCTCATAATTTATCTGGGTCTCAGCTCAAATGCCATTTTTTCATAGAGGCCATTTCTAATCACCAGTCTCCAAGTGGGCATTACTACCCTAGCCATTGTCTTTGATTTCACTGTGTTTTATTGCCCTATTATATCTATTTGCTTACAAGTAAACATATCTATCTTCTAGAATGTAAATTCTTTGACACCAAGATGGTTTTCTGTCTTTTGGAGTGTGGTTGTTCCATGCCTAGAACAGTGCCTGGAACACGGTAGGTGGTTGATTGTGGATTATGGACTGAATGACTGGAGAGGTGATAAGAGTGTGAAGGACACAGACTAATACCAAATGGAAGATACTCTTTCTTATTCTGGAAGTACTTATAGTACTCCTCTTCTCAAATCCCAACAATCAAATAAGGAAACAAACGTATACACAAACAACTCTGATACAAGATACCAAGTTCTGAGGGCCTCAACGGATTTGAAGGAGTGAGAGAGGTTACCCCCAGGTGGATGAAAAACAGATGGCTTCATGAAAGAGGCTATCTTTGCATTGAGTGTTGAATCTGCAGAAAGGAGTGGGGAAGATGTGCCATAGTATGGGTTTCCAGACACAGAAGAAATGTCCAGGGGACACTGATTCCTGAGGTTTATTTATGACTGCTACATTTAAGTGTGGAACTCATCCTGTTGCAGGAAAGAGAGGGAGATGTGAGTTTTCGAAGGGTAATGTTCATAGGAAGCCTCTTGCAGAGGGGTAACTTAAATACCTAGCCTAGCCTCTCCATTAAAGATCTGCAACCACAACAACAACAAGACCCTGAGATCTTCTTCTGGCAAGTGGAGTCAATGGACCACATGAGCTAAAGAACAGGTATGGCAACTTTTATTCTGCCTGTAAATGCTACCTGGAATAGGGCCTGGCTCCTCCTGGTTACTCTGGCCTCCTCCTCATCACTTCTATATGTACTCTTCACTCCAGTCTTCCTAATGTGCCGCGCTGTTTCATACCTTTGCATATGCCATTTCTGCAGTGGACCAGGTGGGCCTGAGGCAAACTGGTGTGTGCTCACTGTCTCTGAAATAGCGGCTGCTGGTCAGCCTCAACCAGTTTTTGCCATGGAGGAATATGGGCTCTGTGTTAGCAAATCTCCCAATATGCTTTTGAAAAATGGGCAATCTGGATTATTAAATGTTAGTAACTAGTTTAAATTTTGAAAAGATCCACAAGAAAAAGTTGAGGGCTGGATTTGACCTATGCCCCACTATTTTGCTTCCTTTTGACTCCTCTTCCCCCTTTAGAATGTTGCTCAAGGGTCACTTCTTTTTTTTGTGCTTTCATGATGCCTCGTACATGCAACTACCATAGATCTTATCATGTGGGCTATGGCTCTGATTGGACTCCCCAGAGACCCCAGAAGTGAGGATTAGAAAGCAGCATGCTCAGCCCACTTTGCTGCTCTGCCATCCACAAAGTTACATGGAACTCACTACTCAGTAGCTGTAGGGATGATGTTATCAAGGAAGCATTACAGCATTTCTTTATATGTTCCAGGAAAGCCTCACTTGAGTTTCGTTTCTGGAAAAGCCTGGCTTCTTCTAAGCAACTGATGTGTGTGTGTGTCTGTGCATGTGTGTGTCTGTGTGTGTGTGCATGTGTCCCTGTGTGTGTATGTGTCTGAATCTGGGTTGCGTCTGTGTGTGTGTTTCTGGATGTGTATGTGTGTGTCTGTGTATCTGTGTGTATAGATGTCTACATGTGTATGCATGTGTATGTGTCTCTGTGTGTGTATATGTGTGTGCATGTCTCTGTGTGTGTGTCTCTGTCTGTGTCTGTGTATGTTTATGTGTGTCTGCACGTGTGTCTCTGTGTGTGTGCCTGAGTTTCTGTGTGTGTGTCTGTGTGTATCTCTGTGAGTATGTCTGCATGTGTGTGTCTGTGTCCTGGTCTGTGTGTGTCTGCCTGTATCTCTGTGTGTGTGTCTGCCTGTATCTCTGTGTGTATGTCTGCATGTGTCTCTCTGTGTGTGTGCATGTCTCTGTGTGTGTGTCTGCATGTGTGTGTCTGTGTATGTTTATGTGTGTGTGTCTACATGTGTGTCTCTGTGTGTGCATCTGTCTGTGTCTCTGTGTTTCTTTGTGTGTGTGCATGTCTTTGTGTGTGTGTCTGCATGTGTCTCTCTGTGTGTCTGTGTATGTTTATGTGTGTCTGCATGTGTGTCTCTGTGTGATTGTGTGTGTGAGTTTCTGTTTGTATGTGTCTGTGTGTGTCTCTGTGAGTATGTCTGCATGTGTGTGTCTGTGTCCGGGTCTGTGTGTGTGTCTGCCTGTGTCTCTGTGTGTATCTGCATGTATCTCTGTGTGTGCATGTCTCTGTGTGTGTGTGTCTGCGTGTGTCTCTCTATGTGTCTGTGTATGTTTATGTGTGTCTGCATGTGTGTCTCTGTGTGATTGTGTGTGTGAGTTTCTGTTTGTGTGTGTCTGTGTGTGTCTCTGTGAGTATGTCTGCCTGTGTGTGTCTGTGGGCCTGTGTGTATGTCTGCCTGTGTCTCTGTGTGTGTCTGCATGTATCTCTGTGTGTGCATGTCTCTGTGTGTGTGTCTGCGTTTGTCTCTGTGTGTCTGTGTATGTTTATGTGTGTCTCTGTGTGTTTGTGTGTGTGAGTTTCTGTTTGTGTCTATGTGTGTCTCTGTGAGTATGTCTGCATGCGTGTGTCTGTGTCCGGGTCTGTGTGTGTGTCTGCCTGTGTCTCTGTGTGTGTCTGCATGTATCTCTGTGTGTGTGCATGTCTCTGTGTGTGTGTCTGCATGTATCTCTGTGTGTGTGCATGTCTCTGTGTGTGTGTCTGCATGTGTGTATCTGTGTGTCTGCGTGTGTCTCTGTGTGTGTTTCTGTGTGTGTGTGCATGCCTCTCTGTGTGTGTCTGCATGTGTGTGTCTGTGTGTGTGTCTGCGGGTGTCTCTGTGTGTGTTTCTGTGCGTGTGCATGCCTGTGTATGTCTGCCTGTGTCTCTGTGTGTATTTCTGTGTGTGTGTGCATGTCTTTCTGTGTGTGTCTCTCTCTGTGTGTGTGCATGCCTCTCTGTGTGTGTCTGTATGTCTGCATGCCTCTCTGTGTCTGTGTGTATGTTTCTGTGTGTGTGCATGCCTCTCTGTGTGTGTCTCTGTGTGTGTGCATGCCTGTCTGTGTGTGTCTGCGTGTGCATTTGTTCTCTGCTTTGGCTGTTATGGAGCTCCTTGCTTCATTTACAGCCCAACTCTTTCAACTAAATCTTCACCTATTTGCTTCCTTTCCTCCTGGTTTATTCTGTTTTGTTCTGTTATATTTCATGTATTTTTTTTAAAGAAACCTCAAAACCCCTTTTTGACATGAAACAGGGTATGAATAAGTAAATAGAAACCACATTTAATTTCGTACTATTCTAGGTTGTTCTCTAAGTGATTTAGTTACAGACAATGGGGAAAGTGGGCATGCAATGTCTTTTATTTTTCTGGTTAGTTCACCCTGGACCCGCCAGTAATGCTCTACGTATAAATGCTCAATGAATATACACTGAATGATGAATAGACAATGAGTTATTTGACCATGTCAATCAATTTCCTTTAGATAATCCATTTAAAGTGGCAAATAAATTGATGAAACAAACAACAGTTTTCATTATCAAGAATGAAGACAGAGATTGGAGATTTTAGCTTCTTTACCATATTTATAATTTTCTTACTAGAGATCCATACTAGAGCAGTTAACGAGAATAAGTTTAAGGAGACTGAAATTACATCACATTAAACTGACACTTCTAAGATTAATTTTACAACTTGTGATTTTAATTTTGGGGAAAATGTATTTAAAATTATCTCTTGTCACCATCTCTTATTAAACATAATGAAACTTGATGATATTCTAATAACATTAAACTGTTTTGGTAGTCACTGAGGTTGGTATGAAAAGACTATTCAAGCTAAGAAAATAGTGGATCATTTTTGAAAGAAGTATTTGGGGAGCTTTGAGGAGCTAAATATTCATCTCACACATTACATTATCTCTCACACCAGAGGGTAATTTAGAAGGCATTCTCTATGTTAGAAGAACTGGAGTGCAATTAATCGGGGAAAATCAAGGGCATTTTGGCAAAGAAGGAACAAGAAGAGGGGAGAGATCACTTCACTCCCAGTTGTTGTCTCTGTTCTGGGCTGATGATTATTATTAGCAGGTCATGAAAAGTGCTGGGTCCTCAAAACTTGGTAAATAAAATTACTGATGTAACTAGGTCATTGCATTTATCTTTTTAGGTGTTCCTTTTCTTCCCTCTTTCCTTTCTTCCCTCTTTTGTCCTTTCCAACTCGGATCTCAAATCCATGGCATGATCTTCTGCTTGCACCAACTTTTTTCTTTTCCAGATGAGGAACAAATCGTTTTGGGGTGGAATTATATAACATGGTGGGAAAACTGAAATAATGATGGTCAGCTTTCCTAACAAGCAGTGGGATAACATTTGGCCCCCAAACTTGCTACATTCCAGCCATTTGCTACTTTAGGATCCTTATGTGTTGAGTTCATATATCTTTCTTTACTCTGTTTTCAAGAAATTTGTGGATTTTTTGCAACATTCTCTTGATTGTATCTTGGGTCACTTCCCTTTCTGTTTTATCTTCATTCCCAAATGTAAACTATGTTAATATGACAAACATTTATTGGGTACCTACTGTGTGCCAGGCTTGATGGGAACTGGAGATTCTGACCTGAATAAGAATCAATACTTTTCACCTAGGAGTTCATTGTTTAGTGGAAAAGGCAGACAAGCCAACTAATAATTCTAGGCTGATCTGATAAGTGCTAGAAAAACCTATGACCTAAATGCCAATAGGAACAGAGAAGACAAAATGATTGAAAAGTGTTTCAGAGGTGACATTTGAAATAGGCTTGGAGGGATCTGCAGTGCTATAGTTGGAGAAAAAGAGAGAAAAAAGCATATCTGGTAGACAAAAGCCTGTGCAAGACCAGGCATAATCCCCCTCAAAGGGAGCTCCCTGTCAGAAGCAGAGGGAGCTGGTGGGTGGGTGGAGGAAGCCCTGGGAAATGAAGCCAGGCTTAGGCAATGGGAAGCCTCTGCTGTGCTAAGGAGCATTGATTTTATCCTCTGAGTTATGGGGAGCCAGTGGATATTTTAAATGTCATGATGGGACCTGCAGTTGAGGAGGATCATATTGGAGCAAGCCAGTTAGGAAGCTATTGACACAGTTTAGGTGAGGGATGACAGAGGGCCCAACTAGACAATGGATGTGGAACTCCTCTGCGACCACTCCTATACATCTTGTGAGACATGGAGGGGAGGCATCAACAGGAGCTGGGCACTGTTGGCATTGTTTCCCTGCTATTTGCTGTCTATGTTCCAAGCTGATTTTTACTATTAGCAGACCACAGAAAGGTTTGGGTCTCCAAAACCTAATAAATAAAATTACTGATGTATCTAGGTCATTGCATTTATAGGGAGGGTGAGGGGCAGGGAGGAATTGAGAGTGACTCTGAAACCACCAGTTCTCCTGATTTGCTTATTCCAAGGTGAGATGGAACTGAAATCAATGCAGCTCATATGGCCCAGGTGTCTAGTGGAGATAGTGTTGTGCAGTGGAAGCTCTGTGGTTCACTCATCCATTCTTATCCACTCACTCATTCTTTACTTTTCCTTTTCCTTTTCTCTCTTCTCTCCTCTCCTCTTCTCCTCCACTGCCCTCCTCTCCCCACCTCTCCCCTTCCTTCCCCTCCCCTCCCCTCCTCTCCCTTCCCCTCCTCTCCCTTCCCCTCCTCTCCCTTCCCCTCCTCTCCCTTCCCCTCCTCTCCCCTCCTCTCCCTTCCCCTCCTCTCCCCTCCTCTCCTTTCCCCTCCTCTCCCCTCCTCTCCCCTCCTATCCCCTCCTCTCCCCTCCTCTCCCTTCCCCTCCTCTCCCCTCCTCTCCCTTCCCCTCCTCTCCCTTCCTCTCCCTTTCCCTCCTCTCTCCTCTCCTCCCCTCACCTCTCTTCTCCTCTCCTCTCCTCTCCTCTCCTCTCCTCTCCTCTCCTTTTCGAGAAAGAGTCTCACTCTGTTGCCCAGGCTGTAGCGCAGTGCCCGCCACCACTCCTGGCTAATTACTGTATTTTTAGTAGAGACAGGATTTCACTATTGTTGGCCAGGCTAGTCTTGAACTCCTGACCTCAAGTGATCTACCAACCATGGCCTTCCAAAGTGCTGGGAGTACAGGCGTGAGCCATCTTTCCCGGCTCTTTTCTTTATTCAGTAAATATTTACTGAGAATCTACTAGATGCCAGTAACAAGGAATACGGCGCTAAAAACTCAGGGAAAAAAAATCAATGGCAAAAGAGTTTAAGGCTTAAAGAACCATAGCTGCACACCTGGTCATCTGTTCCCTGTGACTGTTGAGGTAGAACCTGGAACTGTATGTCACCTTTTCCCTGCACTGTCCTAGCACCAGTTAGAAGCATGCTGAGGGATGTATTAGAAGTACAGGGTGCAGAATGGGAAAGGTGGCCATCGTAGGTGGAATGCATACTGTCCTGGTGAGAAAATAAATTCTTGGAACTTTCTGAGGTGCCTCTTTTACCTTCACACATTCCCCTTTTGTATGTGGGAGTTCATACTCCCACTCTTTTTTTGTCACCCACCTTCTCATGATAATTTCGATTTAAATACTTTGTTATTTTTGTCCTGACAATATGACAAATTTTCTGCCCACAAATTTTTCTTATTACTCCTTCAGATATATGGCGTTCTTCAATAATTGTTTGCTTTTTTCTTGAAGTTGAAAAAAATGTGTTATCTATCAAAATACACCTGCAATCATTGTTAATCCTGGTTTTCTTCTAAATATTCCTTATACAATCTTTATTCCTTTCCCTAGAAAGTTTTCTTCCCTTCTTTCCTCCTTACAGTTAATATATTCCTTTCATAGTTTTTGATTTGCTTTTAGTTTTTTTATTCATTTAAAATTATTAGGCCGGGTGTGGTGACTCACACCTGTAATCCCAGCACTTTGGGAGGCTGAGGTGGGTGGATCACCTGAGATCAGGAGTTTGAGACCAGCATGGCCAACATGGTAAAACCCTGTCTCTACTAAAAATACAAAAATTAGCTGGGCATGGTTGTGGGTGACTGTAATCTTAGCTACTCAGGAGGCTGAGCCAGGAGAATCATTTAAACCTGGGAGGCGGAGGTTGCAGTGAGCTGAGATGGCACCATTGTACTCCAGCCAACATAACAAGAGTGAAACTCCATCTCAAAGAAAAAAAAATTATATCTCTTGCTAGAAGCCAAAGGTTAATTTTTTTTTTCATTTTTATCACAAGAGGTTTCAAACAAATATAAAAGTAGTGAACCCCTATGTATTTACCAATCACCTAGTTCCAGTGGTGATTAACTCATGGTCAATTCTCTTTCAAATGTAGTTTTGATTTCCTTCTTCTCTCTATACTCCCTCAATTTCCCTCTTTCCCACTTCTTTCTGTACCTAGATAGTGACTAGTCTTGCTGCGATCTGTCAGTTCTACCACTGACTGATACTGGGTATCTTTCACTTCAGACCAGATAACTTTGTAGCAAGAAGCTTGTATGCTCCTCCATGCTTGATTGCTTTAAATCTGCTCTTTTTCTACATTCTATCATCGTGGAATGTTTCTATTTGAACAATGATTTGCTAAATTTATGAGCATTTCCATAAATGAGTTGACTTTAAGATGCCCCCAACTCTACATTATGATTCTAATCAGCACATTAATGAATGGGTGCAGAAATGAGCCTATTTGCAAATTGCCAGATTAGACTTGTTCTTGTTTAACTAAAAGCTTTAACTAAAAGCAGGGCTTAAAATATTGAAGAAGATAAAGCCTCCTCTATCTCCAAACATTTCCTGGTCAAATTGTGCTCGAAAAGAGTTTAAGAAAATTTTCACTGTTGACCGATTAGGTTTAAAACAATGGAATACAGCTGAAATCTTTACGTAAATCATCATGTAAAATAACATTGTTATTAATATAGTGCTTTAAACTTACTTTCTCAGGTTATAAAACATTCTGACTTAAAAATAAAATTATGAGCTGTGATTGATGTATTTTGTATGTGTTGGCTCAGGTCCTGCCTGTTTAATTGGGCTCAGTTGATTTCAGTGCGTTTCCTATGACATTTCCATCCTACAGCTGTCAACCCAATGAAAGAATTAATATCAATAATCCAGTGATCAGATTTAATCTATAAGATTAGTCATCATTTAAGCTACAAAGATGTATACTGAAAAGAAAACGCTTGTCAATTTTATCTTCTCACGTGATAGTGTAAGATGGTATTCATATATATGTGTAAAATCATACATTCACTTGTGTTTTATTGCATTCCTTGTGTTTTACAAAACAATATAAACCATTGTATTAAAAGAAACTCTCTTCTTCCAAATGGCATATTGTCTACTCTTATTTCATTTCTCACATATCCAGAAGCAGCCTTACCAGCTACTGATTTTTGTCCTTAGAGGTTTTCATTTTTGTACATTTGTTTTAACAAGCATTGATTGATATGCCATTTTCTCAATTACTGAAGCATTGCTACCTTTACTGTATAGATTGAGAAATCAAGACAGAAAGGGAGAAGGCTGGAAAATAAAACTCCATGCCCCAATCTCATAAAGTCCTTTTAATTCTGCTGATTCAATCACGACATGCATTATTACCATAGTTTAACAGATGAGGAGGTGAGGGAACAGAAAGCCTCAGCACATCTCTCTGTTGCACAGTTACTGTGGCAAGGTCCTGCTTATTACCTTATTTCAAAGTAAGTCAAATGAATCAATGAAGGAAAACTCTTAGAGCATCAGGTAGGCCAATGTTTTCCAAAAGGCGCTTTTCAGGACATTAGTC
The DNA here is from genome assembly GCF_000001405.40 of Homo sapiens. Classification (NCBI taxonomy): domain Eukaryota; kingdom Metazoa; phylum Chordata; class Mammalia; order Primates; family Hominidae; genus Homo; species Homo sapiens. The sequence continues at coordinate 52,748,018 of NC_000016.10, read as the reverse complement.
TGCTGAGATGTGCTGAGAACAAAAGGATCTGTTGGCCAAACATGTTTTGGAAAATCATATAATAAAGTCTCATCCTAGAGGGTCACATAAATTAGTATATTACAGACTCTAAGAACTCCTGAAATTAAAAAATAAGAATAACTCAGTATGAATTTTGCTGAGCTCAAAATATTTCACTGTAGAACCTTTTTTTGCCATAACACAAATTCACTGGAAACACTTAGAGACATTTTAAGTTTAAGCAAATATCTATTTTCAATGGCTTTGGTTAACAAAATATACATCGTAATCCCAAATGCTTCAGGATATAGAATAATACGCAGATATAATCTCTGCTCGTAACACTCATGACTTAAAAGCTTCAGAAAGCCACTTTAAGGAAGGCAGAAATCCATCCATCAGACCATTCACTCATTTGTTTTTTCAATAAGCATTTATTAAATACCTACTTTGGTCTAGGCAGAGTGCAAGATGTTTGTGACATAATGAGGACAAACTAAGTCTGGAGGTGGTGGGGAAGGTTTCCCTAAGAAACCAACGGATGGGTTAAATCTTAAAGGGTGACTAGAGGAGCAGGCATTCAGCAGATGGAAGGGAGCTGATTGTGGAAGGGCATTCCAAGTGAAAGCAACTGCCTAAGCAAAACCACAGAAGATTAAGAGCATAGCAAACTCAGGGGAGCACAAATGCATGCATCTACCATTCATCACCATCCATTGTTGATTTATGCATTGCCTGTCTCCCCTACAAGAATGCAAGCTCCATGATATAGGGACTGCTCTACTGGTTGCCATTGTGTTTCCTATGCTTAGCACAGTATTTCTCTTATAATAGGAGCCCAATAAATTCTTGGCAAGTGAACAATCAGTAGCTTGGTATCACCGGAATCTGCTGCATTTGAAGGTAAGACAGGAAGATGAGGATGGGATGGTAGGCAGGGGAATGGATCATAATGGGGCTTATGGATCATGATTGGACACTTCATGGTGGATGAGGATGAGTCTTTGGAGGGTGGTAAGCAGGGGAGTAACTTGAGCAGATTTGAATTTTAGAAAGATTACTCTGATGGGAGAGAGGATGGTGGCTTAGGAGCGTTGAGACTGTTAGGGGGGCTGTTGCAATAATGCAGGAAAGAAGATATGAGGGTTTAATTAAGGTGGCTGCTGCTGAGTGGAGAGGACAGAGTTTGTGGTGTGTAGAAGAGATCAGCCCTAGTGACCGAATAAGGTAGGGAAGGGGTCTAAGAAGGAAGGAAGGTGGAGGAGAGTCAGAAAAGACTCCTGTGTTTCCAATTCAGAAATTTGGAAATACTTTTAATTATGGAAATCTTTAAACATATACAAGGTAGAGAGGCTAATATAATAAACCCCTATGTACTTATCATCCAACAACTATCAACATATAGTCAATTTGATTTCAAGTTCTGACTTCCTCACTCTACATCCCTCACCCCTGCCTGGAATGTTTTAAAGCAAATACCAGATATCCCATTATTTCATCCATATATACTGCAGTATGTATTTTTAAGAGATAATAGTACAACTTTAAAAAGCATACATATAATATCTTTAATATGTCTAAATATTAACATGAATTCCTTAATATCACCAAATATTCAACCAGTGTTCAAATAGCCTTGACTTTCCATAGTTAGTTTGCTCAAATCAGGGTCCAAATGAATCCACACACTGCATTTGGTTGCCAGGATGGACTCTAAAGTCTATTTTAATGTATGACAGTTCCCCTTTCCTCCTTTTCCCCTTTGTTGTTGATTCGTTGAAGAAAGTAGGCCATTTATCCTACAGTTTCCTAGTTTTGTTGATTGCATCCCAGTGGCATCATTTATCATATTTCTGTAACCCCTGATCTTGTAAATTTGTAGTTAGATCTCATTGTAACTTTCTATGTAGAAGAGGCAATCCCTAATGATAGTGAGTTTATTGGAGAACATTGTGGGTGCAACGCTGGGGGTGATGGACTCAATGGATATATATGTGGGTACAGGTTTTGGAGGTGCTATCAGTCCTATGCAAAACAATTCTGTGAGGTGTGTTTGGGTCTAGCTGCTTAGTATTGCTGCCACCACTTTTAGTTAAATGCTTTGAAAAAAGAAACATGAACATGACAAAAAGCATCCAAGTGCCTTTGGAAAGTCACCCATTTGATGGATACAGTGTCTTCATCCAGGTCTATATCTTTATCAGATTTTTCAAAAGCCTTTGCCCCTCGACATGAGTGTTTATCGTTATGAAAGTCAGAAGGGAAAGCCATGCTTAGAAGGCCTTGTTTGGGATTGGTTAGCTGAGTGGAGGCTGTGTTACCTGTAATTGAGGGAAGGGAGCTTAAGTCATGAATTGATCACCATATAAAAACCCCTGTTTTCTTTTTATCATGTGTCCTCTGAGGGTCATTAATAGGCACCTTGGAAGAAGCCACTTAGAAAAAAGTTAGCTGTACTTTACATGTTATGATTGTGGTTACCACAGAGGTTGTTTAACTGGAAAATCAGTGTGCAAAGCACCTGTTCCAGGAAAAGCTAGACCTGGTATTTTTCTGCATTTGGTCCTGATATTGCTTGATTTCATCTGCCTGGACCTTTTCTGGAGAGTCAATCAGGCAGGTTAGCTCTTGTATCTAAGTGTGGCTTTCACACCATTTCTGTCTTGAAACACAAGCAAACTCCTGCCTCATCTGAAAGAACTTTATTTTCATTTAATAAACATTGACATAGAATTTGCTATGTGCCAGACACTGTTCTAAATATTTTGTACATACTAAGTCATTTAATTCTTATAAAGCAGGCACCATAGCAGGCGCCATAATTATCCCGATTTTATAGGTGACGAAACTGAAGCACAGAGAGATTAAGGAACTTGCCTGAGGTCATAAGGCTGGTAAGTATCAGAGTAGCATTTGAGCCTGGTCTGATTTTATAAGTCTATATTCTTAGCTACTATGATATGTTGCCTATTGGCACCAAGAGTCAAAATTAAAATGACATTGCAACTTAAAAAGAGTCATGACAGTTAAGTGTGGTGCCTTAGGGTGAGCTTTGGCATCACACAGACTAGGGTTGAATCCTGGCTTTGTCACTTAGTATGGTGGAATAAGAGCATGCTATGTACTTCCCTGAGCCTCAATTTCTTTATCTGTAAATTGGGGGTTACAATTCCAATCTCACAAAGCTGTTGTGAGGATAAAATGGAATCATGTATTTAAAGCATCTGACACAGGTCATGGAATATAGTAAGTCCCTTAAAATGGTAGTTGCTATGATGATGGCATCATTCTAAAGAAACTAGACAACGTCGTGCACAGCAGACAGTGCTGTGGAGGGGTCTTCCCTCACTTGGTGTTCAGCCCTACTTGGTGAGTGTAGTTGGCTTGTCTGTATAATTATTTAGAATATTGATCTCATGTTTCACCATTCTATTAAACACAATAAGGACCAAAAGCAGAAAAAGGATTGATTAACAGAGCAAACTCACATGTACAAAGTTGAAGAAATGCCTTCACATACATTGTCTCATTATGTATAAGTCAATGGTGCAATGGTGTGCTGCCTGGAAGAACCCGTTGTACACAACTCTTCCCACCTCCACATTCAGTGACATCACATTGGTGGCAGGAGCATTTACAACACTGAAATCAGCCAATACTACAAATCAGGGCTTTTTTTTTCCTTCACCCCCAGAGAGCC